>NC_000012.12:101399521-101702552 GCF_000001405.40 Homo sapiens
AAAAAAAAAAAAAAAAAAGAATTCAAAAGTACATAGTCCCCTCGTCTGAGGATGCTTTTACCTAGGTATCAACTGGCCTAGAACTTATATTTAAACATCCCTTGATTAAACAATTCAGAATCCAGTTTTTGACAAGAGAAAGAAACTTATCCATCTAATTTTCCAGAGCAAGGGCAATTTTATTATTATCATAGTACATTTGATTATTTTTTCATTTTTTAAAAATGGATTATTTAATGCATCCTCTGAATTTGATCAGTTAGCCAATATATGATCTTATTAACTTCAGTGAATAAGATGTATTGAATTCTTAATTAAGTACTATACATTGTTCCTCCTATCAGGGTAAACTCAAAGAACTTACATTTTAGAGGGAGAGATACATAAGTAAACAAATATATTTTTTTTTAATTTTTATTTTTTGAGACAGAGTCTCACTCTTGTCACCCAGGCTGTAGTGCAGGGGCACGATCTCGGCTCACTGCAACCTCTGCCTCCTGGGTTCAAGTGACTCTCCTGCCTTAGCCTCCCAAGTAGCTGGGACTACAGGCACACACCACCATGCCCGGTTAATTTTCTTGTATTTTCAGTAGAGATGAGGTTTCACCATGTTGGACAGGCTGGTCTCAAACTCCTGATGATCTCTGGTGACCTGCCCGCCTCGGCCTCCCAAAGTGCTGGGATTACAGGCGTGAGCCACCACGCCCAGCCAACAAATACATTTAAAAATAATGTAAAAAAACAGTAAGTGGGGTGCAATGGCTCACACCTGTAATCCCAACACTAGGAGGCCGAGGCAGGAGGATCACTTGAGGACAGGAGTTTGGGACCAGCCTGGGCACCATAGGTAGACCCCGTCTCTACAAAAAAAAAGAAAAAAAAAAGAAAAAGAAAAAGAAAAAAAAGAAACAATATCGGTATAAAGAATAAAGAAGGGTAAAGGATTAGAGAATAAATAAGACTTCTTTCTGGGGAAGAGATGTGGGAAGAAACACGTCAGGAAGGCAGCCATGCAAAGATGCTGGAGAATAGTATTCCAAGCAGACGGATCAGCAAGTGCAAAAGGCCCTGAGCCAGGTGTGCAAGCTCGTGTCCAAAGAACAGAAAGAAGGTCAAAAGCACTGTAAACACTGGGAAGGATAAAAAACGATAAACGTGAGGCCAGCATTGTGCCAGTAACCCAGAAATACATATTTCTCTGAACTTGAATCCTTCTAAAACAGCTAAAAATAAAAAGACATATTTTAAAAGTCACATCAAAGAAGTGACTTAGAATAGATGCTTTTGTTTAAGTGAGCTCTTCTGAACCTCCTGGAAAATCAAGCAATCTGGCTTGAAGAGGAAGTTACGAGGTTAATTTTTGTTGTTGTTTTGTCTCCAACCCTCCTCAACTGTATTTTTGGAATAGAAAATCATTTCCATAAAAGAAAATAATTTTAAAAGGATGGAGGGAACAACCCCTGCATTCTTTTTAATTATTCTTCAATGTAATAATATGTAAATGACTGCCCCACATTTTAAAGTGGTTACGTTTTCTTACCTCCAACATGGCAACTAACTCTGATTTGGAAATGCCAATTCGGTCTCGGTCACAACTGTCTACTACATAAATGACTGCATCTGTGTTTGAATAGTAACATCTCCAGTATGGCCTAGAGAAAATTTAAAAGGGGAGAACATATTGTTATTGTTTTAAGGAAGAAACTGACATATCAATTGCCAATTCTGTCCCACACATGTTAGAATCAATGCCTTAATGATTCACTGTTTCTGGTGGATATATGTACCATATCCCTCAGATGTGATGGAGTCAAAAGAATGTTGATAAACATTGGCTGGGCACGGTGGCTCACATCTGTAATCCCAGCATTTTAGGAGGCTGAGGAGGGCAGATCAACTGAGGTCGGGAGTTCGAGACCAGCCTGACCAACATGGAGAAACCCCATCTCTACTAAAAATACAAAATTAGCTGGACATGGTGGCAGGTGCCTGTAATCCCAGCTACTCGGGAGGCTGAGGCAGGAAAATCACTTCAACCAGGAAGGCAGAGGTTCCAGTGAGCTGAGATGGTGCCATTGCACTCCAGCCTGGGCAACAAGAGTGAAACTCTGTCTCAAAAAAAAAAAAAAAAAAAAAAAAAAGAATGTTGATAAACATTGACTCACAGGACCAGGGAGTTTCCAAATGAATTCATTCAGACTTCAGGCTGACAAAATTTATTTATAATCTATGAAATCACTAAATATACTGATAGAAAAGTTGTACACAGACCTGATCATTACATCTTCTTAAACAAATCTTTAACTAGGCACCCCTTAAGAGGAATAAACTTTTTAAACGTGATTTTATTTAACAGTCATGAAATTAATCACTGACATCAAGCAGTAGAAATGGCTAAAATTATAAATAAACTCAAAAGTGATTCAATGGAGTCTCTCTGAGCCTACTCTGGCTTGGGAGGCTGCACAATTTAAAAAAAAAGAAACGTGATTCAAGAAATGAGTTAAAAGAAGTCAGAATGTTTGGAGAATGCATTACTAATCTTTTAAGATGGTACTATCGTGACCAACTACTGACGGTCATCAAACATTCACTGTTGCCATGTCAAGCCCAAAATGCTAAGCAGAAGACCTGAACTTCAGAAGGCATTTATTTTTTATTTATTCATTTATTTTTTTTGAGACAGAGTCTTGCTCTGTAGCCCAGGCTGGAGTGCAGTTGCGCGATCTCAGCTCACTGCAACCTCCAGCTCCCAAGTCCTGGTACAAGCAATTCTCCTGCCTCAGCCTCCCAGGTAGCTGGAATTATAGGCACGCACCACCATGCCCAGCTAATTTTTGTATTTTTAGTAGAGACGAGGTTTCACCATGTTGGTCAGGCTGGTCTCCAACTCCTGACCTGATGATCCGCCCACCTCGGCCTCCCAAAGTGCTGGGATTACAGGCGTGAGCTACCATGCCCGGCCAATGGCATTTATTTTTATATTAGCCCTAAATGGTATGCCTGCAAGGTACTTTAATGAATTCCAAAACAATGTGTTTCAGAGAGGAGAGACTGACAAGAACTAAATGGAGGGTCCTTTCTAATTGAGAATAGCTGAAGTAATAAGGTCTTGAGATTTTCGTGAAAAGATTTTCATTAAACAGGTATCTGGAAAACTGGGCTTCCTTAAGTTTTAACTCAATGGATGCTCTAAGGAAATAGTTCCCAATTTTACCTCATTTTAAACTAGGTGGCTCCATTTAAATTACAATAGAACACATATTCGGGTTTACTGATTTTAACCCTTAAAAGAATCAATAAATGTCAAATACTACCAAATAACCTGGTCTTTGTACCATACCTGATACTTGTCTGTCCTCCTAAATCCCAGACTTGGAATTTAAGGTTTTTGTACGTCACCGTCTCTACATTAAATCCAATGGCTGGAAGAGAAATCAAATCAGTGGTATGTGTAGACTAATACATTCCACCTTCAAAATATCCTATCTAATTGAGTTACAGCAATTAATGGTAACTGTTATTAGAGTTTAAAATATATATATATATAATTTGTCTTAGGATTCGAGTTAAAAAGAAATGGTAATTGTTGAATCACATTATTGGTTGAGATTTTATACCATTTAAGACGAAATAGTATGCTCTGCTCCCCCACACATGTGCAGGTGTGTGCACAAAACATCAATTAGCAAGATCAATACCATCTTCAGGATATTTTTTAAAAGCCAGCAGTTCTGCAAATAAAGTATATAATTTTAGCTCAAATAAATTAAAAAAAGAATTTAAAAAAGAAATAAAAAGGAAAACATAATTTTTAGCTCAATGGAAATCCTATTATATTAAACTCCCCTCATAATAGAGTAGTTAAAAGTGTTCGAAAGCTGTATTTAGAAAGTACAGTTGTGGATGTACTATAAAAAGCAGAATTTTGGCTGGCAGCAAATAAACAGACCAAAAGAAAAAAAGCTAAACTTCAGTTCTAAACTACAGCATGGACACAGCCATGGCTGCAGCTTTCAATCTCACAGCCCATCTGCAGACATCCTCCAGAACTCACTTGTAATAAGGTCATGGCTGGGTGGTCAAAGGGCAGGTGTCCCATCCCTTTTCTCTGCCATCCTTCTTAGGTGAAAAATAGGTAAAAAATAACTTCCATGGCTGGGTGCGGTGGCTCACACCTGTAATCCCAGCACTTTGGGAGGCCAAGGCGGGTGGATCACCTGAGGTCAGGAGTTCGAGACCAGCCTAGCCAACACTGTGAAACCCCATCTCTTCTAAAAATACAAAAATTAGCCGGGTGTGGTGGCACATGCCTGTAATCCCAGCCACTCTGGAGGCTGATGCATGAGAATCGCTTGAACCTGGGAGGCACAGGTTGCAGTGAGCCGAGATCTTGCCACTGCACTTCAGCCTGGGCAATAGAGTGAGACTCTGTCTCAAAAAAATAAATAAATAAAAAATAACTTCCAGGTATAACTGGACAATTAGCTTTTGTTTTATATTTAAGTCTGCAGTGGTAAGTGATACCTTTGAGTATTTGGCAAGTATGTCTATTACAATTAAAAAATAACAATACTATGACAAATTTGAGCAAAAAACTAAAATGCAAGTTCATGATGTCTCCCTTAGAATTAGGTAGGAGTGTAATCACAATGTTCACCAACAGTAAAAAACATCGTTTATATGTGCAAGACAAGAGAATGGTGTAGACTGGGTGCAGTGGCTCATGCCTGTAATCCCAACACTTTGGGAGGCTGAGGTGGGAAGATCGCTTGAGCCCAGGAGGTAGAGGTAGAGGTAGACGCTGCAGTGAGCTATGAATGTGCCACTGCACTCCAGCCTGGGCAAAAAAGCAAGACACTGTCTCAACAAAGAGTGTGGTGTAAAGCAGCACTCACTGAAACTCCAAACTATCCACTGTGCTGCTCTGTGCACTGCAGGAGATGCCCAGACAGAGATGGGTGATTTTGAGAAGCAAAAACTAAGGGCACTAAAATTTACTGAAGGTAGCAAAAAGGAATAACAGACATTACAGGGTTCAAAACGCTCTTCTTTCTTAGAGGCTAGCCTCTTTCGTTTTAGTCCATAAATTTAAACAGTAACAATATAGAAATACCCTGAGTGACAGACTAACATTAGAGGCATAATTTAAAAAATCTTGAGCAAACTGTATGAACTCTTTAATTTAAATGTACTACTCTTCTCTAAGTAAATTCAAGGCAACAAATGAAAAAAGTATAAATAACAACAGTATTCTCATATAGTCAGTAAGACTGTTGGAGAATATTTTTGTAAGACAGTAATAATTGATTAAAATTGAGGTATTTCTTCTCTTAATAAATATATACATATACACATATATATTTTGAGACCTAGTTTTGCTCTTGTTGCCCAGGCTGGAGTGCAATGGTGCAATCTTGGCCTGCCACAACCTCTGCCTCCCAGGTTCAAGCGATTCTCCTGCCTCAGCCTTCCGAGTAGTTGGGATTACAGGCATGCACCACCACGCCTGGCTAATTTTGTATTTTTAGTAGAGATGGGGTTTCTCCATGTTGGTTGGGCTGGTCTCCAACTCCCGACCTCAGGTGATCCACCCGCCTTGGCCTCCCAAAGTGCTGCCATTACAGGCGTGAGCTCCTGTGCCCGGCCTTCTCTTGATATTTTTAAGGTACCAAATTACTTCAACACTCAGTCTCTGCAACTCAGATCTTTAAAAGTAATCAATATAATTACCTAAGATAAACTAATCTTAATTAAAATAGTAACAAATACAGGAAAAAAAGGCACTTCACATGTAACATCACTTAACATTTATATAATTCTTTACACAGATTTAAAAGGTACTTTTACCTACTTTGTTTATTTCCCCCTGAAAACCAGTGGGTATTTGTTATCTTATGTATTTTATTAGTAAAGATACTGGCTCTCAGTAAGATTTAGTAACTTAAACCTATAAACAGCCCAACCCGGCCGTAAACCAGAACAAGGGTCCTTAAATTACACTAAGCTGCCTCTTAGTTGATGGAAAAAGTGTTATCAATGTTATGTTCATACTAGCAGTTTACAAACTTTATCAAATACTTTATTATATGAATTAATTTATTCAGAAATAGGCCTGGCATAGTGGCTCATGCCTGTAATCCCAGCACTTTGGGAGGCCAAGGCAGGAGGATCACTTGAGGCCAAGAGTCTAAGACCAGCTTGGACAACATAGTGATGATACCTGATCTCTACTAAAACAAACAAAAAAGAAAGAAAGAAATAGTTATGTTGGATGGAGACCAGAAAGTCCCTACAATTAGCTCATCATACCAACACTTACTAGGTATAGTAGTAACAACTTCTCCCACTTGTAATCTGTACAAAATTGTGGTTTTTCCTGCTCCATCTAATCCCAAAATTAAAATTCTCATTTCCCGAGTTCCAAACAGACTGGAAAATATACTTGAGAAAAAGCCACCTAAAAAATAATAAAAGAAAAAACATACACAATGTCATTTTGTGAACTAGGTATACAAAACATCTAACCTTGTCCTTTGAGAGCTAAATACCAAATTAAATATTATAATTTCCTGGATGCGTAGGTGCATATTTTTCCTCCCAATGAAATATATTATTCAATATCAAACAAGTAATTAGTTATGTTACTATGTCCTTAGTTATGTTACTATTGTGTCATGCAGGCACAGAAGATAAACCAAATAATAAGAGAAATATGGCCGCGGCCTTTGGGAATCTCATTTTCTAATCAGCAGAATAGGAATATTTTAGCATGATCCCCTCACTACCCCTAAAAACCAAGGGGCCAGTAAGGAGGATAGTGGGACAATGTAATCCTCGCACAGGAAAAGTACTGTACAGCAGCAGTACCACTATAACCAACTTCAATCAGAGTTCTCCACGAAGCAATATAGCTAGTACAAGAAATTGAGAAAAAAGCTGAAAACAATAACTATTTTTGACAAAAAACCCACTTTTAAAAATAATAAAGCTCTATCCAATGCATCACAAAATATTCCCAGAAAGCTTCCTGTACACCAAGTATTGTGTAGGATAAAAAGCACAGTCCTTTTCCCATCCAGAGCCATTAGAGAAGATTAAAAACAAGTTACATTAATACAAAAAAAAATAGTTAACATCAGAAGTGATGCCACACTGTTATTTGGCAAAGACATGGCATAACTAAGAGCTGCGAGTTGAAAAATGAACAACACCATGGGCTAGAGAACCTTGGGAAAGTTCAACAGAATAGGTGTGACTTGACAAAGTCCTTTCTACCATTTACAGGTAGAAGAGAGGCGGAACAAAACTGAAGGCGGTTATGGAAGACAGGACAGCGCCTGTGATGCTTGGGAGCAAGAAGTATGCTCCCCAGAAAACTGTGGAGGGATTTAACCAAGCCAAAGAATCTGCACCTTCATTTGGAGGGTGAGAAACGAGTTAAAGAATGTGCACCCTCACTTGGGTTCTAGCGGGGCGAGGGTGTTACCTGATGCTTGTGAGAATGCAGTTCCCTCAATCAGCGGGCCAAGAACCAAGAATAAAGTTTCATTTGCCGACTAGAAATACCCGTATTATTACATGAAACGCTACAGCAGATTAGCAGACAAATGCCAAACTGGCCATAAAACAACATAAGCAACACCTGCTCTCAGGTTTTTCAAACTGACGCCGTCCCAGCGCCCCTGGTAAAGAGAATGATTAAGCTTCCACTCTGGGGCCGCAGCTCATCTTTCACCAAGAAACCTCGGCGAACCTGCGACTGACGCGTTGCCAGCCTCCGCAAGAACAACTCTGCCCAGCAAGTGGAGCTGGGGATGAGGGAAAACTTCATGATAAGGGTAAAGAACTCGAACCCAGGCTCTGCGGACGTCCCCAAGCTGTCCGGGTCCCTGGACCCCGCAGGAATCAAGGGGAACCGAGAGAGGACGGAGGAGAACGCGAGAGGCCGGATCCACCCCTACAGATGAAGATCCAAAGTGAGTCAAGTCCTCCGCGACCCGCCCCCTGAGGAGCTGGCTACTCTAGGGTATCCTGGCCGGCCCCTCTCCTCCTCTGCACCCCAGCCCTCGGCCGCGGCTCCCTCGAGCGCGCCCAGGTGCCCTTCTCGAACCCCTCACCCATGATGAACCCCCTGTCCTCCCTCGCCGATCTTCAGTGATTCCTTGGCCTTCGGCTGCAGCTCCGAGGCGGTTTCCTCGCAAGCCCAGTCAGCCAGCAACTTCCACGTCGGACTCCAGGCGGGGGCGGGAGCGAGGGTCAGCTGCGACTGCGCGCCGGGAACGGTGGCCTGAGCATCCGCGTCGTCGCTTTCGACTCACGGTCCCCGCTCACTGGATGTAGATACCGTGGAGGCCAGAAGAGACGAATAATTCAAAAACCTGAAGTCTCTCCTGCTTGTGTTTTTCTGGACAGAAAGAGCTTCTGAAATAGAGAAATTGGAATTTTTGTTTTAAATTCTGACACCAAAAAGTGGCGAATCTGACAACTGAAAATGCGAGTCGGGCCTCGATGAGTCGTCCCGGTCGAACGCTGGCGCAGGCTGCGGCGTTGCAGAGGACGCGTGTCCCGGAGCGCCCTGCGGGGCCAGCCCAACTCTCCCTAGGTGCTTTCTCCCAGAAAGAAACAAGACTACGTAATAATAATAGGAATGGTACCGCGCTGCCAATGCGGAGCAGCCTTGCACCTGAGGCCAGTAACCAGAGGTTTTTGTCTTCGCTGTGGCCTGCAGGACGAGGACCTCGCCGGCTTTTTTTCTCGCTGACCGAGCAGCTGAGACCGCCTTTCAGGGGTCGGCAGTGTGGACTGGCTGGTCCCGATCGTGGGGACCAGGGACTTATTCCCTCGAGGGTCGACTGTTGGAAGTAATGTAGGTTTTGATAGTGAAGTGTGTGGAGAGGAAGAAGGAAGCACACCTATAGGATGTGGAGAAGGGATTTCCCCTAGAGAAATTTTTAAAGGTTGAGCATGTATGTTTTGAAACTTCCCAAAGATCCATTGAAAAGTGAACCTTCCGGCCGGGCGCGGTGGCTCACGCCTGTAATCCCAGCACTTTGGGAGGCCGAGGCGGGCGGATCACGAGGTCAGGAGATCGAGACCATCGTGGCTAACACGGTGAAACCCCGTCTCTACTAAAAATACAGAAAATTCACCAGGCGTGGTGGCGGGCGCCTGTAGTCCCAGCTACTCAGGAGGCTGAGGCAGGAGAATCACTTGAACTCAGGAGGCAGAAGTTGCAGTGAGTCGAGATCGTGCCACTGCACTCCAGCCTGGGCGACAGAGCGACACTCCGTCTCAAAAAAAAAAAGAGAAAAGTAAACCTTCCATCCCTAATACCCTGTATCTCGGTGATCCCCAGTAGTCACTACTGTTAATACTCTCTTAGGTTTTCTTCCAAATCTTATTAATACCTTTGCATATTATGTTTTTATTTATGGTAGAGATTTTCATCCATTCAACAGAAGCTTATGGACTGCCTTTTTAGTTTATTTTAAAAGAATTTTTCTAGCTTTAAATAAAAATTGTATATATTTACAGTGTACCATGTGATGTTTTCATAGTTGTATATGTTGTGAAATGATAACATACCCATCACCTCACATAGTCGTGTGTGCTTGTGTGTATATGTTTATTTTGTGCTAAGAATATTTAAGGTCGGCCAGGTGTCGTGGCTCAGGCCTGTAATCCCAGCTCTTTGGGAGGCCGAGGCGGGCAGATCCCTTGAGCCCAGGAGTTGGAGTCCAGCCTAGGCAACATAGTGAGACCCCATCTCTACAAAAAAATAAAAAAATTAGCCAGGCACAGTGGCACTTGTAGTCCCAGCTACTTGAGAGGCTGAGATGGGAGGATCACTTGAGCCTGGGAGGCAGAGGTTGCAGTGAGCCAAGATCCCGCCATTATTCTGCTCTCATTCTATGAGTTCCACTTTTTTTGACTCTACATATAAGTGGGATCATGAAGTATTTGTGTTTCTGTGCCTAGCTTATTTCCCTTAGCATAAATTCACCCATGTTGTCACAAATGACAGGATTTTCTTCTTTTTAAAGGCTGCATAGTATTCATTATATATATAAATATACATACATATACCACATTTTTACATTTCACGTTTTCTTTATCCATCAGTTCACTCTTAGGTGATTCCATACTTTGGCTATTATGAATAATGCTGCAATGAGCATGGTGATGCAGATATCTCTTTGACATACTGATTTCATTTTCTTTGGATATATACCCAGAATATATGGTATATACGTATATATTGTATATATGGTACATATGCATATATGATATATATGGTATATACTATATGGTTTATACTGTAGTTCTATTTTTAATTTTTTGAGGAGCCTCCATACTGCCTTCCATAGTGGCTATACCAATTTACATGCTCACCAACCATGCCTATCTTGGTTTTGATTTGTTTGCAGACTCCACTAGTTGTCTAGGTTCTGAACTAGTTTTTGCCTCTTGCTCTCATCCTTGCCCCCAAAACCACAGGTTCACGGAAATTTTCCTGCAAGGAAAAGTTTTGTTTTGTTTATTTTTATTTTTGTTAATGGTTTGAGAAGGGGAGAAGGGCTCTACCTAAACACCTGAACCTTTCTAAGGCTATCCTTTGTAAGCACTGTGTGGTCTAATTATTGGACCTCTGTGCTTATGATTCTATAATACCTCCTCTTAAACAAGATTAGTTTGCTGCTGCTTGAAAGATCTTGGCCATTACTACTTCAAACTTAGGTCAATGTCAGATTTATATTTGAGTATGATGTGTGTAATTCTTGAAAATACAGATTCCCTTTAAAAGAGAACTGAGGCGGGGCACGGTGACTCATGCCTGTAATCCCAGCCCTCTGGGAGGCCGAGGTGGGTGGATCACCTGAGGTCAGGAGTTCAAGACCAGCTCGGCCAACATGGTGAAACCCTGTCTCTACTAAAAATGCAAAAATTAGCCGGGTGTGGTGGCAGGTGCCTGTAATGCCAGCTGCTCGGGAGGCTGAGGCAGGAGAATCTCTTGAACCCGGGAGGCGAAGGTTGCAGTGAGCTGAGATCGCACCACTGCACTCCAGCCTGGGCGACAGAGCAAGACTCCATCTCAAAAAAATAAATAAAATAGAACTGAAAGGAAAAATGTGCTGTAATATAATTGTGTATTCAAACTACATATTCTGAACCAGATAAATGAGATATATATCGCGATGCTTTGTAAACTGAAATACTATATACAAATTTAAATGTATTGACAGCCTTTCAGAATCTATATTAAGCACCTAGTTACAAGTCACTGTGGAAATAACAGTGTAATAAAGACTAAAAAAGACCCATTAGGCATTTTGATCAAAAATTCTCATTTTTCAAAATTTGATCATATAATGCTTTGCTTTGTTAGTAAAGAACTGACCTAATTCCCTACAGGCATTGAAAACAAAACAAAGGCCAGAGCAATGGCTCATGCCTGTAATCCTAGCACTTTGGATTGAGGCGGAAGGATAGATTGAGGTCAGCAGTTCAAGACCAGCTGGGCAATATAATGAGACCCCGTATCTAAAAAAGAAAATTATTTTTGTAATTAGCCAGGCCTGGTGACACACACCTGTGGTCCCGGCTACTTCGGAGGCTGAGGCAGAAGGATTGCTTGAGCCCAGAAGTTTGAGGCTGCTGTGAGCTATGATCAAGCCACTACGATCTAGCTAGGGCAACAGAGCAAGACCTTTTTGCTAATAAATGGATAAATAAAGTGTTGAGACATTGAATAAAGAGATTTAATGAGCCAACGCACATGAAATAGAATAGTTATCAACACATAATACTCAAGGTTTTTTAAAAAAGTATTGAGAGCTTGTTTCAGCAGCACATACACTAAAATTGAAGAATACAAGGAAGATTAGCATGGCCTCTGCACAACAATGACATGCAAATTGAAGTGTTCCATATTTTAAAAAATTTTAAAAAAGAATAAAAGTGTTGAGACAAATTTATAATTAACAAAGTCATAAATAGCCAAGAGAAACTTAGCTAATCTTTATTGGTGATTACATCCCACCTCCACCACTGCTTCTCTCAGTTTATGACCACAGCAAGGTTCCTACTTTTATAGGAACGCAAATGCATAAAGGTCATGATAAGGTGTTGAAAAATAAAATAACAAAACTGCCATTTCCTGTATATTTTATGATTCTAACTAATGACAGCCATTACTCTGTAGGAAAGATACATATCTTTAGGGCAATGTTGCTTTTCAAAATGTAGTCATTCCTATTAATATTGACCTAGTATTATAGTTTCCTACTTATTAAAATGAAGTCTTTGAGGAAGTAGAATTATAGCATCATGCTAGAATTAAAACTAAATGTTTGGTTTTCATTTATTTATGTATTTATTTATTTGAGACAGGGTCTCACTTTGTCACCTAGGCTGGAGTACAGTAGTGTCATCATGGCTCATGTCAGCCTAGACCTCCAGGGCTCAAGCGATTCTCCCAGCTCAGCCTCACAAGTAACTGGGACTACAGGCGTGAAAAGCAAATTTAAAAATTTTTAATTTGTTCATAGAAATGGGGTCCCATTCTGTTGCCCAGGCTGAGCTTGACTTCTTAGACTCAAGTGATCCTCCTGCCTCAGCCTCCCAAAGTGTTAGGATTACAGGTATGAGCCACTGCACCTGGTCAAAACTAAATGTTTAGATTGTAAGTCTTTGGAATTTTTTTCTTTAAAGTCTTTAGAATTTTTTTCTTTAGACAACCATGTAGAATTGATCTCACCTCAAATGTCATCCTATTTAAAAATTGCAACCATGAATTGGCTCTCTGTTTGTCTGTTATTGGTGTATAAGAATGCTTGTGATTTTTGCACATTGATTTTGTATCCTGAGACTTTGCTGAAGTATCAGCTTAAGGAGATTTTTGGGCTGAGACGATGGGGTTTTCTAAATATACAATCATGTCTTCTGCAAACAGGGACAATTTGACTTCCTCTTTTCCTAATTGAATACCCTTTATTTCTTTCTCCTGCCTGATTGCCCTGGCCAGAACTTCCAACACTATGTTGAATAGGAGTGGTGAGAGAGGGCATCCTTGTCTTGTGCCAGTTTTCTTCAAAGAGAATAAAATACCTAGGAATCCAACTTACAAGGCATGTGAAGGACCTCTTCAAGGAGAACTACAAACCACTGCTCAACAAAATAAAAGAGGACACAAACAAATGGAAGAACATTCCATTCTCATGGATGGGAAGAATCAGTATTGTGAAAATGGCCATACTGCCCAAGGTAATTTATAGATTCAATGCCATCCCCATGAAGCTACCAATGACTTTCCTCACAGAATTGGAAAAAACTACTTTAAAGTTCATATGGAACCAAAAAAGAGCCCGCGTTGCCAAGTCAATCCTAAGCCAAAAGAACAAAGCTGGAGGCATCATGCTACCTGACTTCAACTATACTACAAGGCTACATTAACCAAAACAGCATGATACTGGTACCAAAACAGAGATATAGACCAATGATACAGAACAGAGCCCTCAGAAATAATACCACACATCTACAACCATCTGATCTTTGACAAACCTGAAAAAAACAAGAAATGGGTAAAGGATTCCCTATTTAATAAATGGTGCTGGGAAAACTAGCTAGCCATATGTAGAAAGCTGAAACTGGATCCCTTCCTTACACCTTATACAAAAATTAATTCAAAATGGATTAAAGACTTAAATGTTAGACCTAAAACCATAAAAGCCCTAGAAAAAAACCTAGGCAATACCATTCAGGACATAGGCATGGGCAAGGACTTCATGTCTAAAACACCAAAAGCAATGGCAACAAAAGCCAAAATTGACAAATGGGATCTAATTAAACTAAAGAGCTTCTGCACAGCAAAAGAAACTACCATCAGAGTGAACAGACAACCTACAGAATGGGAGAAAATTTTTGCAATCTACTCATCTGACAAAGGGCTAATATCCAGGATCTACAAAGAACTCAAACAAATTTACAAGAAAAAAACAAACAACCCCATCAAAAAGTGGGCAAAGGATATGAACAGACACTTCTCAAAAGAAGATATTTATGCAGCTAAAAGACACATGAAAAAATGCTCATCATCACTGGCCATCAGAGAAATGCAAATCAAAAGCACAATGATCTCACACCAGTTAGAATGGCAATCATTAAAAAGTCAGGAAACAACAGGTGCTGGAGAGGATGTGGAGAAATAGGAACAATTTTACACTGTTGGTGGGACTGTAAACTAGTACAACCATTGTGGAAGACAGTGTGGTGATTCCTCAAGGATCTAGAACTAGAAATACCGTTTGACCCAGCCATCCCATTACTGGGTATATACCCAAAGGATTATAAATCGTGCTGCTATAAAGACACATGCACACGTATGTTTATTGCAGCACTACTCACAATAGCAAAGACTTGGAACCAACCCAAATCTCCATCAATGATAGACTGGATTAAGAAAATGAGGCACATACACACCATGGAATACTATGCAACCATAAAAAAGGATGAGTTCATGTCCTTTGTAGGGACATGGATGCAGCTGGAAACCATCATTCTCAGCCAACTATCACAAGGACAATAAACCAAACACCACATGTTCTCACTCATAGGTGGGAATTGAACAATGAGAACACTTGGACACAGGAAGGGGAACATCACACGCCGAGACCTGTAGTGGGGTGAGGGGAGGGTGGAGGGATAGCATTAGGAGATATACCTAATGCAAATGACGAGTTAATGGGTGCAGCACACCAACATGGCACATGTATACATATGTAACAAACCTGCACCTTGTGCACATGTACCCTAGAACTTAAAGTATAATTTTAAAAAAAATTGCAACCTACCCTTAGCCTGATGTTTTAATACTTCTCACCAGATTATAATTTACTTGCTTATTATGCTGATTATTTATTGTCTTACATTCACTAGAATGTAAGATCTATGAATGCAAGTATTTTTGTCTATTTGTTCACTATTTTGTTCCTGTACATGGCCATTAAACAAATATTTAAATTACAAAATAAGTTTTTGAGGCCAAGGCCCTAAATATTAGTTTAGTTCTTAAGCATATATTCTGCAATATGATTAAACTTGTTTCCTAAGATAGTCGTAACTGAAGCACTTGTCCTAATTTGATACAAGAAGCCAAACCGTCATCTTCAAGGAAATTGTGATATTTGAAGAGAAGCCACCAGGTGGTGGTGTTGTTTCAGACTAATTCCTACTAGAATCAGGTCAATTGGTCAGTTTACTAAAAGCTGAGAGGGCAGTTTCATCCTTTTCAGATCTTATAGTCCAGGAATCACTAAATTTTAAAATGTGAATGTTTTAATGCAGTTCAAGCAAATAAAATAATTCAAAAACTCCTTTGACTATAAGTCACAATAAGATCAAATAAGCTCAGAATTTTAAAGCTAGAAAAATCCTCAATTTCAGCCACCTCAATTACACATAAAGAAGTAAAAACAAACTAGACAACAAAGCCAGGACAGCAAATTTGATAATTTAACTTGGCCTGGAATAACTAAATTATGATGTCTTTTGTAACTGAGCCATGATCTATACATTTCATAAATTTCTTTTCAAATACATACCTATGCCTCAAGTATTTGCTGTAGTTTCCAAAGAACTTAGCATTTATGTGTGTTCCATTGCCTATTGGAAGTTACATTCTGTTGTTCAGATTTTATTCTACAAAGAAGAAACCCATAATAAGTATAAATATATAAGTATAATATAGGCTTCATAAGGGCTTATAACTATGTATATTTATAATTGTATTTTAAATTTAGGAGCAATTTGAGATCATAAGTAGGTGTGTTGAGTTTCCCAAATTAGGATGTGTATAGTGTGTTTCAAACATGTTTCCTTTTAATGACATGTATTTTGCCAACAAAGCAGAATTTCTCTTTAGACTAAAGGTTGTTATTTTTTCAATTAAGATACAATTCGCATACCATAACTCACCATTTTTAAATGTACAATTCAGTGGTTTTTAGTAGATTCACAAGGTTTGCAACTGTCACCACTATCTAATACCAGAACATTTTCAGCACCCTGAATAGAAAGTCTATACCCATTAAGTAATAATTCTCTAGTCCTTGCCCCAAATTCCTGCCTCTGGTAACCTCTAATCTACTTTCTTTCTCTATGAATTTGCCTAATCTAGGTAGTTCATATAAGTAGGATCATACAGTATTTGTTCTTTTGTGTTTGGCTTATTTGGCATAATGTTTTCAAGGTTCATCCATATTGTAGCATGTATCAATATGTCATTCCTTTTTATGGCTGAATAATATTCTGTTATATGAACATACCACAATTTGTTTATCCATTCATAAGTTAGTGGACATTGGGTTGTTTTCACTTTTTGGCTATTTGAATAAAGATGCTATTAACATCTCTGCACAAGTTTTTGTGGGTACATATGTTTTCAGTTCTCTTGGGTATATACCTAGGAGTGGAATTGGTGGGTCATATGTATGTTTAACTTTTTGAAGAACTACCAAACTATTTCCCATGGTGGCTATGCCATTTTACATTCACACCAGCAATGCATCTGGGTTCTGTTTTTTCCACATTCTCACCATCACTTATTTTCCACTTTTTAAATTATAGCCATCCTAGCAGGTGGTTTGCATCGTGGTTTTGATTTGAATTTTGCTGATAAAAACTAATGATTTTGAAAATCTTTTCACATGTTTATTGGACATACATATATCTTCTTTGGAGAAATGTCTATTCACGTCTTTTGACCATCTTTTAGTTGGATTATTTTTCTATTGTTGAGTTGTAAAAGTTCTTTATATATTCTGTGTACTAGATCCTTATCAGATTTATGATTTACAAATATTTTCTCCCATTCTGTGAGTTTTTTCACTTTGTTGAGCATGCCCTTTGACACACAAACGTTTTTAATTTTTGTTTGTTTGTTTGAGATGCAGTCTTGCTCTGTCGCCCAGGCTGGAGTGCAGTGGCACAATCTCTGCTCACTGCAAGCTCCGCCTCCTGGGTTCATGCCATTCTCCTGCCTCAGCCTCCTGAGTAGCTGGGACTACAGGCGCCTGCCACCACGCCCAGCTAATTTTTTTATATTTTTAGTAGAGACAGGGTTTCACCGTGTTAGCCAGGATGGTCTCGATCTCCTGACCTCATGATCCACCTGTCTCGGCCTCCCAAAATGCTGGGATTACAGGCTCGAGCCACCGCGCCTGGCCAAAAGTTTTTAATTTTGTTGAAGTCCAGTGCTCTGGTTTGAATGTGTCCTCCAAAGTTCATGTGTTGGAAACATGATCCCCAATGCCACACTACTGAGAAGCGGGACATTTATGAGGTGATTAGATCATGAGGGCTTTATCCTCATGAATGAATTCATGTTGTTATCAAAGGAGTGGGTTTGTTATCACTAGAGTAAGTTTGTTATGAAAGCGAGTTCTGCCTTTTCTCTCAAGAATGCTCTCTTGCCCTTCCACCTTCTGCCATGGGATGACAGAGCAAGAAGGCCCTCACAGGATGCAGGCATCTTGATGTTGGACTTTCCAGCCTCCAGAATTGTGAGAAGTAATTTTTTCTTCTTTATAAATTACTCAGTCTACGATATTCTTTTATAACAACACAAAATGGACTAAGACATACAAGTTATCTATTTTTTTTTTCAGCTGGGTGTGGTGGCCCATGCCTGCAATCCTAGCACTTTGAAAGGCCGAGATAGGTGAACCACCTGAGGTCAGGAGTTCAAGACCAGCCTGGCCAACATTGCGAAACCCCGTCTCTACTAAAAATACAAAAATTAGCCAGGTGTGGTGGTACACACCTGTAATCCCAGTTACCCAGGAAGCTGAGGCAGGAGAATCCCTTGAGCCCAGGAGGTGGAGGTTGCAGCGAGCCAAGATTGTGCCACTGCACTCCAGCCTGGGCAACAGAGCAAGACTCTCAAAAAAAAAAAAATCTACTTTTTTCTTTTGTAGCTTGTGCTTTTGGTATCATATCTGAGAAACCATTGCCTAACCCAAGCTCACAAAGATTTACAGTTGTATTTTCTTCTAGGAGTTTTATTGTTTTAGCTCTTATATTTTGATCTTTTTCTATTTTGGGTTGATTTTTGCAAATCGTATGAAATATGGATCCAAATTCATTTGCTTGGCCAGGCTTGGGTGGCTCATGCCTGTAATCCCAGTACTTTGGGAGGGCAAGGCAGGCAGATCGCTTGAGGCCAGGAGTTTGAAACCAGCCTGGCCAACATGGTGAAACCTGTCTCTACTAAAAATACAAAAATTAGCCAGGTGTGGTGTTGCATGCTTGTAATCCCATCTACTCGGGAGGCTGAAGCAGGAGAATCACTTGAACTTGGGAGGTGGAGGTTTCAGTAAGCCAAGATTGCACCACTGCACTCCTGCCTGTGTGACAGAGAAAGACTGTCTCAAAAAAACAAAACAAAACAAAACAAACCCTGCCATGTGAATATCCAGTTGTCCTGGCACCTTTTGTTGAAGAAAGTAGACTTTCTCCATTAAATGGTCTTCACACCTTGTCAAAAATCAATTGATCATAGGTAATATAAATTTCTTTTTTCTTTTCTTTTTTTTTTGAGACAGAGTCTCTCTCTGTCGCCCAGGCTGAAGTGTAGTGGCGCAGTCTCCACTCACTGCAACTTCCACCTCCTGGGCTCAATCGATTCTCCTGCCTCAGCCTCCCAAGTAGCTGGGACTACATGTGTGTGCCACCACGCCAGGCTAATTTTTTTTTTTTTTTTGAGATGGAGTCTCACTCTGTTGCCCAAGCTGGAATGCAGTGGTGCAAACTCGACTCACCACAACCTCCACCTCCCAGGTTCAAGTGATTCTCCTGCCTCCTCCTCCCAAGTAGCTGAGATTACAGGCACCTGCCACCACGCCTGGCTGATTTTTTGTATGTTTAGTAGAGACAGGGTTTCACCATGTTGGCCAAGCTGGTCTTGAGCTCCTGACCTCAGGTGATCTGCCCACCTTGGACTCCCAAAGTGCTGGGATTACAGGTGTGAGCCACTGCACCCAGCCTCTTTTTTTCTTTTTTCCCTTTTTTTTTTTTTCTTTTGAGATGGGGTCTTGCTCTGTTACTTAGGCTGAAGTGCAGTGGCATAATCTCAGCTCACTACAACCTCTGCCACCCGGGCTCAAGTGATCCTCCCACCTAGGCTTCTGAGTAGCTGGAACTGCAGGTGTGCACCACCACACCCAGATAATTTTTGAATTTTTAGTAGAGACAGGGTTTCACCATGTTGCCAAGGCTGGTCTTAAACTTCTGAGCTCAAGTGATCTGCCTGCCTTGGCCTCCCAAAGTGCTGCTGGCATTGCAGAGATGAGCCACCACACTTGGCCCATCTTTTTTCTTTTTTTAAATAATTTTAACTAATTTTACAAAAAAAAAGTCAGTATTCATTTCACATTACTACATTACAAGTTTATTTCTGAATTTTCTTTTTTTTTTTTTTTCTGAGACAGAGTCTCCCTCTGTTGCCCAGGCTGGAGTACAGGGACACAATCTTGGCTCACTGCAACTTTCACCTCCTGGGTTCAAGTGATTCTCATGCCTCAGCCTCCCAAGTAGGTGGCATTACAGGTGCACACAACCATGCCTGGCTAATTTTTGTATTTTTAGTAGAAACGGGTTTTCACCATGTTGGCCAGGCTGATCTCAAACTCCTGGCCTCAAGTGATCCACCCACCTTGGCCTCCCAAAGTGCTGGGATTACAGGCATGAGCTACTGTGCCCAACCTCTGAATTATCAATTCTAGTCCATTGATGTATATGTTTATCTTTGTGCCAGTACCACACACACCGTGTTGATTTTTTTTTTTTTAATTTTGAGACAGAGCATTACTCTGTTGCCCAGATTGGAGTATGATGGTGCAATCATAGCTCACTATAGCCTCAAACTCCTGGACTCAAGCAATCCCCCTGCCTCAGTCTCCTGAATAGCAAGGACTATGAGTGTGCAACACTATCCCTGGCTAATTTTTTAATTTTTTGCAGAGATGGAGCCTCACTATGTCGCCCAGACTGGTCTTAAACTCCTGGCCTTGAGTGATCCTCCCACCTTAGCCTTCCAAAGTAGCTGTTGATTATAGTAGCTTTGTAGTAGGTTTTAAAATTAGGAAGTGTGAGTCCTCCAACTTTGTTCATTTCCTACTTTGTCTTGGCTATTCTGGGTCCCTTCCATTTCCATGTGAATTTTAGAATCAGTTTATTCATTTCTGCAAAAAAAAAAAAAGGCAGTTGGAATTTTTATAGGGATTACATTGAATCTGTAGATTAATTTGGGAAATGTCTTAGCTTTTTCCTGCTGCTATAACAAACTACCTTAGACTGAGTAATTTATAAACAATAGAAATTTATTTATCGTTGTTCTAGAGCTGGGAAGTCCAAGATCAACACACTAGCAGATTTGGTGCTTGGTAAGGATTGCTATCTGCTTCCAAGATGGCGCCTCTTGGTCCTTTCTCATATGGTTGAAGGACAAAAGGCATGGAGCACTCCTTTCTACCTTTTTTTTTGAGATGGAGTCTCACTCTGTCAGCAGGCTGGAGTGCAATGGCAAGATCTCGGCTCACTGCAACCTCCGCCTCCCAGGTTCAAGCGATTCTCCTGCCTCAGCCTCCCAAGTAGCTGGGACTACAGCACGTGCCACCACACCTGGCTAATTTTTGTATTTTTAGTAGGGACGGGGTTTCACCATGTTGGCCAGGATGGTCTCGACCTCCTGACCTCGTGATCCACCTGCCTCGGCCTCCCAAAGTGCTGGGATTACAGGCATGAGCCACCACGCTCGGCCCCCTTCAACTTTTTTAAAAATAGTACTAATCCATACATGAGGTCAGAGCCCTTGTGAATTAATCCCTTCAATAGAAGTCCTACCTCTTAACACTGTCACATAAATAGAGTAGTTTCCCCTTATCTGTGGTGAACTTTTCGAGGTTTCACTTACCCATGGTCCACCTCGGTCCAAAAATATTAAATTGAAAATTCCAGAAATAATTCATAAGTTTTAAATTTCTTGCTATTCTGCGTAGCATGTTAAAATCTCACACCATCCTGCTCTGTGCTGTCCTGGATGTTAATTTTATCCCTTTGTTCAGCATATCCCTGCGGTATATGCTACCCACCTGCTAGTCACTTAGTAGCCATCTCAGTTATCAAATCAACTGTCACAGTATTACAGCGCTTGTGTTCAAGCAACTCTTGTTTTGCTTAATAATCACCCCAGGCTGGGCGCGGTGGCTCATGCCTGTAATCCCAACACTTCAGGTGGATCACCTGAGGTCAGGAGTTTGAGAACAGCCTGACCAATGTGGTGAAACCCCGTCTCTACTAAAAATACAAAATTAGCGGGACGCGGTGGCTCATGCCTGTAATCCCAGCACTTTGGGAGGCTGAGGTGGCAGATCATGAGGTCAGGAGTTCAAGACCAGCCTGGTCAACCTGATGAAACCCCGACTCTACTAAAAATACAAAAATTAGCTGGGCATGGTGGTGTGTGCCTGTAATCTCAGTTTACTCAGGAGGCTGAGTCAGGAGAATCACTTGAACCCCGGAGGCGGAGGTTCCAGTGAGCCGAGATCGTGCCCCGCATTCCAGCCTGAGCAACAGAGCAACACTCTATCTCACAAAAATAAATAAATAAATAAATAAATAAGCCGCGTATGGTGGCGCATGCCTGTAATCCCAGCTACTAGGGAGGCAGAGGCAGGAGAATCACCTGAACCCAGGAGGCAGTGGTTGTAGTGAGCTAAGATTGCACCATTGTACTCCAGCCTGTACGATAAGAGCGAAACTCCGTCACAAAAGAAAAAAAAAAGAAAAGAAAATCACCCCAAAATGCAAGAGTAGTGATCCTGGCCATTCTGATATGCCAAAAAGAAGCCTTTGCTTTTTCCAACCCTCCCTTCCATATTACTCATTTTCTGACTCCCATGCTTTGTACTCTGATGCAGTACTCTTAGTAATCAGCAGTGAGGAGATCTAGTCCTGGGCGCTCCAGAGCATTGTCATATACAGTTTGATACTATCTGCAGTTTCAGGCATCCACTGGGAGTCTTGAAACATATCCCCCATAGATAAGGTCAAGAGGAGGGTACCGTGTTGAATTCCAACATATGAATTTTGGAGGGATACCTACGTTCAAACCATAACAGGAAGTGCTGTCATCTTAACAACATTTATGGGCCAGGCACAGCAGTTTGTGCCGGTAATCCCAGCATTTTGGGAGGCCAATGCCTGGGTTTT
This sequence comes from Homo sapiens, assembly GCF_000001405.40. Classification (NCBI taxonomy): domain Eukaryota; kingdom Metazoa; phylum Chordata; class Mammalia; order Primates; family Hominidae; genus Homo; species Homo sapiens. The sequence goes on from NC_000012.12 coordinate 101,421,791, forward strand.
GTAGGCCAAACCCAGGAGTTTGAGACCAGCCTGGGCAACATGGTAAAACCTCATAACTATTTAAAAAAAATAAAAAATTAGGCTGGGCGCGGTGGCTCACGCCTATAATCCCAGCATTTTGGGAGGCCAAGGCAGGCGGATCACGAAGTCAGGAGTTCGAGACCAGCCTGGCCAACATAGTGAAACCCCATCTCTACTAAAAATACAAAAATTAGCCGGGCGTGGTTGCATGCGCCTGTAGTCCCAGATACTTGAGAGGCTGAGGTGGGATAATCGCTTGAACTTGGGAGAAGGTGGTTGTAGTGAGCCGAGATCATGCCATGGCACTCCAGCCTGGGCGACAGAGTGAGACTCCCTCTCAAAAAAAAAAAAAAAAAAATTACAAAAATTAGCTGGGCATGGTGGCACACACCTGTAATCCTAGCTACTCAGAAGGCTGAGGTGAGAGGATCGATTGAGTTCAGAAAGTCAAGGTTGCAGTGAGCTGTGATCACACCACTGCACTCCAGCATGGGAAACAGAGAGAGACCTTGTCTGAAAAAAAAAAAAAAAAAAAACCATAAAAAACAATATTATATAGGCCAGGAGTGGTGGCTCATGCCTGTAATCCCAACACTTTGGGAGGCCGAGGTGGGTGGATCACCTGAGGCCAGGATTTCAAGTTCAGCCTGGCCAACATGGCGAAACCCCGTCTCTACTAAAAATACTAAAATTAGCCGGCGTGGTGGTGTGTGTCTGTAGTCTCAGCTACTCGGGAGGCTGAGGCAAGAGAATTACTTGAACCCAGGAGGCAGAGGTTGCAGTGAGCTGAGATTGTGCCATCACACTCCAGCCTGGACGACAGAGTGAGATACAAATACATATATAAATTTTTTTCAATGTTTTGGAGTTTTCAGTAACAGGTATTACAGTTCTTTGGTTAAACTTACTTATTTTGTTGAGACAAATGGTTCTTAACCTGACATTCTGTTAATTCACAGTAGACTTCTGGGAGCCTGCACACCTATTAAAGTTATTTTCAGAATTTTATCTCTGTGTGTACATGCATTTTTTTTTTTTTTTTTGAGATGGACTCTCGCTCTGTCACCCGGGCTAGAGTGCAATGGCGTGATCTCGGCTCACTGCAACCTCCGCCTCCCAGGTTCAAGCAATTCTCCTGCCTCAGTCTCCCAAGTAGCTGGGATTACAGGCGCGTGCTACCACGCCTGCTACCACGCCTGGCTAATTTTTGTATTTTTAGTAGAGATGGGGTTTCACCATGTTCGTCAGGCTGGTCTCAAACTCCTGACCTCATGATCCGCCTGCCTCGGCCACCCAAAGTGCTGGAATTACAGGTGTGAGCCACCACACATGGGCCATGCATTCTTTTCTCAGAAAGACAGTCTGGAACCTCTATCAGAATCTCAAAGGATCGGTCTCTGACCTAAATTTTTTTTTTTTTTTTTTGAGATGGAGTCTCACTCTATTGCCCAGGCTGGAGTGCAATGGCACGATCTCGGCTCACTGCAACCTCCACCTCCCAGATTCAAGTGATTTTCCTGCCTCAGCCTCCTGAATAGCTGGGATTATAGGCACGCGTTACCATGCCTGGCTAATTTTTGTTTTTTTACTAGAGACGGGGTTTCACCATGTTGGCCAGGCTGGTCTCGAACTCCTGCGCCTGGCCTGTGACCTAAATTTGTATTTTTGTTTTTATTTATTTATTATATATAATAAACAGAAATGTATTGGCTCATGATTTGGGAGGCTGGAAAGTCCAAGACTGAGAAGCTGACATCTGGCAAGGGCCTTATTCTGTGTTATCCCATGGTGGAAGGGCAAAGAGAGGGCAAGAGAGAGCCAAAAGGGGGCCAAACTCATCCTTTGATAAAGAAACTTTGATGCCTGGGAGCAGTGGCTCATGTCTGTAATCCCAGCATTTTGTAAGGCTAAAGAGGGTGGATCACTTGAGCCCAAGAATTTGAGACCAGCATGGGCAACATGATGAAACCTCATCTGTATAAAAAATTTAAAAATCAGCCAGGCACAATGGCTCATGCCTGTAATCCCAGCACTTTGGGAGGCTGAGGTGGGTGGATCACGAGGTCAGAAGTTCGAGACCAGCCTGGCCAATATGGTGAAACCCCGTCTCTACTAAAAATACAAAAATTAGCTGGGCATGGTGGCGTGCTCCTAGTAATCCCAGCAACTTGGCAGGCTGAGGCAGAAGAATCACTTGAACCCAGGAGGTGGAGGTTGCAGTGAGCCAGCATTGCCCCACTGTACTCCAGCCTGGGCAACAGAATGAGACTCCATCTCAAAAAAAAAAAGTTGCCTGGTGCAGTGGCTCACGCCTGTAATCCCAGCACTTTGGGAGGCTGAGGCTGGCAGATCACCTGAGGTCAGGAGTTCGAGACCAGCCTGACCAACATAGAGAAACTCTGTCTCTACTAAAAATACAAAATTAGCTGGGTATGGTGGCGCATGCCTGTAAGCCCAGCTACTTGGGAGGGTGAGGCAGGAGAATTGCTTGAACCCGGGAGGTGGAGGTTGTGGTGAGCCAAGATTGTGCCATTGCACTCCAGCCCGGGCAACAAGAGCGAAACTCCGTCTCAAAAAAAAAAAAAAAGTAAAAAATCCTTTCTGGCAGTGATGACCTACCCACGAGAACATGCCTCTTGCAAAGGATCTCCTTCATCCCTCTTCAGGAGAGAAGAAGAGGAAACACAAGAGGAAACGCCTGGTGCAGAGCCCCAATTCCTACTTCATGGATGTGAAATACCCAGGATGCTATAAAATCACCATGGTCTTTAGCATGCACAAACAGTAGTTTTGTGTTTTGGCTGCTCTACTGTCCACTGCTAGCCCACAAGAGGAAAAGCAAGGCTTACAGAAGGATGTTCCTTTAGGAGAAAGCAGCACTAAAAGCACTCTGAATCAAGATGAGTGGGAAACCATCTCAATAAGCACATTTTGGATTAAAAAAAAAATTAGCCGGGCATGTTGGCACACATCTGTAGTCCCAGCTATTTGGGAGGCTAAGGTGGAAAGAATCACTTGAGCCTGGGAGGTGGCTCATGCCTGTAATTCCAGCACTTTGAGAGGCTGAGGCAGGCGGGTCACTTGAGTCCAGGAATTCAAGACCAGCCTGGGCAACATGGTGAAACCCAGTCTTTATTATTAAAAAAAAAAGTTTCAAAAAATTAAAAATTAAATTATTAGTTACATAATTTTTAGAGGAACTTAAATTACCCAGCTATGCATTAACTGTAATAACTATTTATATAGTTGATCAAATTTTTTAGGCTATAGGACAGCTGTTGTTTCTGAAGTTGAAGTTAGCTAAAATATTTTAAAAAGTGAACACTTGCATGATAAAACATATTACAATAGGACTTGGAAAATGGAGTTAAAAAAAAACTTGGTTACTGGCATTTTTGCTGTTAATGTTGCACTGGCAGGAAAAAGAAATTAGGTGACTTTTGTGATGTAGGGGCCAAAGGAAAGGTTCCTTTTGGCCTTCTGAAGGGTATTGAAAAACCAATCCACAAAAAGGCAGATTAATTGAAGAAAATGCATACAACAACTGGGGACAGTTGGTGCACATCTGTAATCCCAGCAACTCAGAAGGCTCAGGCAGGAGGATTGTTTGAGGCCTGGAGTTGGAGACCAGCCTGGGAAACATAGCAAGACCCAGTCTCTAAAGAATAAAATAAAATAAATGAAAAACAAAAACAGAAAAGACATACGGATTTATTTAACATGTATACACAGAAGCCTTTAGAATGAAGATCCAAAAATACAGGGAAAATTGTCCTTTAATGTTTAGGTTTACAAACTAGAACAGTGGTGTAGAAATGTGATTGGACAAAAAGGTTATGACCTAATGCTAATAGCCTGAGTAGGACACCCAGAAATGCCTGTGTGTCTAGATTCTTTTCAGCCTCTCTGGGTATTTTTTTTTTCTGGTTATGGGGCAGGACCCTCTCTGGAATGGAGGGTCTTAGGATCAATAGTCAAAGAAGATAGCTCAGATAAATTTTTTTGGCCAATTTTTACACAGAAAGATAGAAGGAAAATAAAAGTAATCTTTTTAGGTTTTATGGCTGGCTTTGGGGAAAAAGGGTTCTGATTTCTATGATCTGCCTTGGGAAGAGGGATTCTGGTTTCTATGGCTAGTTTTTGGGGAGAATGAGACTGAAAGAACATCAGGAGAAAGACAAAAAGTTTTGCTTCTGAGGCCTTCATTTTGGGGGTATTGTGTTTTTTTTAAGAGACAGGGTTTCACTCTGTCACCCAGGCTGGAGTGCAGTGGCATGATCTCGGCTCACTGCAGCCTCAGCCTCCCAGGTTCAAACGAACCTCCCACCTCAGCCTCCCAAGTAGCTGAAACTACTACACCACCACATCCAGCTAATTTCTAAATTTTTTTTGTAGAGACGGGGTCTCACTATGTTGCCAGGCTGGTCTCAAACTCCTGGCCTCAAGTGATCCTCCTGCCTCAGCCTTCAAGTAGCTAGGATTACAGGCACATGCCACCATGCCTGGCTATTTTGTTTTTGTTTTTGTAGAGACAGAGTCTTGCTGTGTTACCCAGGCTGATCTTGAACTCCTGGCCTCAAGCAATCGCCCGCCTCAGCCTCCTAAAGTGCTGGATTACAAGCATAAGCGACTATACTCAGCCAGATATTGTTTTCTGAGTCCCAAAAGTGACATAACGATTGTTATAATTAAACATAACTGTGTTAGTTGTAGCTGAGAAAGCAAAGGCTTTGGAACTTTATTTAAAGGCAAACAAAGCCAGGCGTGGTGGTGCATGCCTGTAGTCCCAGCACTTTGGGACGATGAGGCAGGAAGATTACTTGAGCTGGGGAGATTGAGGCTGCACCAGTGAGTGACACCATGTCTCTAAATAAATAAATAAAAGCAAATGAAATATATCTAACCAATCAACAACTTGAAACTGCCCAATCAGTCCTATTGACTTACCAGTGATTAAAATGAACTGTTGGCCTTTTTTTCTTTCTTTCTTTTTTTTTTTTTTTAAGAGACAGGGTCTCCTTCTGTCACCCATGCTGGGATGTATGGCACTATCATAGCTCACTGCAGCTTTGAACTCCAAGGCTCAAGCAATCCTCTTGCCTCAGCCTCCCAAAGAAAATGGATTCTTATGAACAAAAACATCTGATGAACCCTTTCTCCAGTCCTGATTTTCTCTCAAGCTTCTGTTCTGAATCTCCAACTACTTACTAGAGAGTTCTTTATGGGATATTCACTCAAGCTTCATATGTCTAAAACCAAACATACCTTTTTGCTAACTAAAAAGTAAAACAAACACAACTCTAAAAATCTGATTTACTCTCCCAACTTTCTTATTTCTCTGCTCAATGAGCCAAATTCTACCTCTCCTTGCCACCTATGGGTTAATGCAGAGGGCCTTTCTCTGGCCTCACAGTGACCAAATCTTGTTCATTCATCCTTTATCTCCTACTCTCGGACAGTAGCCTATTTTTCCTCACCCTCAAATACCTTTGAATACCACCACTTTGCATCTAATAAAGTCTGTCCTGTACTAGGTACTCAATACATGTTCACAGAATATATCATGTTAATTTCTCTATTAGAAACCTTTAAAACTCATTGCCAAGGATGTTCGTAATTGTTGGTTACTATCTTAATCAGTTTTCTGCTGCTATAATGGAATACCACAGGCTGGGTAATTTATAAAGAAAACAAATTAATTTCTCACAGTTCTGGAGACTGGAAAGTCCAAGAGCTTGGCATTGCCTCTGGCGAGGCCTTTGTGCTGCATCATAACATGGCAGAAGGTTAAGCAAGCTTATGAGAACAAGAGGAGAAATAGAACTGAATTCATCCTTTATCAGGAGCCCACTCCTGAGATAATAGCATTAATCCATTTATGATGGCAGAGCTCTCGTGACTGAATTACCTCTTAAAGAAAGCACCTCTTACGCCTGTAATCCCAGCACTTTGGGAGGCCGAGGCAGGCGGATCACGAGGTCAGGAGATTGAGACCATCCTGGCTAATGCAGTGAAACCCCGTCTCTACTAAAAATACAAAAAAATTAGCCAGGCGTGGTGGCGGGTGCCTGTAGTCCCAGCTACTTGGGAGGCTGAGGCAGGAGAATGGTGTGAACCTGGGAGGCGGAGCTTGCAGTGAGCCGAGATCACACCACTGCACTCCAGCCTGGGTGACAGAGCAAGACTCCATCTCAAAAAAAAAAAAAAAGAGAAAGCACCTCTTTTTTGTTTTGTTTTGTTTTGAGGCAAGGTCTTGCTATGTTGCCAAGGATGGTCTCAAACTCCCGGCCTCAAGTGATCCTCCTGCCTCAGCCTTCCAAAGTGCTGGGATTACAGGCATGAGCCTCTGTGCCCAGCTAACAGCACCTCTTAATACTGTTATAATGGCAATGACACTTTTTTTTTGAGTTGGAGTTTCACTCTGTCACCCAGGCTGGAGTGCAATGGTGTGATCTCAGCTCACTGCAACCTCCTCCTCCCAGATTCAAGCAATTCTCCTGACTCAGCCTCCCAAGTAGCTGGGATTACAGGCGCCCATCACCACACCCAGCTAATTTTTGTATTTTTAGTAGAGACAGGGTTTCACCATATTGGCCAGGCTGGTTTCGAAATCCTGACCCCGTGATCCGCCCACCTCGGCCTCCCAAAGTGTTGGGATTACAGGCGTGAGCCACCGCGCCCGACTGGCAATTACATTTGAACATGAGTTTTGGCAGGAACATTTAAATAATAGCAGTTACTTACTTTTTTAGAAGGCTAACTTTTTAAGGGCAGCGTCTTTCTTATTCTTCTCTGTATCTCCAGTGCTACCACACTGGAGTTCAATAAATGTTTGTTGAATTCATGAAGGATGAGGCTTGAATTTCTTAACTTAGCATTCAGATACTTCCATAATCAGATCCAACTGACTACCTCTCTCCAGTTCAGTCAAACATTGTGGAATCGGGGGGAAACTCACTGTTTCCAGGACTCTGTAGATTTTGCTTCTATAGTGAGGTTTGCCATTACCATTGGGAAAGCCATCCAGCCACTCTGTGGTTCAGATTCCTCTGCAAAATGAAGGATTGGTCAAGAGTGAAACTCCTCAGACTTTAATGTCTACATACAAAGCACCTGGCCGGGCGAGGTGGCTCAAGCCTGTAATCCCAGCACTTTGGGAGGCTGAGGCAGGTAGATCACGAGGTCAGGAGAACGAGACCATCCTGGCTAACAGAGTGAAACCCCGTCTCTACTAAAAATACAAAAATTAGCTGGGCGTGGTGGCGGGCGCCTGTAGTCCCAACTACTCGGGAGGCTGAGGCAGGAGAATGGCGTGAACCTGGAGGTGGAGCTTGCAGTGAGCCGAGATGGTGCCACTGCACTCCAGCCTGGGTGACAGAGCGAGACTGCATCTCTAAAAAAACAAAACAAAAAAACAAACAAAAAAAGCACCAAAGACCTTGAACATGCACAATCAGACTGTGATTCTGCATTTCTACAAGCTCCCAGGGGATGCTAATGCATGAATATTTGTACCTTTTTCTACCTTTCAAAGATCATGTTGAAATTTAATCCCCAGTGTGGCAGTATTGAGAAGTGGGGCCTTTAAGAGGTGACTGGGCCATGAGGGCTCTGCTTTCATGACGAATTAATCCATTTCTGGATTCACGGATTCATGAATTAATGGATTATTATGAGAGTAGGACTGGTGGCTTTCTAAGAAAAGGGAGACACCTGAGCTAGCATACTCAGTCCCCTTACCATGAGACATCCTGCACAGCCTTGGGAGTCTGCAGAGAGTCCTCACCAGCAAGAAGGCTCTCACCAGATATGGTCCCTTGACCTTGGACTTCTCGGCCTCCATAACTATAAGGAATAAATTCCTTTTCTTATAAATTACCCACTTTCAGTTATTCTGTTTTAAGCAACAGAAAACAGACTAAGACAACTATTGAAGTAATTACGAAGTTCTATGTTCTCTGGTCTATTTATTGTCTTTTTCATGACTGATGCTATAAAGTTCTGTATATTGCTTCTCTTTCCTGAGATGCTTTCTCTATTCATTTCCCTCCATATAAATCCAACTCACCTTTTCAAGCTCTTTCTCCTGGGCAAAGCCTTCCATTACTACTCTAGTTCCCCAATTCCCCCCATCTTTATTATATTATAGTATCCATTGCTGGCACTTGGAATGTTACACTAATCACCTACAACTATTAATTGTTGCTTATCATTATGTACACAAGTAACCAGTTATATATATTTTTTTCTTTCCTAGGAGGCTTACCACAGTGGCTCAGGTATAGTAAGTTGCAAGTTTTGTTGAATAAATGAATGAATGAATGAATAATTTACTATAGCATTGGTGCTCCAGAGAGATATCAAATGTTTCAGTATTTTATAAAATTGTTTTCCAGAACATAGAGGAAACTGCCAATTTGGAATTTCCCCAGCCTATTCAAATGAGGCAGTCCAAGCTAAGCAATAATTTGATCCATTCAAAAGTTAACGATATTAAAAATAAATGTTGATATTAAATTTCAAATTTCTCTTTAGCTTCTGAAACACTGGCATTTGCTACTGCTGTTTTTGTCTCACTTTTCAAAGCCAAATACACACAATATATTATGCATGAGAAATTAGCATCATATTGCATAAAAGATTTGTCCATAGAGTATGATTTGTTATTATATCATGATTTCAACAGCTTGGTCAAACAATCTGCTTTATACTAAATATCATGCTGCATACCAAATAATGAAGTGGACTTTCTGCCTGTTGAAAGACAAAGAATCTTTATTATTGATATAGAGAAGTTGTTTTAATCTTAAAGTTAAAATAAGGAAGTTCTTTGAATATTGCTTAACTCACAACTGTGGGAAAAAACGTAGAAGCATTTCAGAACCTACCATCCTACTTTGCATTTCTATTGAACAGCTGCGTTTTAACCACCTTGCAATATTTGTTGTATAAAATACACTTTAACCCTAATATAAATTTATAATTTTTGACAAGAGTAAGTAACTATATTACATATTACCAAATTTTTGATCAGATAAATATTTTGGTTGTAAGTCATTATAATTGAAATTTACTGTAAAATCTCTTGGTAAACTTGTAAAGTATTAGCTCCACAAATGTAAAGCATTATAATCATTACTATGCAAAACATATAATATTTCTGAAAATGCTGGAAAATATAAGCTAAATGAGTACACCTAATAAAGTAATGTATCACTTGAATAGGAGCTATAAAGTATAATGAATCTTATTCTTAACAGATTTTAGTCATTTAAGTTTGTTTTCTTTAAAGAATTTCTATTCTTAATTTAGTTTACATACCTCTGATGGAAACTTCTCTTCACAAAGTAAAGTGAAGATTCTCAGAAGACAGACATTAATATTCACTTTTAACTATCTTTTCATTTATGTAGTTCTCTAGCTTCTGATAAAATATTTATGGAAGGAGGTCATCTTTAGTTCTGGTTTTGCAAAGCTCTCTGTCATCTGTAATCTCAGTTCTTCAGAATAGAGCAACACAGAATACAGAATTCATAGAGACCAGAAGGGCTGACTCAGGCCTGGCATTTTTATAGAATGCTTAGAGCCAGAAGAACCTCGGAGATCATCTGTTCCAGTCTCCTTGTTTTACAACTGGGGATGCTGTGGCCTTGAGGTCACCCTGCTCATTAACTTGAACTCTTCTCTTCTTCAGTCCGTAGTTCTTTCCATCTTGTGAATTGAGACATGGGAAAACTAAGAATACTAAGAGCATCAGAAAACACAGGTAGGTGAAGGAGGTAACAAAGTCTCTTCCAGACGGCCGTGAAGCCCTGCCATTTGCAGCTTGCATCTCCACACCTGGGTCAACTCTCAATGGCTGCCATCCTTGAGAGGCTTAAACCTCAACCAGTGACTGGCAATTACTAGACTGTTGATTAGACAAATGGAATATCTCTAAATGGGTTTTATTATCTGTATCTGTCACAAGATAGCCACACTTTTCAAAAAGGAAAACAAATGTTTACTTTATCCCACAGATTCTTATCGTGTGTGCACTGAATGTTCATTACATGTACTTCCTTCTAACATTTATCAAGCGCTTACTGTGGGCCAGTCAGTATGCTGTTTGCTTCAACCGCATTGCATAGTCCCCCCGTGTCTGCAGGGGATACGTTCCATGACTCCAGTGGGTGCCTGGAACTGCAGATAGTATCCTGAACCCTATATATACTGTTTTATCCTATATCTACAAACCTATGATAAAGTTAAACTTATAAATTAGGCACAGAAATAAATTAACAACAATAACTAATAATAAAATAAAACAGCAATTATAACAATACACTGTAATAAAAGTTATGTGAATGTAATCTCTCTGTCTCAAAATGTCTTACTGTACTGTATTCACCTATTTTCCTCAACCAGGGTTGACCGTGGGTAACTGAAATCAAGGAAAGCAAAACCACAGATAAGGGGCAACTATTGTACTTCATTAAATCTTTATAGCTGGCCGGGCGCGGTGGCTTAAACCTGTAATCCCAGCACTTTGGGTGGCCAAGGCGGGCGGATCACGAGGTCAGGAGATCGAGACCATCTTGGCTAACACGGTGAAACCCCGTCTCTATTAAAAATACAAAAAAATAAGCCAGGCGTGCTGGTGGGCGCCTGTAGTCCCACCTACTTGGGAGGCTGAGGCAGGAGAATAGCGTGAACCCGAGAGGAGGAGCTTGCAGTGAGCCGAGATCGCGCCACTGCACTCCAGCCCGGGTGACGGAGCGAGACTCCATCTCAAAAAAAAAAAAAAAAAAAAAAAAAAATCTTTATAGCTGAGTGCGGTGGCTCACACCTGTAATCCCAGCATTTTGGGACGCTGAGGCAGGCGGATAACCTGAAGTCAGGAGTTCGAGACCAGCCTGGCCAACATGGTAAGACCTTGTCTCTACTAAGAATACAAAAAATTAGCCAGGTGTGGTAGTGGTGCCTGTAATCCCAGCTGCTCAGGAGGCTGAGGCAGGAGAATCGCTTGAACCTGGGAGGCAGTGGGTACAGTGAGCCAAGATTGCGCCATTGCACTCCAGCCTGGGAGAGTGAGACTCCATCTCCAAAATAAATAAATAAATAAATAAATCTTTATAAACAACACCATTAAGTAAATACTATTATTCTTCCATATTTTAAAGGCAATGAAATTGAAGCTTAGGTAAGTTAAGCAATTTGCCCAAGGTGCATAGCTAGTAAGCAGCAGAGCTAGAATTAGAGTCCAAGCTGTCTGACATCAGAACCAGACCTCCTCAGCACTATTTCTGTGCTCTGCCTCTGGGAAAAAAAAAAACTGGCCTACCCAAAATAAGAAATTTCCTTATAAAAAGAAATAACACATACACACATACACATATGAAAACTGAAAATATTTACAAATTATTCTCTAAATGGCGTGTTCTTCTTTTCCTATTATTTGGGAAGAGTAAGTACGTCATCAATACTATGAGAAACTTCAGAGTAATTCACCAGTATTTTTTTTTTTCTTTGAGGCAGGGTCTTACTCTGTCACCCAGGCTGGAATGAAGTAGTGTGATCTTGGCTCACTGCAGCCTCAACCTCCAGGCTCAAGCAATCCTCCCACTTGGGACTACAGGCATGTGCCACTATGCCTGGCTATTTTTTTTTTTTTAATGTTTTGGTAGAGTTGAAGTCTCACTATGTTGTCCAGGCTGAGTCATTTTCAATTTCAATTTTATTTTTGCAATGCATCATTTTAAATATATATATATATATATCTACAACCCTAACTTCCTCACCCAGAATCTCCTTCTCAGAACTAATCACTTTTTTTTTTTTTTTTGAGATAGACTTTTGCTCTTATTGCCCAGGCTGGAGTGCAATGGTGCGATCTCGGCTCACCGCAACCTCCACCTCCCAGGTTCAAGCGATTCTCCTGCCTCAGCCTCCCAAGTAGCTGGGATTACAGGCATGCACCACGACACCCGGCTAATTTTGTATTTTTTAGTAGAAACGAGGTTTCTCCATGTTGGTCAGGCTGGCCTCGAAATCCCAACCTCAGGTGATCCACCCTCCTTGGCCTCCCAAAGTGCTGGGATTACAGGCGTGAGCCGCTGCGCCTGGCCAAACTAATTACTATTAATGGTCTTGTGTTTCTTTCTAAATGTATTATATGCATATACAGATGCATGCATATTTCCTTTAATATAAATAGCAGCATAATATTTACACTGTTCTGTATCTTTTTACACTTAAAAATAACATATCTTGGCAAATATTCTGTATCAATACATGTAGAGTTACTTCGTTCTTTTCAACAGCTGTAAAACATTCTGTTGGGGAGATACTGGGAAGAAGATGAACTGAAAAGGGAGAAATTTATTAACAATAATACATAGCATTTCTCAGGCTCTGTTTTCTATGCATAAAACTGTAAGACTCCTAACCCCCATGCAAAGCCCATGCGTGCGTGTTCTCTCAGCCTACAATGGGGAGATATTCAGGTGCACTCTCCGATGTGCCAACACACAGAAAGGTTCAAGCCGTGCAGGGTAGTCCTTTCCCCATCACGTCTCATAAAAACTTCTGTGTCAAGTCAAAAGAACTTACTCGGCCGGGTGCAGTGGCTCATGCCTGTAATCCCAGCACTTTGGGAGGCTGAGGCGGGCAGATCACTTCAGGTCAGGAGTTTGAGGCCAGCCTGGCCAACATGGTGAAAACTTGTCTTCTAAAGATACAATAATTAGCCGGGCGTGGTGGCACGTGGCTGTAGTCCCAGCTACCTGGGGGGCTGTAGAATTGCTTGAACCGGGAGGGGGAGGTTGCAGTGAGCTGAGATCGAGCCACTGCACTCGAGCCTGGGAGACAGAGTAAGATGTCTCCAAAAAAAAAAAAAAAAAAAAGAGAAAAAAAAAAACTTAGTTCTGGTTTCAACATGATACATAAACTCTTCAAATCTGAGCGAGTAGCAACATGCAACATTCAGAATTGGCTTTGTCCTACAGTAACTAAGTGATTCCTTAGAATAAGAACCTTCTTAGAAGGCTCCTGATCTTTCATGCAAATAGACCTCTGGTGGGCCCTCTCTAGCTAACCTCCCAACAGTCCCATTAGGGTCTCAATCCGTTTAATGAAACGGTAACCATTGGCTCAAGATGAGTGATTCCAGTCTTCCCTGCCATCCCCTAAATACACACAATGAGGTGCTCCTGTAGAGTCAGCGCACCTCCTGTAAGCCTCATTGGCAGGCATGGAGAAAAGAGACTTCCATTAATGGACACCAAAGTTGGTGTTATTGCTCTCACTTACAGCTGAGGAAAGTGAGGTTAAGTACTAGCTAAGGAAAGAAGTGAGGCTGAAGTATTCATACAGGGGACAGTTATTAGTCTTCTGTTCCCACAAACTGCCTCTCCAGGGCTGGAGAACCCCTGTCTATCCACAACCATTCCAAGCACAACCTGTATTCACACTCCTATTAAATTATAAGTTTATCATGTACAGCTGTGTGCCCTTGGGCACTATGCATGTTTGATCATTCATTCATTCAATAAATATTCATCCCAGCACTTTGGGAGGCCAAAGCAGGTGGGTCACTTGAGGTCAGGAATTCAAGACTAGCCTGGCCAACATGGCAAAACCCTGTCTCTACTAAACATACAAAAATTAGCCGGGTGCGGTGGCTTATGCCTGTAATCCCAGCACTTTGGGAGGCCAAGGTGGGCAGATCACCTGGGTCAGGAATTTGAGACCAGCCTGGCCAACATGGCAAATCCCTGTCTTTACTAAAAATACAAAAATTAGCTAGGGATGGTGGCGGACGCCTGTAATCTCAGCTACTGGGGAGGCTGAGGCAGGGGAATCACTTGAACCCCGGGAAGCAGAAGTTGCAGTGAGCCAAGATTGCACCACTGTACTCCAGCCTGGGTGACAGAGCAGACTCCATCTCAAAAATAAATAAATAAGGCTGGGCATGGTGGCTCATGCCTGTAATCCCAGCACTTTGGGAGGCCAAGGCAGGTGGATCACCTGAGGTCAGGAGTTTAAGACCAGCCTGACCAACATGGAGATGCTCCGTCTCTACTAAAAATATAAAATTAGCCAGGTGCGGTGGCGCATGCCTGTAACCTCAGCTACCCGGGAGGCTGAGGCCGGAGAATCGCTTGAACCTGGAAGGTGGAGGTTGCGGTGAGGCGAGATCATACCATTGCACTCCAACCTGGGCAAGAAGAGTGAAACTCCATCTTAAAAATATATATAAATAAAAATAAATAAATAAATAAATATTTACTGAGTCCTGGCCATTGAGCCCAGGCATGCTTTCTCCTGGGGCTTTGTCCCAAAAGAGGCACAACTTGAAGCTTTCAACATGTAAACAAGTAGGTAAGTAAGATATATACAGTTAGCAATAAATTCTCTGGAGGAGAGGAAGGGTAAGGTGATAAAGTGTAACTAGGAAGAAGAGGCTGTTTTAGATAGAAGGGCCAGGAAAGGGCTCAAAGAAGGTGACATTCCAGCTGAAGCCTGAAGTGTGGGAGGTAAGAAGGAACCAGTCATGCAAAGACTGAGGATAAGCATATAGGCACAGTGTACAGCAGCTGCTGGACCTGTTTGGCTCATTTCAGCATAGCACAATGTGTCACTCAAAATATACCTTTCAAATAAAAATGAATCCACATTGCTTTGCCAAGGACTAAAACATATTTTAAGGCCAAGTATTACCATAAAATTTTACTTAAAATATATTGAAATAGGCTGGGCGCAGTGGCTCATGCCTCATGCCTGTAATTCCAGCACTTCGGGAGGCCGAGGCAGGTGGATCACCTGAGTTCAGGAGTTCAAGACCAGCCTGACCAACATAGGGAAACCCCATCCCTACTAAAAATAACAAAAATTAGCCAAGCGTAATCCCAGCTACTTGGGAGGCTGAAGCAGGAGAATCACTTGAACCTGGGAGGCAGAGGTTGCAGTGAGCTGAAATCGTGCCTGGGCAACAAGAGTAAAACTCTGTCTCAAAAAAAAAAAAACAATTAAAATACTTTATATTATTACATTTATTTATTTATTTATTTATTTATGTATTTTGAGACGTAATTTTGCTCTTTGTTGCCCAGACTAGAGTGCAATGGCACAATCTTGGCTCCCTGCAACCTCCACCTCCTGCCTCCCGAGTTCAAGTGATTCTCCTGCCTCAGCCTCCCAAATAGCTAGGATTACAGGTGTGCACCACCACACCCAGCTAATTTTGCATTTTTAGTAGAGATGGGTTTTCACCATGTTGGTCAGGCTGGTCTCGAACTCGTGACCTCGAGAGATCCACCTGCCTAAGCCTCCCAAAGTGTTAGGATTACAGGCATGAGCCACTATGCCCAGCATTACATTATTTTAATAAATTTTTTAATGTGTATTATAATGATAACCTTGGCTAGGCCAGATGGCTCACACCTATAATTCCAAGCACGTTGGGAGACCAAGACATGCAGATCGCTTGACCCCAGGAATTCAAGACCAGCCTGGGCAATATGGCAAAACCCCATCTCTATAAAAATTTTTTTAAAAATCATTAAAAAAAATATATATATATAAGTGATTATCTCTATTTGATATTGACTGAGTCAGCATAATATATTCTTTCACGATCCTATGATATGTTGAACTCTGTGTGATAAAATAGTGATGCAAAGAAAGTTTATTTAAAAATGAATGCTGGGGCCAGGCATGGTGGCTGACACCTGTAATCCCAGCACTTTGGGAGGCCAAGGCGAACGGATCACTTGAGGTCAAGAGTTTGAGACCAGCCTGGGCAACATGGTAAAACCCCATCTCTACTAAAACTACAAAAATTATCCAGGCATGGTGGTGCATGCCTGTAGTATCAGCTACTTCAGAGGCTGAGGTAAGAGAATAGCTTGAACCCGGAAGGCAGAGGTTGCAGTGAGCCAAGAGTGTGCCACTGCACTGCAGCCTGGGTGACAGACTGAGACTCTGTCTCAAAAAAAAAAATTTTTTTTTAATGAGTACTGGGTTGAGAATCAAAGACCAAGGTTCTAGTACCCGGTTCTCTCTCTCTCTCTTTTTCTTTTTTTTTTTTTGAGATGGAGTCTTGCTTTGTCGGCCAGGTTGGAATGCAGTGGCATGATCCCAGCTCACTGCAACCTTCACCTACCAGGTACAAGAGATTCTCCTGCCTCAGCCTCCTGAATAGCTGGGATTACAGGTACCTGCCACCATGCCCTGCTAATTTTTGTATTTTTAGTAGAGATGAGTTTCACCATCTTGGCCAGGCTAGTCTCGAATTCCTGACCGCAAGTGATCATCCACCTTGGCCTCCCAAAGTGTTGGGATTATAGGTGTGAGCCACCGTGCTGGGCCCCAGACTCTCTTTTAAACCAACTTTATGTTTTGGGACCAGCCAGTTAACCTAAGTTAGGCAACCTGGTTTTCCTTTTTGAGCAGCATCAACAGCTTGGGATAGATCAGCGATTTTTGAAACAGTTCTATGATGCCTTTGGAGGGCCAGATGCGAGGCACAGTCTCAGTTACCTTCCCCACTACGGTAGCTTTCCTGTGTTTTATATGTTGACATTTCATGTGACAGTCTGTTGTAGGAATATGTTCCACTGGTTAAAAAAGAAAAAGATTTGAAAACCACTGGATCCTCAAATTTCCTTCTGTAATACAAGATATGGATAGAATTGTGAAGAATTTTTTTCTCTTTTCTTAGAATTCCTTACAAACTATATGTGTACATCATATTTGAGACAACTCAAGAATAATATGAAATATGGGAGCTAAGCTATGAGGATGCAAAGGCATAAGAATGATACAATGGACTTTGGGGGCTACACATTGAGTACAGTGTACACTCCTCGGGTGACGGGTGCACCAAAATCTCAGAGATTACCACTAGAGAACTCATCCATGTAACCAAAATCCACCTGTTCCCCAAAAACTATTGAAATAAGAATAGTTAAAAAAATAATAATTTCATTGACCAGCAAAAGAAAAGAATAACATGAAATAAAGTGAATTGGCCGGGCGTGGTGGCTCATGCCTGTAATCCTAGCACTTTGGGAGGCTGAGGCGGATGGATGACCTGAGATCAGGAGTTCGGGACTAGCCTGGCCAACATAGTGAAACCCCATCTCTACTAAAAATACAAAAAGTTAGCCAGGCGTGATGGTGGGCACCTGTAATCCCAGCTGCTTGGGAGGCTGAGGTGGGAGAATTGCTTGAACCTGGGAGGTGGAGGTTGCAGTGAGCTGAGATTGCACCATTGCACTCCAGTATGGGCAAGAAGAGCGAAACTCTGTCTGTAAATAAATAAATAAATAAATAAATAAATAAAGTGAATTATTTCACTTGAATGAATGCAGAAAATATATTTACTTTTAATATAAATATGACATTTTCCTCCAAGAACACAGAACATTAACCAAAGTTCCTTGCCCTTTCAATTAAAAAAAATGTAATTGTTTCTGATTTAAATTCTACTTGTTCTATCAGAATTGTTGAGAATATTCTACACACATTCGAATGGACTTCTTTTCTCCTTTCAAAATACTGACAATATTTAACAATAAGGAAGGAAATGCCAATCTGGCAAAATGCGGGATGTGAAAATGGTGCTATGGGCATGAGAAAACTCCTACTATTAAGTTAGCAAGTTTCGAGTCCTTTACAAAAAGAAGAACTGACTTATTAATACCAGCTTTGCTTAGTCATGTCATTTTTTTAAAGTTATTTTGCTGTTATGTATTGACTTTTTCGCTGGCATCAACGTGGGAATCAATGTCACATGAATTCATGTTCATGCTAATTTTTTCTTGTTCTTTTTGTCTTTAACAGCTATCTGAGGTACACAGATGTTATGGATCTGGTAGCAAAGACCTTCAGTCATTCAAAAAAATTCACACTCCTTTCTTCTCTTGTTTGAAGTACTTAGACTATGCTTCTTTCTTTAGAGTATGCAAGACCATTGTTGCATGGTATAGTGCTTCATAATAGGTAGTGAACATATTTAGTAATGAACATGTCAGGCACTCATTGTTATCCCCTGAAAACACTGTGCAGTAAAGTTATTTTTCCTTGACTTTTCTTTAAATTAAAAAAAAATTTTTCTTTGAAACAGGTCTTGTTCTGTCACCCAGGCTGGAGTGCAGTGGCTCAATCACAGCTCACTGCAGTTTGACTTCCTGGGCTCCAGCAATCCTCCTACCTCAGCCTCCCAAGTAGCTGGGACCACAAGCACGAGCCACACACACCTGGTTAATTTTTGTATTTTTTATAGAGACGGGTTTTTACCATGTTGCCCAGGCTGGTCTCAAACTCCTGAGTTCTATGACACTGTGTCCGGCTTGATCTTTGATTTTGGGTCCCCTTGGCCTGGCAGCCAGGGTCTTCCTAGGGCATCCCTATTTCTGGACCCCAACCTGTCTGCATTCTCTGGCCAAGTCCCTCAAACTCCAGGTCTTTCTGAACTCCTTCCTTAGCGTCCAGTGACTTCAACATGAGCAAAACTGTCTCAAAAAAAAGAAAAGAAAAGAAAAGAAAAAAAGAAATTCACACTCAAGTATTAGATAGGAATGGCCGGGCGTGGTGGCTCACGCCTGTAATCCCAGCACTTTGGGAGGCCAAGGCGGGTGGATCACGAAGTCAGAAGATCGAGACCATCCTGGCTAACACGGTGAAACCCCGTCTCTACTAAAAATCCAAAAAAATTAGCCGGGCGTGGTGGCGGCCGCCTGTAGTCCCAGCTACTCGGGAGGCTGAGGCAGGAGAATGGCGTGAACCTGGGAGGCAGAGCTTGCAGTGAGCCGAGATCGCGCCACTGCAGTCCAGCCTGGGCGACAGAGCGAGACTCCATCTCAAAAAAAAAAAAAAAAAAAAAGTGTTAGACAGGAAAAAAAAAGTGGTATTGTTTCCAAGTAAACACATTCATTGTCATTCAATAGTTTTCTGAAGAGTTATGAATACCATGGGATTTCAGGTAGTTAGAAGGAGATGTTATCCCATTACCAGCTTTCTTAGCATTCTTTTCAAATGCCACCACAGAGAGGGCCATCTTTGCTAAATGAATGTAAGCTGCCTTTTTCTTATTCAATGAAACTTGCTTACTCATAGCTCACAAAGTTCCTCTGAAGATGATTAGTAAGCAATATTTCAAAGTTTCAGCAAAAACATTGAAGGAGGCTACCCATGACTATTGAATTCACATTAGCAGTATGAAAAGAAGTCACATTGCCGTATCAGCTAGCCAATGTTCCTGCTAAATTGTTTTTTTCCATTAAAAAACTGCTTACACACATAAAGAGAAAGGACTTCACAAAGAAATATAGAATATTAGAGCTGGAAGGGAGCTTTATGATCATCTAAGCCAATGTACTTATATAGAAAAAAATGAGGCTATTAAGTTACCAAAGATCATCCAGCTGGTGGTAGATCTCATTTCTCAGCTACAGGCTCTCATAGCACCCTGGTTCCCTCTTTTCTTTAGAGCATGACACCAGTAACACTTTTCAAAAAATTAATACATAATAGTTGTACATATTTTGGGGGTGCATGTGATATTTTTATACATACATACAATGTGTAATGATCAAATCAGAGTGATTGGGGTATCCATCTCCTCAAACATTTATTATGTTGGAAACATTCCAATTCTTCTCTTCTAGCTATTTTGAAATATATAATATATTGCTGTTAACTATAGTCACCCTACTGTACTATCAAACATAAGATCTTGTTCTTTCTAATTGTACTTTTGTACCCATTCACCAATCTCTCTTCCTTGTCCCCTGCCCCACTTCTCTTGCCAGCCTCTGGTAACCACCAATCAACTCTCTACCTCTATGAGATCCACTTTTTAAGCTCCCACATATGAGTGAGATCATGTGGTATTTGTCATACTGTGCCTGGCTCATTTCACTTAACATAATAACCTCCAGTTCCATCCATGTTGCTGCATTTTACAGGATTTTACTCTTATGTATGGCTGAATAATATTTCATTATATATGTACCATATTTTCTTTAACTATTTATCCATTGGTGGACACTCAGGCTGATTCCACATCTTGGCTATTGTAAATGGTGCTGCAATAAACATGGGAGTGCAGATAATTCTTCCATACTGTGATTTCCTTTCTTTTGGATATATACCCAGCAGTGGGATTGCTACATGATATGGTAGTTCTATTTTTAGTTTTTTGAGGAACTGCCATACTGTTCTGCATAGTGGTTGTATTAATTTACAATCCCACCAACAGTGCACAAGCATTTCCCTTTTTCCACATCCTCATCAGCATCCATTATTTTTTGTCTTTTTGGTTATAGCCATTTTAACTGGAATGAGATAATATCTCAGTTTGGTTTTGATTTGCATTTGTCTGATGATTAATGATGTTGAGCATTTTTTCACATATACTTGTAAGCCATTTGTCTTCTTTTTGAGAAACGTCTATTCAGATCTTTTGTTCATTTTAAAATCAGATTATCCTTTTTTTTGCTATTTGGTTGTTTGAGTTCCTTACATATTTTGGCTATTAAATATTTTCTCCCATTCTGTAAACTCTCTTTTCATTTTGTTGATTGTTTCCTTTGCTGTGCAGAAGCTTTTTAGCTTGATGTAATCCCATTTGTCTATTTTTGTTTTTGTTGCCTGTGCTTTTGAGGTCTTACCCAAAAAGTCTTTGCCCAGACCAATGTCCTGAAGCATTTCCCAATGTTTTCTTCTAGTAGTTGCATAGTTTCAGGTCTTAGATTTAAGTCTTTAATCCATTTTGATTTGATTCTTATATATGGTGAGAGATAGGGGTCTAGCTTCATTCTTCTGCATAGGGTTATCCTATGCAGTTTTCCCATCACCATTTATTAAAGAGGCTGTCCTTTCCCCAACGTATCTTCTTGGTGCCTCTGTCAAAAATGAGTTGACTGTAAATTTGCGGTTTTGTATCTGAGTTATCTATTGTGTTCTGTCGGTCTATGTGTCCGTTTTTATGCCAGTGATACATCCACTTGTCATTATTTCATTAATGCCTGTCTCCCCCACTAGACTATTCCTTCTTGAATGCAAGAACCCCGTATTGGCCAGGCGCAATGGCTCACATTAGTAATCCCAGCACTTTGGAAGGCCGAGGCAGGTGGATCACTTGAGATTAGGAGTTCGAGACCAGCCTGGCCAACATGGTGAAATCCCATCTCTACTAAAAGTATAAAAATTAGTCAGGCACGGTGGCACGCCCCTGTAGTCTCAGCTACTCAGGGGACTGAGGCAGGAGAATTGCTTGAACTCAGGAGGTGGAGGTTGCAGTGAGGTGAATCGAACCACTGCACTCCAGTCTAGGCTAGAGAGGGAGATTCTGTCTCGAAAAAACAAACAACAACAACAACAACAAAAACCCTGTCTAGTTTTCCTTGCTGTTTGACAGTACAGTGTCAGATATGTAGTCAGTGCTCAGTAAATATGTGTTGAATGAGTATCAGGAAACACAGAATAAACTATCGATAAACTATCAATAAACATACAATCAATAGTATACTTAGACTGGGCATGGTGGCTCACATCTGTAATCCCAGCACTTTGGGAGGCTGAGGTGGGAGGATCATTTGAGCCCAGGAGTTCAAGATCAGCCTAGGCAACATAGTAAGACCCCATCTCTACAAAAAGTTTGTTTATTTATTTACATTTTTTGCGATGGAGTTTTGCTTTCATTGCCCAGGCTGGAGTGCAGTGGCACAATCTTGGCTCACTGCAACCTCCACCTCCTGGGTTCAAGTGATTCTCCTGCTTCAGCCTCCCAAGTAGCTGGGACTACAGGCAAGCGCCACCACTCCCAGCTAATTTTGTATTTTTATTAGAGATGGAGTTTCACCATGTTGGCCAGGGTGGTCTCGAACTCCTGACCTCAAGTGATCCATCCACCTCGGCCTTCCAAAGTGCAGTGATTACAGGTGTGAGCCACCAAGCCCGGCCTTATTTATTTATTTTATTTTATTTTATTTTTTTGAGATGGAGTCTTGCTCTGTCACCCAGGCTGGCATGCAGTGGCGCAGGGTCTCAGCTCACTGCAACCTCTGCTTCCTCAAGTGATTCTCCTGCCTTAACCTTCCAAGTAGCTGGGATTACAGGCACCCACCACAATGCCCAGCTAATTTTGTATTTTTAGTAGAGGTGGGTTTTTGCGATGTTAGCCAGGCTGGTCTCAAACTCCTGACCTCAAGTGATCCGCCCGCCTCGGCCTCCCAAAGTGCTGAAATTACTGGTGCAAGCCATTGCGTCTGGTCCCCCAATTTATTATTTTTTTAAATTAACCAGGTGTGGTGGCACTCGCCTATAGTCCCAGCTACTCGTGAGGCTGAGGTGAGAGGATCATTTGAGCCCAGGAGGTTGAGGCTGCAGTGAGCTGTGATTGCACCACTGCACTACAGCCTGGACTATAAAGTGAGACCCCGACTCAAAAAAAAAAAAAAAGGAAAAAAGAAAAAGAAAAAGAAAAAAGAAAAACAACCATAAAAACTTGTATATTTAGTCTGTGGAATAATTGTCAAACTATCATTCACACCTTATATGGACATGCTACTTACATTAGTCCAGGATATGTTAGATTCTGCTGCAGTAAAATACAAACCTTGATATGTCTGTGGCTGGAGACAAAAAGATTTACCTTTTTTTTTTTTTTTTTTTTTTTTAGAGAGAGTCTCGCTCTGTTGCTCAGGCTGGAGTGTAATGGCACAATCTCAGCTCGCTGCAACCTCCACCTCCCGGGTTCGAGCGATTCTTCTGCCTCAGCCTCCTGAGTAGGTGGGATTATAGGCATGCGTCACCACGACCGGCTAATTTTTGTATTTTTAGTAGAGACGGGGTTTCACCGTGTTGGCCAGGCTCAACTCCTAACCTCGTGATCCGCCCACCTCAGCCTCTCAAAGTGCTGGGATTACAGGCGTGAGCCACCGCACCTGGCCAAGATTTACTTCTTATTCATTGAAATTGTATATGTGACAGGCAACCTATCTCCATCTTGTAGCTACTTCTCGTGGAGCATGCATCCTCCAAGGTCCCTGTAGCAGGGGAAGTTCCAGATAGAGGCAGCATATGGCACTTCCACCTATAGTTTTTTGGCCAGAACAAATCATATGGCCCTATCCCAGTGGCAAAAGAGATTGACAAAGTCTTAGGGAGAACAACCGTCTCTGCTTGATCTTGTGTGTATTAATTATAATAATAGGCCGGGCGCGGTGGCTCACGCCTGTAATCCCAGCACTTTGGGAGGCTGAGGCGGGTGGATCACGAGGTCAAGAGATGGAGATCATCCTGGCCAACATGGTGAAACCCCGTCTCTACTAAAAAACACAAAAAGTAGCTGGGCGTGGTGGCGCATGCCTGTAGTCCCAGCTACTCGGGAGGCTGAGGCAGGAGAATTGCTTGAACCTGGGAGGTGGAGGTTGCAGTGAGCCCAGATCACGCCACTGCACTCTAGCCTGGTGACAGAGTGAGACTCTGTCTCAAAAAAACAAAAACAAAAAGAAAAAAATTTGTAATAATAACAATCATGCCCCTAGTGGTCTAGTGGCTAGGATTAAAAAAAAAAAAATCTTGAATATTTATTGAGCTCTTACTTTGTGCCAGGCCACGTGCTGGGTGCTTTATTACATTGATTGCTTCATTTAACACTATTACAAGCAAATGAGCTGCAGGGACTCTCATTACAATCAGTTTCCAAATGAGGAAACTACAGAATTAGTTAATTGTTCAAGGTTACTCCTGATAAATGAGATCAGGGGTTTGAACCACTATGTGTCAGGCACTCTAGCCTGTGCCCTTAGCCACTCTGACTTAATATCGTCTATGTGTTTCAACAGTGGAGGCTTTTGAAGAACACCAGATTGGTTTTTAATAACACAAATAGAAGATAGGAAAGAATTATAAAATCCATTTGTTGTTGGGTATTGTGGTTCACGCCTGTAACCTTAGCACTTTGGGAGGCCCAGACAGGTGGACTGCTTGAGCTCAGGAGTTTGAGACCAGCCTGGGCAACATGGCAAAACCCCGTCTCTACCAAAAAATACAAAACTTAGCTGGGTGTGGTGGTGCATGTCTGTGGTCCCAGCTACTTGGAAGGCTGAGGTGGGAGAATGGCTTGAGCCTGGGAGGCGGAGGTTGGTTGCAGTGAGCCGAGATCACAACACTGCACTCCAACCTAGGTGACAGAGTGACAGAGTGAGACCCCATCTCAAAAAAAAAAAAAATCCATTTGTTTGTAGCTAACATCAATTTAGCTACCCAGCTCAAGAAGCGTCTGTCATTAACATCACCAATAGTGAAGAAAGCTGAGATCATATATGCCTCCTGATATAATCCACTGAGGACAAAACATTTCGTGTAGCATTTCTGCCCAAAGTGCATGATCAGAACCTAATCATGAGGAAACCCAAATTGAGGGACAGTCTATGAAAGAACTAGCCTGCAGTCTTCAAAATGTCAATGATGCCATGCGCCATGGCATGCAACTGTAGTCCTAACTATTTTGGAGGCTGAAGCAGGAGGATTGCTTCAGTCCAAGAGTTCAAGACCAGACTGAACAACACAGCAAGACCCTGTCTTATGAAACAAAAAAAAAAGTTACCTGTAATCCTAGCAATTTGAGAGGCCGAGGCAAGAGGACCACTTGAGATCAGGAGTTCCAGACCACCCTGGGCAACATGGCAAAACCCCATCTCTACAAAAAAATAAAAATAAATAAAAATAAAGAGTTGATGCTGTGAAGGACAAAGAAAGGCTGAGGAACTCCTCCAGATTTAAAGGGATGAAATGGAACCACCATAAAGTGCAATGTATGGTCTTGAATTGGATCCTGGCGAGAAGGGGGTCAAAAGTGCTATAAAGGACATATCCGGGGTAATTGGTGATATTCTAATATGAACATTATATTAGATAACAATATTATAACAATAACAAACTCCTCAAATGTGATCATGATACAGTAGTGATACATATCATCAAAATAGTGAGATATTTAGACATGAAGTCATAAACCTGGCTATTCCGAAGGTAGTGAGTGACCTCAATTGATTGTTCGCAGTCAAAGATTGAAATCCTTATTCTCCTCTTTTCCCCCTTTCACTACTGCACTTGACTAGTCTTAAAAAGATAAATAAACATAATAAATATGCTGGGCATGGTGGCTCACACATGTAATCCCCACATTTTGGGAGGCTGAGGTGGGAGGATCACTTGAGCCCAGGAGTTCAAGAACAGCCTGGAAAACATGGCAAAATCCCATCTCTACAAAAAATACAAAAATTAGCCAGGCATGGTGGCACACACCTGTAGTTCCAGCTACTCAGGGGACTGAGGCAAGAGGATCATTTGAGCCTGGGAGGTCGAGGCTGCAGTGAGCCAAGATCACACCACTACACTCCAGCCTGGGCCACAGAGCGAGACCCTGTCTTTAAAATAAGTACATAAATAAATAACATAAACTTTAGATACTTGATTTCAAGTTTCATAACTTTATAACTTCAGCATATTGCACAGGCAAAGAATAATGATGAAGAAATAAAATAATTTATATACCAGGAGAAATACTAATTGAAGCATAGATAGATTTTCAATTTCCCATGAATTTCTTTAATCCTGCCAGCCATTGTCATTTTTAGGAGAGGATGAAAAGCTTTCTTTTTTTAATTGTTAGAATTTTATTTATTTATTTTTACTTTTAGTATTTATTTATTTATTTATTTATTTTTGAGATGGAGTTTCAGTCTTTTTTCCCAGGCTGAGTGCAATGGCATGATCTCGGCTCACTGCAACCTCCACCTCCTGACTTCAAGATTGTCCTGCCTCAGCCTCCCAAGTAGCTGGGATTACAGGCATGTGCCACCATGCCCTGCTAATTTTGTATTTTTAGTAGAGACGGGGTTTCACCATGTTGGCCACGCTGGTCTCAAACTCCTGATCTCAGGTGATCCACCCGCCTCAGCCTCCCAAAGTGCTAGGATTATGGGCGTGAGCCACCTTGCCTGGCCTAATTTTTAGAATTTTAAAATTTTAAATTTTTATTTATTTATTTCATAAACACAGTAAATAACACTGTTTAGGTGTTCTTTGGTTTTTCTCAGTCATGTGTAGCATATAGGTATTGCACATATTTTGTTAAATTTATCCTTGAGTATTTCATTTTGTTGCTATCATGAATGATATTTTAATATATATATTCATTTATTTCAATAGCTTTTGTGGTACAAGCAGTTTCTGGTTACACTGATGAATTGTATAGTTGTAAAGTCTGAGATTTACGTATCACCCAAGTAGTATACATTGTACCCAATATGCAGTTTTTAAATCCATCATCCCTCTTCTACAACTCCGCCTTCTGAGTTTTCAAAGTCCATTATATCAATCTGTATGCCTTTGCATACCCATAGTTTAGCTCCCACTTATAAATGAGAATATGTAGTATTTGGTTTTCCATTCCTGAGTTACTTCACTTAGAATAATGGCCTCCAGCTCCATCCATGTTGCTGCAAAAGACATTATTCGGTTCTTTTTATGACTGAGTAGTATCCATGGTGTATATATATCACATTTTCTTTGTCCACTCATGGGTTGATGGGCACCAATCAACCAATTGGTTGGTTGCATATCTTTGCAATTGTGAACTGTGCAGCAATAAACATGCATGTGCAGGTGTCTTTTTGATATAATGACTTATTTTCCTTTGGGTAGATACCCAGTAGTGGGATTGCTGGATCAAATGGTAGATCTTTAAGAAATCTCCATACTAGACATTAAAAGATCAGTGGTTGTCAGGAGTTGTGGGCGGGGAGGGAGGGATGAATAGGTGGAACACAGAGGATTTTTCGGGCAGTGAAAATACTCTGTGTAATACCATAAAGATAGATTACATGTCATTATAAATTTGTCCAAACCCATAGAATGTACAACACTGAGAGTGAACTTTAATGTAAACCATGGACTCTGGGTAATTATGATGTGTCAATGTAGGTTTGTCAATTGTAACAAATGTACAGGTGGGGGATGTTGACAGTGGGGAGGCTGTGCATGTGGCGGGGCGGGTGGGGGGATTGGGGGGCGGGGTATATGAGAAATCTCTGTACCTTTCTCTCAATTTTTCTGTGAACCTAAAACTTGTAAAAATAAAGTCTTTAATAAAATTTAAAAAAAAAGAACTCTCCATACTGTTTCCATAGAGGTTGTACAAATTTACATTCTCACAAGCAATGTATAAGCACTCCCTTTTCACCACATCCACATCAAAATCTATTGTTTTTTGTCTTTTTAATAACGGCAATTCTGGGCCAGGTGCAGTGGCTCATGCCTGTAATCCCAGCACTTTGGGAGGCCTAGGTGTGTGGATCGCTTGTGTCCAGGAGTTCAAAACCAGCCTGGGCAACATGGCGAAACCCCATTTCTACAAAAAATACCAAAAAAAAAAAAAAAAAAAATTAGCAGGGCATGGTGGTGAATGCCTATGGTCCCAGCTACTCAAGAGGCTGAGGTGGGAGGATTGCTTCAACCCAGGAGGAGAGGTTGCAGTGAGCCAAGATTGTGGCACTACACTCCAACCTGGGTGATAGAGCGACACCTTATCTCAAAAAACAAAACAAAACAACGACAACAACAAAACAAAACTCAATTCTGGCTGGGGTAAGATGGTATTTCATTGTGGTTTTAATGTGCATTTCCCTGATGATTAGTGATATTCAGCATTTTTTCATATTTTTTTGGCCATTTGCAATATCTTTTTCTTTGAGAAGTGTCTATTCATGTCATTTGCCTACTTTTTGATGAGATAATTTTTTTTTTCTTGACGATTTGTTTGAGTTTTTTGTAGATTCTGGATATTACCTCTTCGTGGGATGCATAATTTGCAAATATTTTCTATCACTTTGTAGGTTGTCTGTTTACTCTGATGATTATTTCTTTTGCTGTGCAAGAAGCTTTTTAGTTTACTTCTGTCCCATTTATTTATTTTTGGTTTTGCTGCATTAGCTTTTGGGGTCTTAGTCATAAATTCTTTATGTAGGCCAATGTCCCAAACAGTTTTTCCTAGGTTTTTGACTAGAATTTTTATGGTTTCAGGTTTTAGATTTAAATCTTAAATTCATCTTAAGTTGACTTTTGTATATGGATCCCTATGGAGATAGGGATTCAGTTTCACTCTTCAGCAGGTGGCTATCCAGTTTTACCAGCACCACTTATTGAATATTGTTCTTTCCCCAATTTATGTTTTTGTATGTTTTGTTGAACACTAGGCAGTTGTAAGTATTTGGTCTTATCTCTGGATCCTCTATTCTGTTCCTTTGATCTATGTATCTACCTTTATACTAGTACCATGCTGTTTTGGTAACTATAGCCTTGTAGCATACTTTGAATTCAGGTAATGTGATGCCTTCAGATTTGCTCTTTTTGCTTAAGATTGCTTTGTCTACTTGAGCTCTTTTTTGGGTCCATATTAATTTTTGGATTTTTCTAATTCTGTGAAAAATGATGTTTGTATTTTAATAAGAATTGCACTTCTTGATAAAAACCCATCTCTATTAAAAATACACAAATTAGGCTGGATGCGGTGGCTCATGCCTGTAATCTCAGCACTCTGGGAGGCCAAAGTGGGCGGATCATGAGGTCAGGAGTTCGAGGCCAGCCTGGCCACATAGTGAAACCTCGTCTCTACTAAAAATAAAAATAAAAAATTAGCTGGGCATGGTGGTATGTGCCTGTAGTCCCAGCTACTTGGGAGGCTGAGGCAGGAGAATCGCTTGAACCTGG
This sequence comes from Homo sapiens, assembly GCF_000001405.40. Lineage (NCBI taxonomy): Eukaryota > Metazoa > Chordata > Mammalia > Primates > Hominidae > Homo > Homo sapiens. Next base: position 101,450,579 of record NC_000012.12, read on the forward strand.
GAGGCGGAGGTTGTGGTGAGCCAAGATGGTGCCACTGCACTCCAGCCTGGGAAACAGAGCAAAACTCCATCTCAAAAAAAAAAAAAAAAAAATTAGCTGGGAGTGATGGTGGGTGCCTGTAATCCCAGTTACTCAGGAGGCTGAGATAGAAGAATCGCTTGAACCCAGGAGATGGAGGTTGCAGTGAGCCAATATGGTGCCGTTGCACTCCAGCCTGGGCAACAATAGTGAAACTCCATCTCAAAAAAAACAAAAAAACAAAAAAACAATTGCATTGAATCTGTGGATTGCTTTGCGAAATATGGTTATTTTCACAATGTTGATTCTTCTTTCAATTCATAAGAATAGGACATATCTCCATCTGTTTGTATCATCTATGATTTCTTTCAGCAGTGTTTTGTAGTTCTCCTTTTAGAGATTTTTTACCTCCTTGATTAAAAGAGATCCTTTCACCTCCTTGGTTAAGTATATTGCTAGGTGTTTGTTTTGTTTGTTTATTGTTTTTTTTTTGCAGCTATTTTACTTTTTTTTTTGAATCAACAAAATCAGAGATTTATTGAAAACGAAAAGTACACTCCACAGGGTGGGAGCGGGTCCTAGCAAGCAGCTCAGGAGCCACTATTATTATTGTTACTTTTTTTATAGAGACAGGGTCTCGGTATGTTGACCAGACTGGTCTCGAACTCTTGCCCTTTCACCTCCTTGGTTAAGTACATTCCTAGTTGTTTTTTTTTTTTTTTGGCAGCTATTTTATTTTATTTTTTTTGCAGCTATTTTATTATTTTTTTTTATAGAGATGGAGTCTTGCTATGTTAACCAGGCTGGTCTTGAACTCCTGGCCTCAAGTGATCCTCCTATCTCAGCCTCCCAAAGTGTGAGGATTACAGGTTTGAGCAACCACATCCTGCCTTTTGCAGCTATTTTTAAAGAGATTGAGTTCTTGATTTGATTTTTAGCTTTGTTGTTGTTGATGCATAGCAGTGATACTGATTTGTGTACATTGATTTTCTTTTTTTTTCTTTTTTCTTTTTTTTTCTTTTTTTTGGAGATGGAGTCTCTCTCTGTTGCCCAGGCTGGAGTGCAGTGGCACGATCTCAGCTCACTGCAACCTCCACCTCCCAGGTTCAAGCAATTCTCCTGCCTCAGCCTCCCGAGTAGCTGGGATCACAGGCATGCACAACCATACCTGGATAATTTTTGTATTTGTTTTTTTTAGTAGAGATGGGGTTTCACCATGTTGGCCAAGCTGGTCTGGAACTCCTGACCTCAGGCAATCCATCTGCCTCAGCCTCCCAAAGTGCTGGGATTACAAGTATGAGCCACTTCACCTGACGTGTACATTGATTTTGTACCCTGAGAGTTTACTGAATTCATTTATCAAATATAGGCATCTTTTGGAGGAGTCTTTAAGATTTTCTAGGTATATGATTGTATCATTGGCAAAAAGATAGTTTGACTTCCTTTTCCAATTCGGATGCCCTTTATTTTTTTTTCTTGCCTGATTGCTCTGTCTAAGAATTCCTATTTACTTATTTACTTTAGTTTTCAGAAAACCATAGGTAAAAAGCTAACTTTCAAATTTCTCTTTTTTTGCAGGCATGCTTCTTTTTTTTTTTTTTTTGAGATGGAGTCTCACTTTGTTGTCCAGGCTGGAGTGCAATGGCATGATCTCAGCTCACCACAACCTCCACTTCCTGGGTTCAGGCGATTCTCCTGCCTCAGCCACCTGGGCTGGGATTACCAGTGCCTGCCACCATGCCTGGCTAATTGTTGTACTTTTAGTAGAGATGGGGTTTCGTCATGTTGGCCAGGTTGGTCTCGAACTCCTGACCTCAGGTGATCCGCCCCCTTTGGCCTCCCAAAGTGCTGGGATTACAGGTGAGCCACCGCACCCTGCCACAGGCATGCTTCTTTTGCAGACCAATATAGAAAACATAGAATACGGCCACGTGTTGTGGCTCACGCCTGTAATCCTAACACTTTGGAAGCAGAGGCAGGTGGATCACCTGAGGTCAGGAGTTTGAGACCAGCCTGGCCAATGTGGTGAAACCCCATCTCTACTAAAAATACAAAAGTTAGCCGGGCGTGGTGGTGCATGCCTGTAGTCCCAGCTACTTGGGAGGCTGAGGCAGGAGAATCACTTGAACCCCGGAGGCAGAGGTTGCAGTGAGCAAAGATTGCACTGCTGCACTCCAGCCTGGGTGACTGAGTGAGACACTCAAAGAAAAAAAAAAGAAAGAAAGAAAGAAAAAGGCAATACAGAATAAATGATTTAATATATGTGAGATGCTTAAAACTTAAAACAATGCTAGACACATAGTACGTTCTCAATTAAGGATAGCTGATTTTTGAAAAGTGATAAAATATAAATATTAGCTGAGCAGAGTTGAAATTGACCCTCACTTAATCTATAGTTATCTCAGAACAGGTAAGGATCCATTGCAAAGTGTTCTAGGGACCTAGAACTTCATTCAAAGCGTTAGAAATGTTTACCTGGCAGGTCATGGAATTGGGAGACTGGTAGTTCTATGTTCAAATCACTAGGATTAGTAAACTTTTGAATGCTTTCGTTGTCAAGTTGGACTTTGTTCTGACATTCCTGGGTAGTCTAAGTTCCTTAGAACCAACCACAGCTGATTATTTTTCTTTTTTCCATTATTTTTTATGTTGTATTTTATTTTGAGACAAGGTCTTATTCTGTGGCCCAGGCTGGAGTGCAGTGATGCCATCTTGGCTCACTGCAACCTCCGCCTCCTGGGTTCAGGCGATTCTCTTGCCTCAGGCTCCAGAGTAGCTGGGATTACAGGTTCACGCCACCATGCCTGGCTAATTTTTGTATTTTTAGTAGAGATAGAATTTTGCCATGTTGGTCAGGCTGGTGTCGAACTCCTGGCCTCAAGTGAGCCACCTGCCTCGGCCTCCCAAAGTGCTGGAATGACAGGCATAAGCGACCACTCCCATCCTGTTTTATTTTTTAGAGGCAGGGTCTTGCTCTGTTGTCCATACTGAAGTGTGATGACACAATCATAGCTCACTGCAGCCTCAAACTCCTGGGTTCAAGCCATCCTCCTGCCTCAGCCTCCAGAGTTGCCGGGATTACAGGCACACACCACCACACCCAGTTCCAATAGCAGGCTATTATTATGTGCGCCCAGAAGGAAAGAACAATGGAGAAAAGCGTGAACTTTAGAAGGTCACTGTGCTTGGTTCCACCACCTCCTAGATTTTGACCTTGAGAATCTGTGTGACTTGATTTCCTTCATTGCATCATGGTACTGATACTACTAATTACCTGGGGGTAAAACTGTCGGGCAGATTAAAAAGAGCTAATACATCCAAAGTGCTTAGAACGGGAAACACCCAAGATATTCTAGATAATTGATAAATGCTAGCCCTCTTGTTATGGCTATGCTAAGTACGCCTGTGGTGACCAAGTCTTCCTGGTTAACCTGGGACTTTTTTTGTTGTTGTTTAGATGGAGTTTCACTCTTGTTTCCCAGACTGGAGTGCAAAGGCATGATTTCGGCTCACTGCAACCTCCGCCTCCCAGGTTCAAGTGATTCTCCTGCCTCAGCCTCCTGAGTAGCTGGGATTACAGGCACCCGCCACCACGCCTGGCTAATTTTTTGTTTTTTTAATAGAGATGGGGTTTCACCATGTTGGCCAAGCTTGTCTGGAAATCCTGACCTCAGACGATCCACCCACCTCCACCTCCCAAAGTGCTGGGATTACAGGCGTGAGCCCCCATGCCCAGCTAAAATTTGAGTTTTATTATTATTATTATTATTATTATTGAGAGAGGGTCTAGCTTTTTTGTCCAGGCTGGAGTGCAGTGGTGCAATCTCAGCTCACGGCAACCTCCACCTCCTGGGTTCAAGCGATCCTCCTGCCTCAGCCTCCCAAGTAGCTAGGATTACAGGCATGTGCCACGATGCCCAGCTAATTTTTGTACTTTTTGTAGAGAGGAGCCTTCACCATGTTGACCAGGCTGGGCTCCAACTCCTGACCTCAAGGGATCCACTCGCTTCAGCCTCCCAAACTGGTGGGATTACAGGCGTGAGCCACTGCACCCAACCAATTTTTCTACTACTATTAGTTTATTTATTTATTGAAACAGAGTCTCATTCTGTTGCCCAGGCTGGAGTGCAATGGCACAATCTTGGCTCACTGCAACCTCTACCTCCTGGGATGAAATGATTCTCGTGTCTCAGCCTCCCAAGTAGCTGGGATTACAGGTGTGCACCACCACACCCAGCTAATGTTTTTGTATTTTTAGTAGAGATGGGATTTTGCCATGTTGCCCAGGCTGGTTTCGAACTCCTGAACTCAAGTGATCTGCCTGCCTCATCCTCCCAAAGTGCTGGGATTACAGGCGTGAGCCACCCCATCCAACAAGACCAAAACCCTGTTTCTTTTCTTTTCTTTTTTTTTTTGGAGATGGAGTTTCGCTCTTTGTTGCCCAGGCTGGAGTGCGATGGCGTGATCTCGGCTCACCTCAACCTCTGCCTCCTGGGTTCAAGATTCCCCTGCCTCAGCCTCCCAAGTAGCTGGGATTACAGGCATGTGCCACCACACCTGGCTAATTTTGTATTTTTAGTGGAGATGGGGTTTCTCCATGTAGGTATGTAGGTCAGGCTGGTCTCAAACTCCCGACCTCAGGTGATCCGCCCGCCTCAACCTCCCAAAATGCTGGGATTACAAGCGTGAGCCACCGTGCCTGGCCAACACTTTTAATATTAAACAAATAAATGGAAGCTATGTATTCATTTAAGAAAGATAAATAAAAACAAGTAAGATAATTATTTACCTAATTTTGGGGGAATCAGTGATGAAGGCAGTCACAGTGGCCATGGGTTAAATTAAGGAATAAATGTTTGCAAAGCAAAAATTGTTGAAAGTGCCTCCCCTCACCCAAAGCAAACACTGATGAAAATGGCGGCTCTCTGAGCGCTCTTGTGTCACATCACTTATTGTCATGCATTTGTATAATTATCCTATACTTTACAAACTTTTATTTTACTATAATTTGTATAAATTTCTTCATTCCTTTCCCAATCTGCTTATTCCAGTTCCGGGTTGAAGGTGGCCAGAGCCTCTCCAACAGCTCAGGGCTCAGGTTGGAAACAGCCCTGAAAGGACACCATCCCATCTCAGGGTGGGTGCATACCCACAACCACATCTACACTCACTCAGACTGGGACCATGTAGACAGCCCAATGAACCTAACGTACCCATATTTGGGATGTGAGAGGAAACTGGAGTACCAAAGCAAACCCATACAGACTACGGAGAGAAGGTGCCAACCCCACACAGGAAGTGCCAACCCCACAGAGGAAGTACCAACCCCATACAGGAAGTGGCCCAGGCCAGGAATCCATTTGTTTTCTCATCAAAGTTAGAGCCAAAGGACAAAAGAAGGTGGACGGAAAGGATGTGTTATTTGAGGGCTTGATGTATGTTCTTTCAGTTTGTGGCTTGGGTTTTAATTTTCTTCACAGCGTCCTTTGAAGAGACAAAGTTAAATTTTAATGAAGTTCAGTTTTTCAAGACTTTCTTTTTTTTTTTTTTTTTTGAGACAGAGTCTCATCCCATCACCCACACTGAAGTGCAGTAGTGGGACGGCACATTGCAACCTCCACCTCCTGAGTTCAAGCAATTCTCCTGCCTCAGCCTCCTGAGTAGCTGGGATTATAATATTGGTATATAGAAATACCCTCATATTCTGCAACCTTTTTGTGAATTTCTTAGGATTGTAATCATAACCAATCATATCATATTCAAATAAAGACAGTTTTACTTCTTCCTTTCCAATCTGAATGCTCATTCCTTTTTCTTGCCTTATTACATTGGTTAGGACCACCAATACAATGTTAAATAGAAGTGTACACAGAGCCTCACTCTGTTGCCCAGGCTGGAGTGCATTGGTATGATCATGGCTCACTGCAGCCTCAAACTCCTGGGCTCAGGCAGTCTTCCCATCTCAGCCTCCCAGGTAGCTGGGTTTACAAATGCAAGCCACCACACCCAGTTTAACTTGCTTTTTAAAAAGAGCTAAACTTTTCTGGAACCTGAACAATGGATATGGGGCAAGAGGTAATCCTGCTTAAAATGTAAGTTTTAGGCCGGGTGTGGTGGCTCACGCCTGTAATCCCAGCACTTTGGGAGGCTGAGGCGGGCAGATCATGAGGTCAGGAGATTGAGACCATCCTGGCTAACACGGTGAAACCCCGTCTCTACTAAAAATACAAAAATTAGCTGGGCGTGGTGGTGGGCGCCTGTAGTCCCAGCTACTCAGGAGGCTGAGGCAGGAGAATGGCATGAACCCAGGAGGCGGAGCTTGCAGTGAGCCGAGATCACCCCACTGCACTCCAGCCTGGGCAACAGAGCAAGACTCCATCTCTAAAAAAAAAAAAAAATATATATATATATATAAGTTTTAGGCCATGCCCAGCCAGTGTTTAAATGCATACTGAAGGTTTTGTTTTTCATTTTGTCAACACCTAAGAGGGTTTCTTTATTCTGTTGAGGCTATGTATTAATGGAATATTCCTAAGTGTTTTCAAAGTACATTTTATTCCTAATTGTGAAAAATTTCTTCCAAAGGAGAAACATATATATTAAACCTGTGTTACATGAGAAAATTTAGCCTTTAACTTTTAAAAGGTTTTATATTTTTATTTATTTAGTTGTTTATTTATTTATTTATTTGTATTTTGAGATGGGGTCTTGCACTGTCACCCAGGCTGGAGTGCAGTGGTGCAATCTTGGCTCACTACAACCTCTGCCTCCCAGATTCAAGTGATTCTCCTGCCTCGGCCTCCCAAGTAGCTGGGACAACAGGTGCAAGCCACCATACCCAGTTAATTTTTTGTATTTTTATTAGAGATGGGGTTTCTCCATGTTGGCAAGGCTGGTCTCAAACTCCTGACCTCAGGTCATCTGCCCACCTTGGCCGCCCAAAGTGCTGGGATTACAGGCGTGAGCCACTGCACCAGCTTTATATTTTTTAAAACTAGATGATTAAAAAATTCAGAGTACCAAAAGGTATATAGTGAAAAATAAGTCTCCTACCTGTAGTATCCAATCTCTATTCTTGCCTAGAGACACCCATTTTTAGTAATTTCTTATGTATCCTTGCAGGCTATTCCATGTATACCATGTATAGATAAGCACATATAATATTTAACGTATTTTTTTTTTTTTTTTTTTTTAGAGAGAGAGACAAGGTCCCACCATGTTGCCCAGGCTGGTCTTGAATTCTTGGGCTCTAGTCCTCTAGCGATCCTCCCTCACTGGCCTCTCAAAGTGCTGGGATTACAGGTGTGAGCCACCCCACCTGGCCCAATATATCCTTTAAAATATAAATTAAATTAGGCTACACATGGTATGGCTCCTCACATTTTTTATTTCATAATATAATATACCTTAGGGTTCCATATTGATATAAATAAAATAATTCATTCTAATGGCTACACAGCATTCCTATCAGGTGGATTACCATGGTTTGCTTCATAATTCTTTATTGATGGACATGATTTGTTTCCCATCTTTTGCTGAAATGAATACATTTTTATTTTTTACTTTTTTTTGAGATGGAGTCTCTCTCTGTTGCCCAGGCTGAAGTGCAGTGGCACGATCTCATCTCACTGCAACCTCTGCCTCCCAGGTTCAAGTGATTCTCCTGCCTCAGTCTCCCGAGTAGCTATGATTATAGGCACGCACCACCACGCCCAGCTAATTTTTGTATTTTTAGTAGAAAAGGGGTTTCACTGTATTGGCCAGGCTGGTCTTGAACTCCTGACCTCAGGTGATCCACCCACTTTGGCCTCCCAAAGTTCTGGGATTACAGGCATGAGCCACCGTGCCCATCCAATGAATACTTTATTATTATTATTATTATTTTGAGACAGTCTCACTCTGTTTCCCAGGCTGGAGTGCAGTGGTGAGATCTCAGCTCACTGCAACCTTCACCTCCTGAGTTTAAGCAATCCTCCTGCCTCGGCGTCCCCAATAGCTGGGGTTACAGGCACGTGCCACCACGCCTGGCTAATTTTTGTATTTTTAGTAGAGATGGGATTTCACCATATTGGTCAGGCTGGTCTCAAACTCCTGACCTCAAGTGATCTGCCTGCCTCGGCCTCCCAAAGTGTTGGAATTACAGGCGTGAGCCATTGCACCTGGTCTGAAATGAATACTTTTATACATATCCCTGTATATATTATTTGTGAGTGGATCTGTAAAAAAAAAAAAGAAAAAAGAAAATCCTAGAAGTACCGTGGGTAGAAGGGATACAACATGCTGTTTGTAATCTTCTGAGACTTGATGTTTTACTCAACATTGTGTTGCTGAGATTCCATTTCATTGGTGCATACTATTCAGTTATGTAAATATACTCTACCCTTGTCCTGTCAATGGGCATTTGAATTATCGTCTCCTTTTTGCTATAATGAACAACACTGGTTTGCACATGATTGTCCATGTCCCTTGGTACACATTAGCCAGAGTTTCTCTTGAATATATGCATAAAAATGGTATAAATATTTGTGAATGTTCAAATTGCCAGATAATACTAAACTATGTTCCAAAATGATTGTGCCAATTTACACTTCTGCCCCACTGGTGTCTGAGTTTCAGTTGGTTATCTTCTCCAGTTGCTTGTCTTTTCATTTTCTTTTTTTTTTTTTTTTGAAACGTGGTTTCACTCTTGTCTCCCAGGCTGAAATGCAATGGTGTGATCTCGGCTCACTACAACCTCCGCCTCCTGGGTTCAAGTGATTCTTCTGCCTCAGCCTCTTGAGTAGCTGAGATTACAGGTGCCTGCCACCATGCCCAGCTAATTTTTTGTATTTTTGGTAAAGACAGGGTTTCACCATGTTGGCTAGGGTGGTCTTGAACTCCTGACCTCAGGTGATCCACCCTCCTCGGCTTCCCAAAGTGCTGAGATTATAGGCATGAGCCACCTTGCCCGGCCTCATTTTCTTTAAATTTTTTTTTAAAATGTTATTTTTAAAATTTAAATTGGCAATACTTCATTCCATAAAATTGAGTAAGTGGTGGCTCTTTTCATTTTCTTTAAGATGCTTTTTAATTATTATGAGTCATGCTTGCCCCTCTAGGTTGATTTCCACCTCCTCTCTGCCCCTGAATGCCTTCCTATATGAAACTCATCAGTGGGCTTTATATTCCCTACTTTCTACTTGAGTTTGGCCAGAAAGAGGAACCCCAGCAGGAAGTTGGAGGGAACAGAATGAGGTCAGGGTTTTTTTCTTCCTAGCTCTTTCCCTGCGAGGTTGCATGAGGTGCTGCATTTCCTGGCCAAAGGAGCCCTGTCTTGGAGGATTCTCCTTCTCTTTCAGGTTCTGTTGACCTCCCTGTCCCTCCTGTTGGTGGAGGGAGCTCCTCTACGGCTAACCCAGGCTTCCTGCATTGTTTTCTTGATAGTTCCCCAACACTCTGTTCCTCCTGTTATAGTTAATCCCTTTGTAAACAAACTCTAGTTGAATCATCTTGGCCTGAGTTTGTCATCTGTTTGCAATTGAAACTTGGCCTGGGCCAGGGGCGGTGGCTCAGGCCTGTAATCCCAGCACTTTGGGAAGTCGAGGTGGGTGGATCACCTGAGGTCAGAAGTTCAAGACCAGCCTGGCCAACATGGTGAAACCCTGTCTCTATTAAAATAAAAAAATTAGCTGGGTGTGGTAGTGGGTGCCTGTAATCCCAGCTACTTGGGAGGCTCAGGCAGGAGAATTGCTTGAACTGGTGAGGCAGAGGTTGCAGTGAGCCAAGATTGTGTCATTGCACTCCAGCCTGGGCAACAGAGCGAGAGTCTGTCTCCAAAAAAAGAAAAGAAGAAGCAGCAGCAGAAACTCTGCCTGATACAGAAGTTCTTCACATTAAGATTAAGGTGAAATGTTTGAATTTTTATTTGATTAGTATTTGTTTTGTGTGTTCTTCTCTAAAGAAGTTCTTTTCAGCTGGGTGCAGTGGCCTGTAATCCCAGCTACTTAGGAGGCTGAGGCAGGAGAATTGCTTGAACCCGGGAGGCAGAGGTTGCAGTGAGCTGAGATCGCACCACGGCACTCCAGCCTGGGCAACAGAGTGAGACTCTGTCTCAAAATAAATAAATAAATTAGCCAGGCATGATGGTGCGTACCTGTAATCTCAGCTACTTGGGAGGCTGAGGCAGGAGAATCACCTGAACCTGAGAGGCAGAGGTTGTAGAACCTCCCAGGTTCAAGCGATTCTCCTGCTTCAGCTTCCCGTGTAGCTGGGACTACAGGCGCCGGCCACCACACCCAGCTAATTTTTGTATTTTTAGTAGAGACGGGGTTTCTCCATGTTAGTTAGGCTGGTCTCGAACTCCCGACCTCAGGTGATCCTCCCGCCTCAGCCTCCCAAAGTGCTGGGATTACAGGCGTGAGCCACCACAACCCAGCTGACACACACAACATAATTTCTTAAGCCATTCATCCATAAAAAACACTTTATTTGTTTCCATATCTTGGTTATTGTGAATAATGCTGCAATGAAAATGGGAGTGCAGATACCTCTGCAACATACTGGTTTTCTTTCCTTTGGGTATGTACCCCGAGGTGGGATTGCCGGATCATGTGGTAATTCTATTTTTAATTGGAACCTCTGTACCGTTTTCCATAGTGTCTGCACCAACTTACATCCCCACCAATAGTGTACAGTGGTCCCCTTTTCTCCACACCCTATTTAATGCATCAGAAGAGATGGAAACAAATAGGCATCTAGTTTCTAATTTGGTACACTCTCAAACGCACATTCCTTAAATATCAACTTGATGTTTAAAGCATTTAGGAGTGCATCCGACTACAAGAAGGATGAAAAAAAGATACTTTCTTTCTTTCTTTCTTTCTTTTTTTTTTTTTTTTGAGATGGAGTCTCACTCTGTCACCAGGCTGAAGTGCAGTGGCGCGATCTCAGCTCACCGCAACCTCCGCCTCCCGGGTTCAAGCGATTCTCCTGCTTCAGCTTCCAGAGTAGCTGGGACTACAGGCATGCACCACCACACCCAGCTAATTTTTTTGTATTTTTAGTAGAGACAGGGTTTCACCATGTTGGCCAGGATGGTCTTGATCTCTTGACCTCGTGATTCGCCTGCCTCGGCCTCCCAAAGTGCTGGGATTATAGGCGTAAGCCACTGCGCCCAGCCTCTTTCTTTCTTTTTCTTTTTTTTGTTCCTTTTTTTTTTCTTGAGACAGGGTTTCGCTCTTTTTGCCCGGGCTGAAGTGCAATGGTGCGATCTCGGCTCACTGCAATCTCTGCCTCTCTGGTTCAAGCAATTCTCCTGCCTCAGCCTCCCAAATAGCTGGGATTACAGGCGTACGCCACCATGCCTGGCTAATTTTTGTAGTTTTAGTGGAGACAGGGTTCCACCATGTTGGCCAGGCTGGTCTTGAACTCCTGACCTCACGTGATCTGCCCATCTCGGCCCCCCAGAGTGCTGGGATTACAGGCATGAGCCACTGTACCCAGCCAAAAGATCACTTTCATCAGTGCCCCCAAGCAACCAATATAGTCCTCCAATGAACTGGGACCCTCCCTCCAGAAAGGCACTCAAACCCTCAGCTCTCATGTTCTCGAAGCCTATGAGCTGCTAGCTGTCTCTCTCTCTTTTTTTTTTTTTTTTTTTTTTTTTTTTGAGACAGAGTCTCATTCCATCACCCAGGCTGGAGTGCAGTAGCATGATCTCGGCTCAATGCAAACTTCACCTCCCGGATTCAAGCGATTCTCCTGCCTCAGCCTCCTGACCTCAAGTGATATGCCCATCTTGACTTCGCAAAGTGCTGGTATTACAGGCGTGAGCCACTGAGCCGGGCCCTCTTTTTTTGCGGGGGAACAGGATCTTGCTCTGTCACCCAGGCTCTGTCACTGCAGCCTCGACCTCTTGAGCTCAAGCAATCCTCCCACCTCAGCCTCCCAGGTAGCTGGGATCACAGGCATGTGACACCAAGGCCGGCTAATTTTTGTATTTGTTGTAGAGATGGGGTTTTGCCATATTGCCCAGGCTAGTTTTGAACTCCTGAGCTCATGTGATCCTGCTGTGTTGGCCTTCCAAAGTGCTGGGATTACAGGCGTGAGGAGCTGCTATTTCACTTGCTGTTCCCTTGCCTGAGTCATCTTCCCACAGATGTTCACACGATTAACTTCTTCACCTCCTTCAAGTCTTTGCCCAAATGCTACTGTCTTAATATGGCATGGCTGGATCACTCTATATAAAGGGGGACCCTCTCGCATTCTAGATTCTCCTTACCCTGCTTGGCTTTTTATTCTTTCACAAACTATTCATTTTCTACTATGGATTCTAATTCATGCATCAGACCCATGCTTATTGTAGAAATGATACAAAGACAGGAATCTCTGTCTGCTTTGTTCATTGATGTATCCCAGCATCTAGAGCAGCAACTATTGGTGCTCAGTAGATATTCATGAGACGATTAAAGGAAGGCATCTCAGGGACTATCATGGAGACAAGAGCAGATCCCTCAGCTCCTCCATGGTTTATCAAACATTTTTTCCAACCCATATAATCCAGTCCTCAAGAGGAATTCTGGTAAATAGATTTCGCCAATATCCTTACATTTATGGTAATATTTTAGAGCTCATTGTAAAGTGTTGTTCTGGATCTTGTCTGTCTGGCCCACTTTTGGTCTGTCTCTGCATCTCATAAGGGTGCTGGTCTCCTTGAACATTTCTGAAATACTCTAAAATTCACGGCCTATCACACCCTGCATCCATCTTCGCAATAGCGATGACTTTGTTCAGAAATGGATTGCTTCCTCCTCCTCACTTCGGAGGCTGAGGTGGGAAAATCACTTGAGCCCAGGAGTTCGAGACCAGCCTTGGCAACATAGTGAGACCCTGTCTTAATCAAGTGTTTCTTCTTTCATATTTACCCACACTGGCACACCAAGAAACATGAATCGAGACAGTCCATATGTTAACTATAGTGTTATCTGATGGCAAAATTATTCCCATTTGAGTACAGGACTTTATTTTTTTATTTTTTATTTTATTTTATTATATTTTTTGAGACAGAGTCTCGCTCCGTCACCCAGGCTGGAGTGCAGTGGTGTGATCTTGGCTCACTGCAACCTCCAAATCCTGGGTTCAAGTGATTCTAGTGCCTCAGCCTCCCAAGTAGCTGGGATTACAGGTGCACACCACCACACCTGGCTAATTTTTGTATTTTTAGTAGAGACGGGGTTTTACCTGTTGGCCAGGCTGGTCTCAAACTCCTGACCTCAGGTGATCTGCCCACCTCAGCCTCCCAAAGTGTTAGGATTACAAGCGTGAGCCACCGCGCCCAGCCGAGTATAGGACTTTAAACAAGAAAAAGTCTCTTGCAATTGAAGGGAGCAGAATGAGTTTCCAAAACTTTTCTTTTTTTTTTTTTTTTTTTGAGACAGGGTCTCGCTCTGTCACCCAGGCTGGGGTGTAGTGGCATGATCATAGCTCACTGCAGACTGGACCTTCTGGGTGCAAGTGATCCTCCCACCTCAGCCTCTCAAATAGCTGAGACCACAAACACATGCCACCATGCCCAAGCTATGTTGCCCGGGCTGGTCTCGAACTCCTGGGCTCAAGCTATTCTCCTGCTTTGGCCTCCCAAAGTGCTGGGATTAGAGGCTTGAGCCACCATGCCCAGCCTGTTCTCCAAACTTTCATAATTTATTTCTGTCATAAATTGAACTATTATACTTAAATCAGGCAAGAGTTTTCACATAATGAAAACTAATTTTACAATACTGAATGATGAATGTTTTCACTGTTAAAAGCAAAATTGTGTCACTGCACTCCAGGCTGGGTGACAGAGCAAGACCTTGTCTTAAAAAAAAAAAAAGAAAAAAAAAGAAAGAAGCAGCAGCAGCAAAATTGTTTCCTTAGAATTTTTTTTGAAACTTCACTTGCTTTGTTAGTTGACCTTCTCTTATCCCTTGTTCCTTTTGTCTGTCATTGTTTATTATTATTTTCATTGTTATTATTTTTTTGTCTGTCATTATTTTAGTTGTTTATGATGTTATGTTTTTTGAAACATACAAAAGCATATATGTGATACTTCAGTGAAATAAACACCCATGAGCCCATCTCCTGGCCCAAAAACAAAAAAGAAAATTTTTTTTTTTTTTTTAGACAGAGTCTTGCTTTGTCACTGATGCTAGAGTGAGGTGGCATGATTTTGGCTCACTGCAACCTCCACCTCCCGGGTTCAAGTGATTCTCCTGCCTCAGCCTCCCAAGTAGCTGGGACTACAGGCATGCACCACCACATTCGGCTAATTTTTGTATTTTTAGTGGAGACGGGCTTCGCCATGTTGGCCAGGCTGGTCTCTAACTCCTGACCTCAGGTGATCTACCCGCCTCAGTCTTCCAAAGTGCTGGGACTACATGCGTGAGCCACAATGCCCAGCTAAAAAAAATTGTTGTGATAAATTATGCGCCACACCTAGATCATCTATTTCCCTGCCTTCCCATTCCTAAAAGTATCCATTGCCCTAAATTTTGTGCTTATTATTCCCTTGCTTTACTCACACACACACACACACGATTGATGATGATAGATAGATAGATAGATAGATAGATAGATAGATAGATAGATAGATGATAGATAGATGTAGACAAATAATATATTGTGTAGTTGTTTATTTTTGAACTCTATAGAAATCATATTTTAAGTGGTTTTCTAGGTTTTCCTTTTTCACTGAATATTATGTGTTCAAGATTCTTCCAAGTAATTGCACTTAGTTATAGTTTATTCATTTTCACATTTCTATATTCTATTATGTGAACATACCACAATTCACTCATTCTCTTGTCACTATGTATGTGAGTATATATCTATCAGACCTATATATGTTTATCTATCTATACTTACATATCTATAGAAAGATATATAGTTTGTAGTTCTTTCCCCTTATAAACATGGCTGCTAAAACCATCTTCTTTCCACATATGTCCTGATGCTTGTATACAAGAATTTCTCTTATATATATGCCTGAAAAGGATTTGTGAACTAAGCTTTGCTAATGACTATTTTCTTAAATGGTTGTCCCAATTTAGACTCCTACCAGCAGTGAATTCTCACTGATGACAACTGGAACCAGAAACTTATAGCCAGTTATAAGCACGTAGCTGAAACTTGGGATCCCATTAATGTGCCTGTTTCCTAAACTTCTTTGAGTTTACAGGACTCCCCAACCCTTCTTCTCTACTCCCAGTTAACCAGCTAACTTCTGTAAGAACAGGATGCCTCTTCCCTGTAAAAAGGACATTATTGCCCTGCTAATTAATTTTGTTAAAACAGGGAGAATTGCCACTTACAAACTGCTAGAAAAAAAAAAATTCCTTACCAAAAGGACCTAAATTTAAAGCAGAATCAATTGCAAGTCTGTCTTCTTAGTAAACTAGAAAGTGAAAATAAGCATTACAAACCCACTAAGAGATGAAGGGAGGAGTCATTTTCCTCTTCCCTTTCCCAGGCTGGTAAATGGCTTAGGTTTAGAAACTTCTGAGGCCAAAAGTGATGAAGCAGAGGCATATGTGTTCTTCAGGCTTAGGATAAAAATGTATAAAGAATTTGGTAGACCAGCCTGGGCAACATGGTGAAACCCCATCTCTACAAAAAATACACAAATTAGCCGGGCGTGGTGGTGCGCACCTGCAGTCCCACCTACTAGTGGGGCTGAGACGGCAGGATCGCTTGAGCCAGGGAGGTCGAGGCTGCAGTGAGCCATGATTGCACCACTGCACTTCAGCCTGGTAGAGTGAGACCCTGTCTCAAAAAAAAAAAAAAAAAAAATGAGGCTGGGCGCAGTGGCTCATGTCTATAGTCCTAGCACTTTGGGAGGCTGAGGCAGGAGGATCACGAGTACAAGAGATCCAGACCATCGTGGCCAACAAGGTGAAACCCCGTCTCTAGTAAAAATACAAAAATTAGCTGAGCGTGGTGGCATGTGCCTGTAGTCCCAGCTACTCGGGAGGCTGAGGCAGGAGAATTGCTTGAACCCGGGAGGCAGAGGTTGCAGTGAGCCAAGATTGCGCCACTGCACTCCAGTCTGGCAACAGAGAGAGGCTCCGTCCAAAAAAAAAAAAAAAAGTCTGGTATACTCTGGTATCTCTTCAGATTATATCAATTTTTCACCTTTTCCTAAAGATTTATGTGAAGAGAAACAATTCTGAGTCTTAACCAAATTTTTTGAGGCCTTTAGTCTTCAAGGCAATTTTATTTTATTATTATTATTTTTTGAGATGGAATCTCACTTTGTCACCCAGGCTGGAGTGCAGTGTTGCGATCTTGGCTCACTTGCAACCCCCACTGCCGGGGTCCAAGCAATTCTTCTGCCTCAGCCTCCCAAGTAGCTGGGTTACAGTCATGCACCACCATACCCAGCTAATTTTTGTATTTTTAGTAGTGGCGGGGTTTCACCATGTTGGCCAGGCTGTTCTCGAACTCCTGACCTCAGGTGATTTGCCCACCTCGGCTTCCCAAAGTTCTGTGATTATAGGCATGAGCCACTGCGATTCAGGGCTAATTTTAAAACAACAACAACAACAACAACAACAAAAGAATTTGGCTGTGATTTAGCCCACCTCTCTGTGCCTAGAATTAGAATGCAGTAAGATACACCAGTAGGTCCTCAGAGTTTAGCTGCTTCAGAAAGACTAGAAAGTGCCCTTTCACAATCAGTCATGGTTCAGAACACAAGACTTAAAAAGTCACTACCTTGCTGGCACCCAATGGGGACGATGAGAATGGGTCTGTAGTCTCATCTTTTTCTGTGCAGCTATGCTGTTCCCTACTAGTCTTGTGTCAGAGAAGTTTCCTCTGTTGGTATAAACACTGGCAGGAGCCATTAAAGTAATTATGGTCAATACATAGAGCCTATGGGGAATAGTTGTGCAACCTGATGATCAGGAAGAGGTACCAGACATGGCAAGGGAAGAACTGGGTTTGAGCCCTGGTTCTGCCACTTACCAGCGAGGCCGCAGGTCCCAGACATGGTAAAAGCAGAGCACTTCTGGTGATGTAACAGCTGTCATGGTGAGTGTTTACTCCTGTTCTCAAGCACCATAAAAGCTCTCAAGGCCAGGTGCGGTGGCTCACGCCTGTAATCCTAGCACTTTGGGATGCCATGGCGGCCGGATCACCTGAGGTCAGAAGTTAAAGACCAGCCTGGCCAACATGGTGAAACCTCGTCTCTACTAAAAATACTAAAATTAGCCTGGCGTGGTGGCACACGCCTGTAATCCCAGCTACTCGGGAGGCTGAGGCAGGAGAATTGCTTGAACCCGGGAGGCGGAGGTTGCAGTGAGCCAAGATCACGCCACTGCACTCCGGCCTGTGTGACAGAGCAAGACTCTGTCTCAAAAATAAATAAATAAATAAATAAATAAATAAATAAATAAATAAATAGCTCTCAAGAGCCATAGGACATAAGGCCATTGCTATCACATTCTTCTTCTTCTGATCCTCACTCCATATAAGGAAAGAAAGATAGGCAGAATGGTTAAAAACCTCTAGTTAGAACTGGTTTGAAAACCTCCACCTCTATCTCTTCCTAACTGCGTGACCTTGAATATGCTACTTAGCCTCCCTGAGCCTGTTTCTTCATCTGTAAAATGAGGGTAATTAAGAAAGCAAAGGCTGGGCGTGGTGGCTCACGCCTGTAATCCCAGCACTTTGGGAGGCTAAGGTGGGCGGATCACGAGGTCAGGAGATCGAGAACATCCTGGCTAACAGGGTGAAACCCTGTCACTACTAAAAATACAAAAAAATTAGCCAGGCATGGTGACGGGCGCCTGTAGTCGCAGCTACTCAGGAGGCTGAGGCAGGAGAATGGTGTGAACCCGGGAGGTGGAGCTTGCAGTGAATCAAGATCATGCCACTACACTCCAGTCTGGGAGACAGAGCAAGACTCTGTCTCAAAAAAAGAAAGAAAGAAAGAAAGAAAAAGAGAGAAAGAAAGAAAGAGAAAGAAGGAAAGAAAGAAAGAAAGAAAGAAAGACCTAGCCTTCTAAAATGTTTATTTATTTATTTATTTTGATATGGAGTCTTGCTCTTGTCACCCAGGCTATAGTGCAATGGCGCAATCTTGGCTCACTGCAACCTCCGCCTCAACTGATTCTCCTGCCTCAGCCTCCCTAGTAGCTGGGATTACAGGCATGTGCCACCACGTCAGGCTAATTTTAGTATTTTTAGTAGAGACGGGGTTTCACTATGTTGGCCAGGCTGGTCTCAAACTCCTGACCTCAGGTGATCGGCCCACCTTGGCCTCCCAAAGTGCTGGGATTATAGGCATGAGCCACCACACCAGGCTGAGCATGTATTAAAACCAGGACTGCCCCAAGCACATTACATAGATTCCCTGGGATAAATTTACACACTAACCTTACTTATAAGTAAAATTATTATCCACAATTTACAGAAGAAGAAACTGAGAGATTAAGTTATTTGTTCAGGTTTACACAGCTAGCAGATACAGAGTCACAGATAGAACTCAGGGACAATAATACCACCTGACAACATTACTGTGAGGCTTAAATAGTCAACTGTGATAACATGTGGGAGTTATCACATGTGAATAGACGACAACAGTAGCACAAAGAATGGGAGGTGACGTAAAGGGAATTATCCTTCTTCCATTATACATAAAGTGGTATAATATTAACCCAAAGTAGACTGTGATAAATTAAAAATACATATTGTAATCCCCACAGCAACCACAAAAAAAAATCTACAAAAGTGTATCATATAAACAGGCCAGGCGCAGTGGCTCATACCTGTAATTCCAACACTTTGGGAGGCTGATTCAGGAAGATTAGCCCAGGAGTTTGAGACCAGCCTCGGCAACATAGCAAGACTCCTGTCTCCACAAAAATAAAAACAAAAATTAAAAATATTTAAAACCCCCCCCACACAAAGAAAAATATATAATCACATTATAATGAGATGATAGAGGAAATAAAGTGAAATAATAAAAATATTCAATACAAAAGAAAGTAAGCAAGCAAGAGCAAAGGAACAGAAAATAAGTGGGATCAATAGAAAACAAATAGCAAAATGGTAGACTTAAACCGAGCTATATCAGGAGTTACTACATTGGACTAAACACTAAAAAGGCAGAGATTGTCAAACTAGATTAATAAGCCATCCCCAACTATAAGCTGCTTAAAGCGACATACTTTAAATAGAGAGACACAGACAAGCGGGACAGGTTGCAAGTAAAAATATAAATGGTATATACACTAAGGAGAAGAAAACTGAGGTGGTTAATATCAAAGAAGACTTCAAGACAGGGAGGATTACCAGAAAAAAAAAAGACAGAAATTTTATAATGACAAAAGACTCAATTTATCAAGAACACATAGCAATTAATTATGAGTATGCAGCTAATGAGAAAATTTCAAAATACGTGAAGCAAAAATAGACAGAACTAAAGAAGAGAAATAGACACACTCACAACTATAATTGGAGATTTCCCTTACACTAATTTATAGACCATGAAGACAAAAGAAGCCCCTCAAAATATAAAAGATTTGAACAATATTATCAGCCAACTAGATATAATTGATATTTATCAGCCACTGCATTTTATAGCTGCAAAGTATACATTCTTCCAAGTGCAAATTCAGTCAAAATGGACTCCATGTTGGGCCACGAAACAAGTCTCAGTAAATTTCATAGAATATCTATTGCAAGTAATTATTATTAAAATGAGGGTGAGGGTTAACTATTTGTCTCATAATCTCTGGTTCTATGACTCCTCCTACTCAAATGTGAGGAATTGTTTTTCTTTTTCCTTTTTTTTTTTGAGATGGAGTTTCGCTCTTTGTTTTGCTTTTTGTTTTTGTTTTTTGAAACGGAGTCTCGCTCTTGTAGCCCAGGCTGGAGTGCAATGGCGTGATCTAGGCTCACCGCAACCTCCACCTCCTGGGTTCAAGCAATTCTCCTGCCTCAGCCTCCTGAGTAGCTGGGATTACAGGCACCCGCCACCACGCCCTACCAATTTTGTATTTTTAGTAGAGACGGGGTTTCTCCATGTTGGTCAGGCTGGTCTCGAACTCCCGCCTTGGCCTCCCAAAGTGCTGGGATTGATTACAGGCATGAGCCAGCGTGCCCAGGCTTCCTTTCTTTTTTTAAAAAAATAATTGAGATGGGGGTCTCACTATGTTGACCAGGCTGGTCTTGAACTCCTGGCCTCAAGCGATCCTCTCACTTTAGCCACCCAAAGTAATGAGATTATAGGTGTGAGCCACCGCACCCAGCCAAACATGAGGAGTTTTCTAGCACCTTCTCCCCAGTCTGCTAACAATCTTTATTATTTGCTTATTGGAGTTTCCAAAGATCTTGCCAAGATTAAGACCAAATTCTTTAGTCACTTCAACAACTGAATTATTGAAGAAGAATTTGTGAGGAATGATAAGAGCTTGAACTTGATCTCCCTTTTTGGGTTCTGCAGTTCCCTATTCTCAGAAAACACAGTCTTCCACCTGAAGCGTGTCACCATATGATTTGTACGCCAGCACATGTGTTGCTTAAGATTTTCTAAAATAATCTCCATTGCCACTGAGGACAATGAACTTCTGCAAAAGTGAATCTGTCAATCAGGGATCCTCTCTTCAGAGCCCTTAGCTTGTTACTCAGCTCATTTCTGGAGTTGAGGGAAACATTGGTGTCCATATATTAAATAAATACTGCAGGGGCTCCCAAATTGGAGTTCACTGGCCCTACTGGGAGGGTTTGCCTGAAAATGTGTGCTGATGGCATTTTCCTGGGAAAATAACTGCCAGCTTTCATCAGATTCTCAAGAGATAGGAGTTTTGACTTCTAAAATGCTAAAAGTCTATTGCATTAACTTTTCAAGATGCCAAAACAACTTCACATCTTAGCCCTACAGAGAACCCTAAAGCTGCATTTCTGTTTTTGCATCTGTAACGTAGGGTTGTATATATATACATATATCTCCAACAGGCCGTATGCAGTGTCTCACACCTGTATTCCCAGTACTTTGGGAGGCCGAGGCAGGAGGATGGCTTAAGCCCAGGAGTTCGAGACCAACCTGGGCAACATGGTGAGACCCCATCTCTACAAAAAATGTAAAAATTAGCTCGGCATGGTGGTGCCTGCCTGCAGTCCCAGCTACTTGGGAGGTTGAGGCAGGAGGATCACTTGAGCCTAAGAGGTTGAGGCTTTAGTGAGCTATGATTGCACCACTGCACTCCAGCCTGAGTGACAGAGTGAGACCCTACCTCAAAAAAAAAAAAAAAAAAAAAATCAACACACTCATTGACTTCACTAAGGAAGTTCTAGGCAGCAACCCTAGCTTCCACTCAACACTTTTGCCAGGTTCATTTATTAATATCCTGCATAATCAAACTCTAGAGACAATAGTTGGGGAAATGCTAGCTTAGAAAGTTTACTTGTTGGCCGGTCACGGTGAATCATGCCTGTAATCGTAGCACTTTAGGAGGCCGAGGCTGGAAGATCACTTGAGCTAAGTAAGGAGTTTGAGATCAGCCTGGCCAACATGGTGAAACCCCATCTCTACTAAAAATAGAAAAATTAGCCAGGCATGGTGGCAGGCGCCTGTAATCACAGCTACTTGGGAGGCTGAGGCATGAGAATTGCTTAAACCCAGGAGGTGGAGGTTGCATTAAGCTGATATGGTGCCACTGCACTCCAGCCTGGGCGATAGAGCAAGGCTCACTCTCAAAAAAAAAAAAAAAAAAAATCACTTTTTTATGGCCATAACACCTTGAACAGGCCTGACCTCTTCCGATTTTAGACACCAAGGCGTGTAGGGCCAGTTTAGTACTTGGATGAGATCCCACCTAGAAATATCAGGGTTTTAATTTATTTACATTAAAAAAAAAATAGTCCAGGCGTGGTGGTTCATGCCTGTAATCCCAGCAATTTGGGAGGCCGAGGCAGGCATATCACCTGAGGTCACGAGTTTGAGACCAGCCTGGCCAACATGGTGAAACCCCATCTCTACTAAAAATGCAAAAATTAACCCTGTGCGATGGCGTGGGCCTGTAATCCCAGCTACTCAGGAGGCTGAGGCAGGAGAATCACTTGAACCCGGCAGGCAGAGGTTGCAGTGAGCCGAGATCACGTCACTGAACTCCAGCCTGGGTGACAGAGACTCCATCTTGGAAATAAAAATAAAAATTAAAAATTAAAAAAAAAGAAAGTTCAGGCTGGGTGTAGTGGCTCAGGCCTGTAATCCCAGCACTTTGGGAGGCCAAGGCGGGTGGATCACCTGAGGTCAGGAGTTCAAGACCAGCCTGGCCAACATGGTGAAACCCCATCTCTACTAAAAATACAAAAATTAACCAGCCTGAGTAGCTGGGATTACAGCCTGGCCAATATGGTGAAACCCCGTCTCTACTAAAAATACAAAAATTAGCTGGATGTGGTGGTGGCCTGTAATCCCAGTTACTCGGCAGGCTGAGGCAGGAGAATCGCTTGAACCCAGGAGGTGGAAGTTGCAGTGAGCCAAGATCATGCGATTGCACTCCAGCCTAGGGGACTGAGGGAGACTCTGTCTCAAAAAAAAAAAAAAGTTCACTGTGTTTACATTCATTTCAAATACTCACCACACCTGTAGTATTAATATGTGACAAGCATGGGCTGGGTGCTGTGGAGTTTGCCGTTGGGACTGAGCACCTGGTCGAAGGCAGCCTCAACTGCACACACAGGTCTCCAGGGCTGAGAGCGTGCACATGAAGTGGAATTAACCCAAATTTGGATCTGGCCCAGCCCACCTCACTAGAAGTTGAACCTTAGGGAAAATCACAAAACATCTTTGAACTTCAGTTTAGATTCCTCATCTGTGACATGGGGGTACACAGATAACGACTGCCATACATGACTTGTGATTATTTTAGGGCTTGATGTGTATGTTGATCTGGATCCTGCCTCTTTCTTCTCCAACTTTGCCTCTTAGCCCCCAGGTGCATTTTCCTGCAGCCTCCTCTCCTCCTCCCGCTTTTTTTCTGTGTCTTGAATGCCAAACTCATTTCCATCCCAGGCTCTTTGCACCTGCTGCTTCCTCTGCCAGGAGGTGCTCCTCCAAATATTTGCATCTCTGCTTTTTGTTTTGCTCACTCCTTCATTTTTCTGAGGCAGGGTGGGGAGGCACTCCATTTTTCTTGGGGGTTTCACTGTGCTGTCCAGGCTGGTCTCAAACTCCTGGCCTCAAGCCATCCTCCTGTGTAGCTGCTTAGCGGGGATATAGGCACCAGACACCCTGCCCGCCTGCTCACTCTTAAGTCTTCTTCTTGGGTTTCAGCTCACACCGCTTTCCTCCTCAGAGATTTTTCCTGGCTATTCGCACACTGTCTTCATAATCTTTCTCTTTTGTATTGTTGTTTTTGACACTTCTTATCTAATACTTTACCAATGTGTTTATTTTTTAAAAATCATTTCTTCTCATAAGGATTTGTTCAGGGCTGTAGCTCCTGGACATGGGGCAGTGCCCAGAAGAGTGAAGAGCTCAGTAATATGTTGAACGAATGAACCAAATAAGGTGGCTTGAAAAGGGTGTAGACTAGTACAGATTAAAAACAAATCAACATTAGTGATTACCGTTTTATACCTGTTATTATAAGATCTGCATATCAGAAGAAGGACTGTGTGTTAACATTTGCATAACAAATTGGCTCAAAAAAGTAATTGGTCCAAAACAATAGTCCCCTATCAAAGGTGAGGTTAGGCTCCAACAATGCAAAACTGAAGTTACTGGCAGCTTTGAAATCACAGACCCTCTTCACTCTCCCCACCCACAAGGTTTACAAAAAATTCTTAGGCGGTTTTCCCCCTGGCCAAAATGTGACAGCTATTAAAATGGCAGGTTTCAGGTTAGCCAAGTGAGAGGCAGACATGTGTTTCAGGGGACAGGAAGGTTATTTCCACCGTGTACAAGTGGATGCTGCTTTGGACACTGATGGACAGGTAACATAAAATGGGCGAATCTGCAGGGGGATGAACTGGGAGGAAAGTATTTTAGGTGGAGGGAGCGTCTCATAATTTCCAACAGAGCCACCCCAAATAAACCTTGAAGCCAAGTAAGAGAACGGGACCTGCATTAGGAATGCAGCAGCCTCAGGTATGTCCAACCACATGGCCCCCCATAAGGTTTTCCTAACCATTTTGGAGCCGCTACTGAATTTAGGTGTGGAGGAAAGCAAGAGCATGGATTCTATTATCCCCACTCAACTGAGTGGCAAGATATAAGGCTAAGGCTCAAGAGCCTTGAATGTCAGGACAAGGGCCCTAAGCCTTTAAGCTCTCTAAGGCGATCAGTGAATGGCAGTGTAAGTAAAGTAGTTTAGGAGGAAAGACCGATTTGGAGAGTCCAGAGTGAAGGCTGTTGACAGTCCAGGCAAGAAAGAGAGTATAGAGTCCAGAATTGGGAGAGAAGTAATATGAATTAAAAAAAGAAGGGTGGGCCTGAGTTGCCTGGGTTAGAAGTTTCCGGTGGGGCTATGCAATCTGAAGAGCTGCAACCTAAGTTGGGCGGGGGATTCATGGGGCTTGTTCTAATGCTTTTTTGCTTTTTGGCTGATGGGATGCAAACTACTATGTGCCTCTTCAAAATAATAGCCCCTGGTGTCTACTAATCATATCATGAAATAGAAATTGTGAAGGCACTGTATCTTTTAAAAAAAATCCCCTTTTGAAGAACTTCCTTAAAAACAGCTATTTAATGCAACTCTGCCAGTATGTTCTTGATGGTTATGTCTTAACAATTCTAATTTTTAAAAAAAATATTACTATTTTTTTTCATCAGAGCCATTGCACTGGAAAATAATTTTTTATTTTCATGATAGCCTACCGTTGAATTTACCGTTCTGATATTAATGAAACATCTCTATAAAGGGTTGAAGTGTCTTCCCGGTAAGTTCTCAGCTTATGTTTTTCTAAATATCTTCTAATCACTGTTCATTTTTTCCTTTGGCCTAATGAGTGTTTCTCACTGTCTGCGTGTTCAGATGCAAGAAATATTAAGCAATCATAGTAATCAATAATGTTTTCAAGCTTTTTCTTCCTTTTAGATTTGCTACTTGTAATAGCTGCGATAGTCTTGTGGAGCATTTTAGTCAAAGAGAACATGTTCATTTTTAAATATTTAATTCAAAATACAACATTCAGTGCTTCTGCACTTTTGAGTCAAAGCAGTTAATTGAAAATCACTGACATGGCTTTTAAAAAATATGTGCTACTGATAATATTCACTAAAGACCATGAGCCGAAGAGTGATTTCTGGATTTTCTTCTATTTTCTTTTAACTGACATGATGTAATGATTTCAAAGAGCCAAGCAGAATTTTGATATTTAATATGTTATGTTGATATATGATGGATATATATAATATTGGCATTAGATTACATCATCTCATTTTATTATTCAAAGTTAAACACTAAAGAGTAAACACATTGTGTTTGCGGGTAAATACTAAGAAGATAAATACTTGCATAAAAAGAACTGCTGGGTTTACTTAATGGAATGATAAGCAATTTTGGACCCACCACAGTTCTTTTTATTATGTGGGTTGGTTTTTGTTTGTTTGTTCCCTGTGTTGGTCTATAGAACGTAGAGTTAAAAGCATTTAATTGTGGGTCGGTGTGATAATTGTTTCTCTAAAGCAAAATCAGAATTACTTAGAGATAAGAAAGTAAATAACAAAATTATAGACGAGTTTTCTTAGCCTAGGATTCAAGCAAGTCCAAGGATAGTCTTCACAGGCTAAATTTTATTTGCAATATAAGTCCAATTTTCATGGGAGGAAAAGGATGGCTTTTGCCAGATTCTCAGAAGGCAATATAACACCAAAGAAAGGTTTTTTAAAAAAGCCCTATTTTTATAAAGCTATGCTAAGGTAAAAAGGATTTTGATTTTCAGAATTTTAGAATATTTAAAATAATTTTGAAATACTTATATATACTTTTGAGTTATTTCCACTTTCTCTTATCAATCAAGCAGCTCAGATAATTAAATATATAGCTATTTTAATATTTAAAGCATTTTGTAATCATGGAAAAGCAAAAAGAAATGTTTGTAGAAAATTTCGTAGAAAAAAATTTGTACTCATCAAAGAGAATTCAGGAGGTACTCTTGGTTTATGTAAGGTATTTTCAGAAAATATTTTTGAGCAAGATCTTATTCAGAATCAAATTAGAGACTGCATTTAATTTTGCTTTTTAAATATTAAACTTTTTCAGGATTGTCAACTTATTTTATTTTATTTTCTTCAAGCAACAATTGCTAAGGAACAGAATTGTCAATTTATTAATGAAATATGGTAAGCTGACATTTTAATATTTTCTTTACTCTGTCCACAGAGGAGCTCTACAGCATAATAATTAAAAAACTTTTTTCTTTACTCTCCCTCCATTTTAAAAATAAAATATATCGATCATGTTAATAAGGATATGAAATAGTTTGCAAAGCAATTCAATTTTAGGTCTTGGAGACATAAGAGCATTTCATTTTTAAACAACAATTCATAGGTTCTGTTTCATTGAAGATATTTCCTTGGCCCTTTTTTTCTAAATCACTCTCCTCTGCTCTACAACTCCTTGCTAAAATTTTGCAATAATGTTAAATACTGTACTATAGAATGAATACCATTCTCTAAATAGTATACTATAATGGAGTGTGTTTCAACTGTGATTGATTTTGTGCCTCAGGGTACATTTGGTGATGTCGGAAACATTTTTGACGGTCACAACTGTGAAGGTACTACTGGCAACCAGTGGGTAGGGGTCAGGGAAGCTGCTAAACATCGTACAATGCACAGGCAGCCCCCCTGACAACAGAGACAGCCAACACCAAATGCCCATAGTGTCAAGATTGAGAAACCCTCCTTTAGACTAAATACTATTTTAAATCAGGGAGATTAAGTTTAATTGGTAATTCGAAAACTCCAGAATTCTATCATTGTTCCAACAGACGTGTGTTGAACAAGACAAGCTGGGTCAAGCATTTGAAGATGCTTTTGAGGTTCTGAGGCAACATTCAACTGGAGATCTTCAGTACTCGCCAGGTAAAGATGAGTCATTTACCCTCTTCTGCTGGTACATCAAATGGCTTGTTGGTCACATACACATATAAGAATAATGATCAGCTGACCAGGTGCTGTGGCTCACATCTGTAATCCCAGCACTTTGGGAGGCCAAGGTGGGCAGATCACTTAAGACCAGGAATTCAAGACCTGCCTGGCCAATATGGCGAAACCCTGTCTCTACTAAAAATACAAAAATTAGCTAGGCATGGTGGCGCGACTGTAATCCCAGCTACTCTGGGGGCTGAGGCTTAAGAATTGCTGAACCTGAGAGGCAGAAGCTTTAGTAAGCCGAGATGGCGCCACTGTATTCCAGGATAATGATCAGAACAGAGAAGACCTTTTTTTTCTTTTTTCTTTTTTCTTTTTTTTTTTTTTTTGAGACGAAGTCTCACTCTGTCGCCCAGGCTGGCGTGCAGTGGCGCGATCTCGGCTCACTGCAAGCTCCTCCTCCCGGGTTCACGCCATTCTCCTGCCTCAGCCTCCCGAGTAGCTGGGACTACAGGCGCCCGCCACCATGCCCATCTAATTTTTTGTATTTTTAGTAGAGACGGGGTTTCACCGTGTTAGCCAGGATGTTCTCGATCTCCTGACCTCGTGATCCGCCCATCTCGGCCTCCCAAAGCGCTGGGATTACAGGCATGAGCCACTGTGCCCGGTGACCTTTTTTATCTTTAATTTAATTTTTATTTGTTTATTTTTTTGTAGAGACAGGGTCTCACTATGTTGCCCAGGCTGGTCTGGAACTCCTGGACTCAAAAACGAGATCATTTTTACCTGAAGCATCCAGGATTAATTCTAGCAAAGGCAAAATATGTCCAGGAGTATCTAGCCTAAATAAAACTAAAGTCTCACATATAAAAATGCAGAGAATATAGAGGATGACATTCCACACAGAAATACAAAGATATATAATTATCTGCTATTAGAAATATCTGGTTGACATTTATTTATCTAATAGACAGTTCATTTTAACTATTCACGAAAGGCTTTTAAATTGTTCCAATGAATCTTATAGACCTTCCACCCACACAACAAGATATATTCTACTTGGAAGAATAAGTATTTTTATCCTTCCTCACCCATTATCCTATGGACTATATAGTCTAAATAGAATGCAAATATGTTATGTATTAAGTTTATATAGGGTATTACAGGGTGTTCCAAGATAAGAGAAATCATGTGGGCAGGGCATGGTGGCTCACACCTGTGATTCCAGCACTTTGGGAAGCCAAGGTGGGTGGATCACTTGAGCCCAGGAGTTCAAGACCAGCCTGGGCAACATGGCAAAACCCTGTCTCTACAAAAAATACAAAAATTAGCCAAGTGTGGTGGCGTGTGCCTGGAGTCCCAGCTACTTGGGAGGCTGAGGTGGGAGGATCACTTGAGGCCAGGAGGCACAGGCTGCAGTGAACCGAAATAACGTGGCCGCACTCCAGCCTGGGTAACAGAGCAAGACCCTGTCTTAAAAAAAAAAAAGAAAGAAAAGAAAGAAAGAAAGAAAAAGAAAGAAAGAAAGAAAGAAAGAAAGAAAGAAAGAAAGAAAGAAAGAAGGAAAGAAAGAAAGAAAGAAAAAGAAAGAAAGAAGGAAGGAAAGAAAGAAAGAAAGAAAGAAAAAGAAAGAAAGAAAGAAAGAAAAAAGAAAGAAAGAAAGAAAGAAAGAAAGAAAGAAAGAAAGAAAGAAAGAAATCATGCGGTTTCAGCCTGCAAGGAGCATGTTCTCCAAATGGGATATGTATAACAGTATCCATAATAGCAGCATAATGAGATAAACACCACAGGAGAAGTGCAAAGTGGCAAGAAAACATAGATGAGAGCAATTGCATCTATAAGTGCATATATATACACACATATTTATATGCACAAATACAAACTTTGACTTTTTTAGTTTCTTTCTCTGATTTAAAATTAGATTACAGAAATTACCTGGCTTTAATCAACCATCGTCCTCATGTCAAAGGAAATTCCAGCTGCTATGGAGTGTTGCCTACAGAGGAGCCTGTCTATAATTGGAGAACGGTAATTGTAAGTATCAGACCATCCCTTAATAACAGGCAAATATCCTATTCTTGCCAGCCTTCCATTTCACATACACTGTCTGAAACCCAGCTTAAAGACAGCATTGACTATGAAAATGGTTTTTTCTTTCTTTTTTTTTTTTTTTTGAGATGGAGTCTGGCTCTGTCACCCAGGCTGGGGTTCAGTAGCTCAATCTCAGCTCACTGCAACCTCTGCCTCCCAGGTTCAAGTGATTCTCCTGCCTCAGCCTCCCAAGTAGCTGGGGTTACAGGCGTGCACCACAATGCCCAGTTAACTTCTGTATTTTTAGTGGAGACAGGATTTCCACATATTGGCCAGGCTGGTCTCAAACTCCTGACTTCAGGTGATCCACCAGCCTCAGCCTCCCAAAGGGAAGGATTACAGGCGTGAGCCACTGTGCTCTACCTGAAAATGCTTTTTAAGGGCCATCAGCTGTAGTCTGAACTTGACAGTCAACATGGATGATCACATGCTGTTAGGAAGGAAATAACCCTTCATCATTGCTCTCTACTTAGCCTCAGACTGGTTTGGATGACTTCGTAAAAAGGAGGTGTTTTCAGGATGTTAATATCAGTTGCTTCTCCTTAGTCCATCTGGGAAATTGCAAAAAGTTTCCCCTAAAAGCCACAGGGCAAAGATCCAAACTGCCCCTGCACTGGTTTTACCTACAGTCTTGTATTAGACTGCTCTGTTTTCCTTCTCAAACTCAGTGTTATCTGCATGTATTGGACCAATTCATTGATATTTTATTAATAGCAGCATCTGCAAAGGGAAACACCCTGCCATCTCCCCATTCATGTATTCTTTTAGTTGTCTTCTTCATGCATCCATTTTATCAAGCGGTCTTCATGGGATGAGGTATAAATGTGAATTGGTTTTTATTTTTCTTCAGTCACTACCTTCAATCACACCATGTCAAATGTCCTTTTTCTGTTTCTATAAATTGTTCCCTTGGGGCCTCTTCACAAGACATTTTATTTTAAGAGAGTGCTTTGGGCTGGGCTCAGTGGCTCACGCCTGTAATCCCAAAGTTTTGGGAGGCTGAGGAGGAAGGATCACTTGAGCCCAAGAGTTCGAGACCAACCTGGGCAACAGAGCAAGACCCTGTCTCAAAAAAAAATTTTGTAAATAAAAATTTTAAATAGAGGGTGCTTTGGTTCCAGCTTAACCTCTTCCACCTCCACTTAGGGTTGCCAGGTAAAATGCAAGATGCCCAATATTTTGTTTGCTAAATCTGGCAACCCTTCTTCTTTCTACTTCAGCTCCCATTTTCTAGCATGTGCCTCACAGCCTCTTATCCCTGGGGACTCCTTGCCTGCTGGTCAGCCTTCTTGATTGGGGTGTGGAAAGACAGCTCAAGCCCAGCCCCTTCCGGTGTTTAACCCTTGGAAACCCACATATTCTTCTTGCCATATGTAAATGGTAGAAGCTTGGGCTGCTTCTTCCTGTCCCCTTTCTTTATTCTGCCTTCCCTTGGCTGTCATCTTTTTTTTTTAAGACAGGGTATTTTTCTCTCACCTAGGTTGGAGTGCAGTGGTGCGATTATAGCTCACTGAAGCTTCAAATTCCTGGGGTCAAGGGATCCTCCTGCCTCAGCTTCCCAAGTAGCTGGGACTATAGACATGTGCCACCAGGCCTGGGTAATTTTTAAATATAAATTTTTTTGTTCTGTTGCCCAGGCCGTAGTGCAATGGCACCATCTCGGCTCACTGCAACCTCTGCCTCCTGGGTTCAAGCGATTCTCCTGCCTCGGCCTCCCAAGTAGGTGGGATTACAGGTGCCCACCACCACCCACAGCTAATTTTTTTTTTTTTTTTGAGATAGAGTTTCACTGTTGTCACCCAGGCTGGAGTGCAATAGTGTGATCTCGGCTCACTGCATCCTCCGCCTCCCAGGTTCAAGCGATTCTCCTGCCTCAGCCTCCCTAGTAGCTAGCTGGGATCACAGGCGCCTGCCACCATGCCCAGCTAATTTTTGTATTTTTAGTAGAGACAGGGTTTTACCATGTTGGCCAGGCTGATCTCAAACACCTGACCTCAGGTGATCCACCCACCTCGGCCTCCCAAAGTGTTGGAATTACAAGTGTGAGCCACTGTGCACCCAGCCAATTTTTTTGTACTTTTAGTAGAGACGGGGTTTCACCACGTTGGCCAGGCTGGTCTCGAACTCTTGACTTCAGGCGATCCGCCCGCCTCGGCCTCCCAAAGTGCTGGGATTACAGGCATGAGCCACCATGCCTGGCGTACAAAAAGGCCAGGCACGGTGTCTCATGCCTGTAATCCCAGCACTTTGGGAGGCCGAGGCAGGTGGATCGCCTGAGGTCGGGAGTTCAAGACCAGCCTGGCCAACATGGAGAAACCCCATCTCTACTAAAAATACAAAATTAGCCGGGCATGGTGGCACGCCCAGCTACTAGGGAGGCTGAGGCAGGAGAATCGCTTGAAACTGGGAGGCGGAGGTTGCGTTGAGCCAAGATCGCGCCATTGCACTCCAGCCTAGGCAACAAGAGTGAAACTCTGTCTCAAAAAAAAAAAAAAAATTGTAGAGGTGGGGTCTCTCTAAGTTGCCCAGGCTGGTCTTGAACTCCTGGGCTCAAGTGATTCCCCTGCCTTGGCTTCCCAAACTGTTGAGATTACAGGCATGAGCCACCGTGCTCGGCCCTTTCTTGTCTTGTAAAATTTTTATTGTTTTCATTACTTATTTTATTTTATCTTCCCAGCTGCCTACTGACATCTTTCTTTTCTTATCTCCCCTTGCCTACATGGGCATCCAACACAGGAATGGAAGCCCATCTTCCCTTTCTGATGGTACCACAGACTTTAAGCAATCCCTTCTTTCTTGTAGGGAGGGTAGGACATGACACTCCTCACAAAGCCAAGGATTACCCTCTGTCCCCTGGTCCTCTCCTTATGTGGGTTTGATGCTAGTGCTGCCCTGGGAGCTATCTGGCTGCAGTTGGGGGTAATTCCTTTTGCAATCTGGGAGACGCTTAGCCTCTTTTTCCCCTAACTTTTGACTTCAGCCTATAATAGGGGGCAACAGGGAAAGTCTCACTTAACATCCTGCTTCATTATTTATATAGAACAGTGCTGCGGACTTCTATTTTGAAGGAAATATTCATCAATCTCTGCAGAACATAACTGAAAACCAGCTGGTACAACCCACTCTTCTCCAGCAAAAGGGGGGAAAAGGTACGTTGATCCATCATTCGTTATACAGGTAAAAGAACCAGATCTTCCTCATAGCTGCTTTAAAGGGATTTTATAACTGAGTTTGGAATTGAATTTGCAAAATATTCTTTTATCACATTTGAGAGTAATTTAACTCTGACTTCTTGAAACAGTCCAAGCCATTCATCTTGGGTGAGACTTCCTGTGTTTTTTTTTTTTTTTTTCTGAGACAGAGTCTCACTCTGTTGTCCAGGCTGGGTCTGAAACTCCTGGACTCAAGCCATCCAAAGTGCTGGGATTACAGGTGTGAGCCACCACACCCAGCCTCCTATTTTTAAATTTTTTTATTTTTATTTTTTACTTTTTGAGCTTATGTTGTTAAAAACAGAGACACAAACACACACATTAGCCTAGGAGTAACAGTGACAGGATCGTCACTATCACTGTCTTCCACCTCCACATCTTGTCCCACTGGAAGGTCTTCAGGGACAATAACACATAGAGCTGTCATCTCCTATGATAACAGCGCCTTCTGGAATACCTGTTGAAGAACCTGCCTGAGGCTGATTCACAGTTAGCTTTCTATTTTTTAATTTTTATTTTATTATTTATTGATTGTTTTACAGTTAAATTTAAAAGAAAATTAAGTAGAAGGAGTACAATCTAAAATAATGATAAAACATATATACAGTAGATACTAGGTGATAGGAATTTTTCAGCTCCACTATCATCTTTTTTTTCTTTTTTTTAATTGTTGCCCAGGTTAGGATGCAGTGGCATCATCTCAGCTCACTGCAGCTTCTGCCTCCCCGACTCAAGCAATTCTCCTGCCTCAGCCTCCTGAGTAGCTGGGATTACAGGCACTCACCACCACGCCTGGCCCGTTTTTTGTATTTTTAGTAGAGACGGGGTTTTGTCATGTTGGCCAGGCTGGTCTCGAAACCCTGGCCTCAGGTGATCCAGTCTTCCAAAGTGCTGGGATTACAGGTGTGAGCTACCATGCCTGGCCATATAATTTTTTTAAATGTGATTCAGGCAGCCCCCCCGAACCAAAATAGGTTCAGAGAGACTCCCTCACCAATACATTTTATTTATTTATTTTTATTTTTATTTATTCATTTATTTATTTTTTAATTTTTTTGAAACAGAGTCTAGCTCTTTTTATTTTTCAAAATAGAAGTATTATATACTCATGGTAAAAGACTCAAACCAAAGTACAAAGTGAAAGTAAAAGTTCCAGTGTATTTTACATATTTCTAGAAAGCTTTTTTTAAAAAAATTTTCACATATACAAGTATATGCATATCCTTTGAAATTACACATGGGATTGTACTCTTGCACTTTTTCCAGTAAATAATATATCTTAAGTAAATTCTGGGCATGGTGGCTCATGCCTGTAATCCTAGCACTTTGGGAGGCCAAGGTAGACGGATCACCTGGGGTCAGGAGTTCGAGACGAACCTGGCCAACATGGTGAAGCTCCGTCTCTACAAAAAATAAAAAAAATTTAGCCGGGCATGGTGGTGGGTGCCTGTAATCCCAGCTACTGGGGAGGCTGAGGTGGGAGGATCACTTGAGTCCAGGAGGTGGAGGTTGCAGTGAGCCAAGATCAAGCCACTGCACTCCAGCCTGGGTGACAGAGTGAGACTCCAACTCAAAAAATAATAATAATAAATAAAATAAAGAAAATAAATAGATAGATAAATATATAGTTGAGGGAGTCTCTCCGAACCTATTCTGGTTCAAGGAGGCTACCTGATTCACTTTAAAAAATAATTATAGGCCAGGCATGGTTAAAAAAAAATTATAGGCCAGGCATGGTGGCTCATGCCTGTAATCCCAGCACTTCGGGAGACTGAGGCAGGCAGATCACTCGAGGTCAGGAGGCTGAGGCAGGAGAATCGCTTGAACCCGGGAGGCAGAGGTTGCAGTGAGCCAAGATTGCGCCACTACACTCCAGCCTGGGCGACAGAGCGAGACTCCATCTCCAAAAATTAATAAATAAAATAAAATAAAATAAAATTTAAACATAAAAAAATACGGAAAACTTTAAAAGATGATGATCCATTAAGACCAATTTGATCACTGAATGAGAGACAGAGGAGTTTTGTTTAAGCTGTGACTTTAATTCATGATGTGTTTTTTGGTAAGTCCCTTTCATTTCTCAATTCATAAACTCAAGATAATATAATACAAAAGATAATCTTTGTAAAAATGTTTGAGGTCTTTGGATGAGTGATAAATGCATCATGCAAGAGTATTATTCCCCAGAGACTGTTTAAAGCAGTTTGGGAATCCACTAGTATACCTCCTCAAGGGAAAATGGAATTTGGCTGCAAATTTTTTAGCTACTGACAGATCTGGCAGAGCACAGTATTTACAGACTAACTCAGAAGTCACAAAATGGGCTGTCACTTTTGTTCTCATGAGCTGTTATGCAAAAGAAATCCTATCAACTGAACAAAACCCACACAGATTCTCTCAAAATTTCCTGCCTAGTTATTTTGAAATATAAATGGCTGTGTTCCTAAGATTCTAGTGGCACTATTTATTCCACAACAATGAGAAATATCACAGTGCCCATTGCATTGTTAAATGAATAATGTTAAAGTGATATAAAAACATTTTTGGCATTTCCATATGAGTTTTTCTCCTTTTTTATTTTTCAAGTAATTGTGCAAACCCAGAGTTAGCACTTTTACCTAGGTCTTCGGTATTAATTTCCTTAATATTACCTTACATTTGCATTCTATTTTGCATTTTACAAAGTGCATTTACATCCCTTAACTCATTTGAATAAAGCCCCTTAAAATGACTTGTTTTCTGGAAATGGCTTTTTGAGGCTTCTCTTCGAAACTGCTAAACTTGTGGTCCATTTTGCTCAATGTTGTTCTGTGGAAAGTTTGTTTTGTTTTGTTTTTTGAGACAGATTCTCGCTCTGTTGCCCAGGCTGGAGTGCAGTGGCGCGATCTCGGCTCACTGCAGCCTCCACCTCAAATGATTCTCCTGGGTTCGAGGGAGAATCCTCAGGGGACTGCCTCAGCCTCCCGAGTAGCTGGGATTACAGGCGCGTGCCACCCTGCCTGGCTAATTTTTGTATTTTTAGTAGAGACGGGATTTCACCATATTGGCCAGGCTGGTGAACTCCTGACCTCAAGTGATCCGCCCTCCTCGGCCTCCCAAAGTGCTGGGACTACAGGCGTGAGCCATCACGCCCGGCCAGGCAACATTCTTAACAACTTCTCCAACAAAGAAAGATCCAGTTGAAACTTCAATAGGCCAAATAGATCCTCTACCTTCGAATCCCATAAAATGATGCCATCATGCATTCGTAAGGGCAGTGAGTGGGAGAAAAACCAGTCTCGATGCAGCTTTTAATTCAGTAGTTGCTCAACAAACCCTTTCTGAGGATGTTCTCGGTTTACAGCCACGGTGGAGTTTGACCTTGTTTCCCTTCATTTTAGGCAGGAAGAAGCTCCGACTGTTTGAATACCTTCACGAATCCCTGTATAATCCGGAGATGGCATCTTGTATTCAGTGGGTAGATAAAACCAAAGGCATCTTTCAGTTTGTATCAAAAAACAAAGAAAAACTTGCCGAGCTTTGGGGGAAAAGAAAAGGCAACAGGAAGACCATGACTTACCAGAAAATGGCCAGGGCACTCAGAAATTACGGAAGAAGTGGGGAAATTACCAAAATCCGGAGGAAGCTGACTTACCAGTTCAGTGAGGCCATTCTCCAAAGACTCTCTCCATCCTATTTCCTGGGGAAAGAGATCTTCTATTCACAGTGTGTTCAACCTGATCAAGAATATCTCAGTTTAAATAACTGGAATGCAAATTATAATTATACATATGCCAATTACCATGAGCTAAATCACCATGATTGCTAAATATACTTTCATATTTCATGGTTTACTGGCATCGGAAATCTCTACAAGTTTTAATGATTTCTCCCTCCCTCTCTTTTTTTCCTCCTCTGAAGAAATTTAGGATTTTTCTCTTAAAGCAAATACTAAAGAGGAAAAAAAATTAACTTTATTGTTGCTTTTATCAAAGAGTATGTAATCTATACTAACTTGTTGGGAAATTCTGCCAATGAACAACTTTTTTATAATACTTTGTGAAGATTCAATGAACAACTTTATTGTTTCAAATGATCAAGCCCATTTGAAAGTATAGACTAAGGTCCTTGCTCTGCTCTTACTGTTCTCTCTCTATTAAAATTTTTATTTTTTTATTTTATTATTTTTTAAAGATGTCTCAGCCAAGATAATTTTTTATTTTTATGGATTTAGGAGTACAAGTGCAGTTTTGTTGCTTTGATATATTGCATAGTGGTGAAATATGCATCCTCATCACCAGAATAGTGAACACTGTACCCAATAGGTAGGATTTCATCCCTCATCCCCCTGGCATCCTCCCACCTTTCAGAGCCTCCAGTGTCCATTACTCCATTCTGTATGACCATTGCTAAGCTCCCAACTATACCCATTTTATTTTATTTTAAAAATTGTTTTCTTTTGCTGCATACTTCAATGGATGCAAAGTCTTTTTCTTTTTTCTTTTTTTCTTTTCTTTTCACAGACGATGACTTCTTTTTTTGTTTGTTTGTTTGTTTTTGGCTGCTAACTCCCAAGCACAACACTGACAGTGACTTATATTTTTAATTTTTTTTTTTTTTTTTTTTTTTGAGACGGAGTCTCGCTCTGTCGCCCAGGCTGGAGTGCTGTGGCGCAATCTCGGCTCAGTGCAAGCTCCGCCTCCTGGGTTCATGCCATTCTCCTGCCTCAGCCTCCCGAGTAGCTGGGAGTACAGGTGCCCGCCACCACGCCCGGCTGATTTTTTTGTATTTTTAGTAGAGACGGGGTTTCACTGTGTTAACCAGGATGGTCTCGATCTCCTGACCTCATGATCCGCCCGCCTCGGCCTCCCAAAGTGCTGGGATTACAGGCGTGAGTCACCGCGCCCGGCTATTTTTAATTTTTTTAAGAGGCAAAGCCTACCTCTGAAGCTCTCTCTTTTTTTCTTTTCACACTTCAATAAGCTGGTTTAAATTCTTGCTATTCTCTATGCAACCACCTTCTTCTAGATTAACAGTGCCAGTACAGATGATTTGATTTATATATTGATTTCAGCATTTTCTTGTCATGTACTCAGGTGAGAAAATTCACACTTTTATATGATGGCTTTACAAAAAAATTTTGTAAATGACTGCATATGATAAAGCCTTTGTGCCAAAATGGGTTCATAGCTTTAAAAACATCACTAGAAATGTCTGTTCAGCTTCCTTACACATTTTTTTATTTCCTTCTCTTTTGATCTTACCCATTTTTACAACTTAAAGCTTTTTTTTTTTTTTTTTTTTTGAGACAGGGTCTCACTCTGTCACCTATGCTCAGGTGCAGTGACACAAACATGGATGAAGCCCAGCTAATTTTTTTTTTTTTTTTTTGTAGAGACTGTTTTGCCATGTTGCCCAGGCTGGTCTCTAACTCCTGGGCTCAGGTGATCTGCCCACCTTGGCCTTCAGAAGTGCTAGGATTACAGGTGTGAGCCACCGAGCTGGCCCCAAAACTTTTTTAATGTTTAAGTTTTACCACTGTACTAAGGAGGAGTTACCCATTTTTTTAATTGCCTTTTTTCTTCCTTCTTATTAGGGAGGGGTAAGGAAGAAGACTTTGTCAGCAGAAAGCAGGTCTTAATTGCTTTTTTGTTTGTTTGTTTTGTTGCTATTGAGTTGTTTGAGTTCCTTATATGTATTGGATATTAAACCCTTGTCAGATGTCTGGCTTGCAAATGTTTTCTCCCATTCCATAGGCTGTCTCTTTACTCTGGTGATTATTTCCTTTGCTGTGCAGAAGCTTTTTAGTTTGTTTGTTTTAGCTACACGTCATGAACTAAGAAGCTTTTTAGTTTGATGTGATACCATTTGTCTATATTTAATTTTGTTGTCCATGCTTTCGGGATCAAATCCAAAATATCACTACCCACACCAATGTCTTATATGTTTCCCCTATGTTTTCTTTCTTTCTTTTCTTTCTTTCTCTCTCTCTCTTTCTTTCTTTCTTCTTGTAATCATTAGAGAAATGCAAATTAAAACCACAATAAGATATAATCTCTCACCTGTCACAACGTCTTAAAATGTTTATTATTATGTTTTTAATCATCCTGTACTTTATTTCAAAACAATGTTTTCAAATGAAGACACAAAAGATAAGTGTTGGTAAGGATGTAGAGCAAAGGAAACACTTGTACACTGTTGGTGGAAATGTAAATTGGTGTAGCCATTATGGAAAATGGTATGGAAATTCCACCCCCCCCCGAAAAAAAACTAAAAATAGAATTATATGATCTAGAAATCCCACTTCAGTGTATTAATGCAAAAGACTCGAAATCAGTTTGTGGAAGGGATATCTGCATTCCTATGTTCATTGCAACACTACGCACAATAGCCAAGTTAGGGAATCAATCTCTGTCTATCAACAGATGAATGGATTAAAAAAATGTATTGCATATACATGATGGAATACTATTCAGCCTTTAAAAAGAAGGACATTCTGGCCAGGTGCAATGGCTCACACCTGTAATTCCAACACTTTAGGAGATCAAGGCAGGCAGATCACTTGAAGTCAGGAGTTTGAAACCAGCCTGGCCAACATGGTGAAACCCCATCTCTACTAAAAATACAACAATTAGCTGGGTGTGATGATGCATGCCTGTAATCTCAGCTACTTGGGAGGCTGAGGCAGGAGAATGGCTTGAACCTTGGAGGCAGAGGTTTCAGTGAGCTGAGATGGCACTACTGCACTCCAGCCTGGGCGACAGAGTGAGACTCCATCTCAAAAAAAAAAAGGAAGGAAATCCTGAAATTTGTGACAACATTGATGAAATTGGAGAACATTATGCTAAGTGAAATAAGTCAGGGCTAGAAAGACAAATACCACATGTTCTCATTTATATGTGGAGTTAAAACAATGAACTTATAGAAGTGGAGAGTAGAATTGTGGTGACAGAAGCTGGAGGAGGGGGAGATGGGGAGGTGATGAGCAAAGGGTATACAATTTCAAACAGGGAGAATATGTTTTCTCTTTTTGTGCATTCTATTGCACAGCATGGTGAATATAGTTAATAGTAGAGTGCTGTACATTTCAAATTGCTAAGTAAACTTCAAATGTTCTTACCTCAAAGAAAGTTAAGTATTTGAGGTGATGGGTATGTTAACTAGCTTGACTGAATTATTTCATATGGCGTTCACAAATCATAACATCATTTTGTACCCCATAAATTTTTTCCCCACACAACTCTCTCTTTACAGAACCCATAAATCTATACAATTATAAATAGTCAATTTACAATAAAAAAGAAAAAAACTTTAGTGGGTATCTTGAGTCTGTATTTTCTCTGCACTTCCACTCATGATCTGTAACCATGTGGCATTCAACAGATGACAGCCTAAGGAAAATGCCACTTTCCTTAATGATAATAAAAATCTAAAGCTTACACCTCCTACAAATCCCCTTCGTGGTTGACGTTTTTCTTAGGTAGATCCAGGTGCTAATATTTCTTGCTATCCTGCCACGAAGCCATAGGGAGGTGCTGTTGCCCTGGTATCTATCTGGCACATGGTCTCTTCCCTTGAACTAGCCCAGTGGAGACAGGCTAGAACAGTTAGAGAAGGAAAATAAAAAGACTTTATAAAGGCTAGATACCAGCAAATAGTAAACTGAGGAAGGGACCAGGATATAAGCAGTCTAGCTTGAAAGCTATGGCTTATTCTCCACATTTCACAAAGAACCCTGGAAATAAATGCTTTCTTTCTTCATGCTTGGCAGGTGACTGCATATGTCATTTGTATTACCACAAGGCAGGAAAACTTTCCAGACTACATGGGCCATCTTCAGTCCAGGCCAAGAGCTCCCTGGGCCTGATCTCTGGGAGCTGTAGAATGTCCAGTGTCCTCTTTTCCTTCATGTCCCTCTCTTGTGTGCCCTACCTTCCCCAGGGACTCTGAGGAAAAGACATGATCAATCCAGAGTGACTGAGGGAAGGTGGACTTGATATTGGCCGTCTCCAAGTGTAGTCTATTTCAATCCATGCTCATCTCAAAGCAGGACTGAGATTTACACCCATGCCCCCACAAAGAAAATGCCTTATAAAGCATTAGTAAGAAACATAAATTTTGGCTGGGTGTGATGGCTCACACCCATAATCATAGCACTTTGGGAGGCCAAGGCAGGAGGATCACTTGAGACCAAGAGTTTGAGACCAGCCCAGACAACATAGTGAGACCCCATCTCTATTTAAAATAGCAACAACAGTGAAGTTAAAAAGAAACATAAGTTTTACCAAAGATTGAAAGGGGAAATGACCCCTGGACAATGGGAACTTGAAAAAAAATAATAAAAAAAAGAAAGGAGAAAGGGTAAAAAGGGTGTATCACACAAATCATTCAGCCAACAACTTAATACAATTCCATCAACATTTAGTTCTCCCCATAGTTCCTCCTATAACCAATGCCAGCTTGAGGGGTTCATCTTGACAATTCTTCCCCAAAGCTCCCAGTCAGTTCTAACTCTCTTCCCTAGATTATACAGAGTTGCTTTCTCTCAGGCAGAAGCCTGGGCTCTGCCTTCAGTGCAAAAAGCGCTGACCAAAGCCCATTTCTGTAAGCAGGTTCCTCCTTATAAAGACATGCTCATACCAGTGCTCAGAGATTAAAACCCTCTTCCTCTATTATGAAAAATGATGTCCTATTACAAACAGGGTCATTCTTCCCTGCCATGGCATGTGCACCCACCTGCTAAGGACAAGGAAGGAAGACTTCCTAGTTTTATTCATGGCCCCTCAATCTCTAGTGTATGGCACTCCATCCTCCATTTTGTCACTTTCATCTGGTTGAATGGCTCAGTTAAACTCTTCTCCACTGAGCTGGAGGTCTGAGAAGCAAACTTGACCTACTCACTGTGCATCCCGTGGGCAGCTTCCCATTACTAGTTTTCTTGGCCCAGGTATTATGCATTAAACTTCTGCTTCCATGTGCTTCCTGTCAGTGCTTCCTTTATTTTATTATTTTTGTAGACCTGATTTTATTTATTTTTTAAGAGCTTTATTGAAGTATAATTGATATACAATAAAAACTGCACATTTAGTGTATCCAATTTCATAAGTTTGATATATGTGTACACCCATGATACCATCACCACTATCAAGGAAATAAACATATCCACCACCTCCAAAAGTTTCCCTGTGTCCCTTTGTGTGTGGAGGGTGGGTCAGGGAAGGTAGGTAGGTCAGGGGTGTCCCAGTAATAAGAAATCTTTTTTTTTTTTTTTTTTTTTTTGAGACAGTCTCACTCTGTTGCCCAGGCTAGGGTGCAATGCGTGATCTTGACTGACTGCAACCTCTGCCTCCTGGATTCAAGTGATTCTCCTGCCTCAGCCTACTGAGTAGTTGGGATTACAGGCGCCCACCATCATGGCCAGCTAATTTTTGTATTTTTAGTAAAGATGAGGTTTTGCCATGTTGGTCAGGCTGGTCTCGAACTCCTGACCTCAGGTGATACGCCTGCCTTGGCCTCCCAAAGTGCTGAGATTACAGGCATGAGCCACCATGCCCGGCCTAGAAAGAACTCTTAACATGAGATCTACCCTCTTAACAGATTTTTAGGAATACAATACCATATTGTGAACTACAGGCACTATATTAGTCTCATGCTGCTAATAAAGACATACTCGAGACTGGGTAGTTTATAAAGGAAAGAGGTTTAATTGACTCACAGTTCCACATGGCTGGGGAGGCTTCACAATCATGGCGGAAGTCATGTCTTACATGGCGGCAGAAAAGAGAGTGTGCAAGGGAACTCCCTTTTTTAAAACCACCAGATCTCGTGAGACTGATTCACTACCATGAGAACAGTATGGGGGAAACCATCCCCATGATTCAATTACCTCCACCTGGCCCCGCCCTTGACACGTGAAGATTATTACAATTCAAGGTGAGATTTGGGTGGGGACACAGGCAAACCATATCAGGCCCTATGTTGTACAGCAGATCTCTAGAACATTTTCGTCTTAGCATCACTGAAACTTTATATACCTTGAGCAACAGCTCTCCCTCTCCTCCTTCCCCCTGCCCCTAGCAATCTCTGTTCTAGTGTCTCCTTCTGAGTATGACTATTTTAGATATCTCATATAAGTGAAATCATGCAATATTTGTCCTTCTGTGACTAGCTTATTTCATTTAGCATAATGTCTTCCAGGTTCCTCCATGTTGTCACAAATTGGAGAATTAGCTTCTTTTTCACAGTGAATAGTACTATACACACACATGTACACACACGCACACACAGACACACACCACACCACACCACATTTTCTTTATCTATTCATCTGTTGATGGACATTTGGGTTGTTTCCATATCTTGGCTATTGTGAATGATGCTGCAACAAATGTGGGAATGCCGATATCATTTCAATATTCTGATTACAATTCTTTTGGATTAAAGTCTTTTGGAGTGGGATTGTTGGATCTCATGGTAGTACTATTTTTAAATTTTTGAGGAACCTCCATGTTGTTTTCCATAGTGGCCATGCCATTTTACATTCCCACCAACGATGTACAAGAGTTCTAATTTCTCCACAGTCTTACCAACATTTAGTCTGATAAAAACCATCTTAACAGGTGTGAGGTGCTACCTCATTGTGGTTTTGATTTGCATTTCCCTGATGATCAGTGATAGCACTTCTTTTAAATCACTGGATGCTCCTCTGAGCTCTGGTCCTGAAGCAGGTGGGCCTTCTGGTTGATTTATCCTTTTTTCTCCCTTCAGTTCTTCCTATTCATAGGCATAAGTGCCAAGGATATTTTTTTTTCCTCATCTCAGCCATCTGTTCTGTATAAAAAATACTCTATGGAGCAGCCCTACTCAAAGTCATCTTCCTTACTAAATTAAGGAAAAAGCCAAATGCATTAAGTGGAGGATGGCATTAATTATAATAAACTGAAAGACAGCTTCAATACGTGTCCTTCCTCTCTCCCACCCTCTATTCTTCCTTCCTATTCTTCTCCTGCTTTTCCTGTGCAAGGTAGATTATGCCACATCAGGGGTATCCAGTATGAAGTGAAAAAGCTTTTTAAATAAAAAAGAAATTAAAAAAAGAAAAGATCCTTTCAATGAATTCAGTGAATGTCATTAGTTATATGCTCATCTGCTTCCCACCACCCGCCTCGCCCCATTTTCTCCTTCCTTATTGCTAAGGTCTTCTAGTCTTCTCTCTGGGCCCTCTTGCCACTTCCCTGTCTCTTCTGGGTCCTCTCACCCTCTTCTGCCAAAGCCAACATCAAAGAGCTGTGCAGGGGGTGAAGTTAGCACACCAGGGAGAAGGGTGACAGGTAAGTTCCTCTCTGAGCCACTTTCTTAGCAGTAACAATGGCTAACATTTACTTGGCACTTTTATATGGCAGGCATTTTGCTAAGTACTTTCCATTTTCTATTCACAGCAATCCTATAAAGTATGTGTTCCTTTTATTTTCATTTGGCTGGGCGCAGTGGCTCACGCCTGTAATCCCAGCACTTTGGGAGGCAGAGGTGGGTGGATCACGAGGTCAGGAGATCGAGACCATCCTGGCTAACACGGTGAAACCCCGTCTCTACTAAAAATACAAAAAATTAGCCGGGCGTGGTGGCGGGCACCTGTACTCCCAGCTACTCGGGAGGCTGAGGCAGGAGAATGGCATGAACCCAGGAGGCGGAGCTTGCACTGAGCCGAGATTGCGCCATTGCACTCCAGC
The DNA here is from genome assembly GCF_000001405.40 of Homo sapiens. Lineage (NCBI taxonomy): Eukaryota > Metazoa > Chordata > Mammalia > Primates > Hominidae > Homo > Homo sapiens. The sequence goes on from NC_000012.12 coordinate 101,494,672, forward strand.
CTGGGTGACAGAGCGAGACTCCATCTCAAAAAAAAATTAAATTAAATTGAATTAAATAATAAAAATCCACTAAGAATGCCTTGAGGCATATGCTACTTTCATGTTTTTTTACATTTTAATTTTGACTGGAGTCTTGCATTTGTCTTTTTTTAATTTTAATTTTGACTGCTTCTTTTTTTTTCTTTTTGAGACAGAGTCTCACTCCATCACCCAGGCTGTAGTGCAGTGGCGTGATCTTGGCTCACTTCAATCTCCACCTTCCAGCTTCAAGCAGTTCTTGTACCTCAGCCTCCCAAGCAGCTAGAATTATAGATGCATGCCACCATGCCTGGCTAATTTTTGTATTTTCAGTAGAGATGACGTTTCGCCATGGTGGCTAGGCTGGTCTTGAACTCCCGACCTCAAGTGATCCACCCACCTCGGCCTCCCAAAGTGTTGGGATTACAGGCATGAGACACGCCTGGCTTTTTTTTTTCTTTTCTTTTTGAGACAGTGTCTTGCTCTGTTGCCCAGGATGGAATGCAGTGGCACAATCTTGACTCACTGCAGCCTCTACTTCCCAGGTTCAAATGATCCTCTAGACTCAGCCTCTCGAGTAGCTGGATTACAGATGCCCACCACCAGATCTGGCTAACTTTTGTATTTTTTATAGAGATGGGGTTTCACTATGTTGCCCAGGCTGGTCTCGAACTGCTGAGCTGAAGCCATCTGCCTGCCTCGACCTCCCAAAGTGCTGGGATTATAGGCATGAGCCACCGTGCCCGGCCTGCTACTTTCATGTAAACAATTTCCTATGATTTCCAAGATTCAAATCCCCTAATTCTAGGTTTTTAAAGGTAGAGTATATCTAAGTTGAAATCATTCTAAGGCTCCTGCTGGCTAGCATCAGATGGATAACAGCCTGGTTTAGACTTAGCTTCTAATTTTTTTCAAGGGGTATAATAAATATAAAGTGCACTAATATTTACTGTATATTGTGATTGATGTATACACCCATATAACCAACATCCAGACCAAAATACAGAATATTCCTAGCACCTTCTAATGTTCCCTCACGTTGTTTTCCAATCTATACCCACCTTCTTCACTATCACATAAGTGAATTCATATAGTATGTAGTGTTAAGACTCCCTTTCAAAAAAAAAATCTTTTAAATATTTGGTAGAATTCAGTGGTGAAGCCATTTAGTTCTGGGCTTTTATTGCTGTTTTTTTTTGTTTTGTTTTGTTTTGTTTTTGAGATGGAGTCTTGCTCCATCGTTCAGGCTGGAGTACAGTGGCATGATCTGGGCTCACTTCAATCTCTACCTCCCGGGTTCAAGCGATTCTCCTGCCTCAGCCTCCTGAGTAGCTGGGACTACAGGCACATACCACCACAGTCGGCTAATTTTTTTGTATTTTTGGTAGAGACTGGGTTTCACTGTGTTAGTCAGGATGGTCTCAATCTCCTGACCGCGTGATCTGCCTGCCTTGGCCTCCAAAAGTGCTGGGATTACAGGCGTGAGCCACTGCGCCCGGCCTTTAAAAAAAAATAAATTACTAATGCACTCTCTTTATGTATCATAGGTTGTGGTATTATATTTTTATTTATTTTTTATTGGTGTATTTATTTATTTAGAGACAGGGTCTCACTTTGTCACCAGGCTGGAGTGCAGTGGCACCATCTGAGCTCACCCAAATCTCTGCCTCCCAGGTTCAAACAATTCTCCTGCCTCAGCCTCTTGAGTAGCTGGGATTACAGGCACACACCACCATGGCCAGCTAATTTTTGTCTTTTTAGTAGCTACAGGGTTTCGCCATGTTGGCTAGGCTGGTCTTCAACTCCTGACCTCAAGTTATCCTCCCACCTCAGTCTACCAAGGTACTGGGATTACAAGCATGAACCACTGCGCCCGGCCTTATATTTTTAAAAATTGGTCTTTGTTCTTCTTTCTTGGCATGCAGCTCCTAAAACCCTTCAAATTTCCCTGAGTGATAGGAGTATCTTTTTTATTTTATTTGATTTTTAGGAAGGTCTTGCTCTGTCACCCAGGCTGGAGTGCCATGGCCTGATCACGGCTCACTGCAGCCTGCCTTTGTCTCCCAGGTTCAAGCAATCCTCCCACCTCAGCCTCTTGAATACTTGAGACTACCGGCATGTGCTACCACGCCCAGCTCGTTGTTTATTTTTTTAGTAGACACAGGTCTTCCTATGTTGCCTAGACTGGCTTTGAACCCCTGGTCTCAAGCAATCCTCTGGTTTCAGCCTCCCAAAGTGCTGAGATTACAGGCATGAGCCACCATGCCCTAGCAAGGGAGTATCTTTTACTATTTTTAACAAGTCCCCTTTTACCACATGAAATTTATGCTAATGAGATGACTTAGGGTGGGGCCTCTAGATAGCCTAAGGATGGGGTGTGTCCCAGAAAGAGCCGGTGATTAAAGGGTGTGAATTTTCAGCCCCACCTACAGACCTGTGGGAAGGAGATGGAGATGAGATTGAGCTCTTTTTTTTTTTTTAATTTTTTAATTTTTTTTTTTTGAGAAAGAGTCTCACTCTGTCACCCAGGCTGGAGTGCAGTGGCGTGATCTTGGCTCACTGCAACCTCCACCTCCTAGGTTCAAGCAATTCTCCTGACTCAGCCTCCTGAGTAGCTGGGACTACAGGCACCCGCCACCACACCTGGCTAATTTTCGTATTTTACTAGAGATGGGCTTTTGCCATGTTGGCCAGGCTGGTCTCGAACTCCTGACCTCAAGTGATCCACCCGCCTCGGCCTCCCAAAGTGCTGAGATTACAGGTGTGTGCTGAGATTACAGGTGTGAGCCACCATGCCAAGCCAGAGATTGAGCTCTTTAGAAACTCTTGAACAATGAGACCGGGAAAGCTTCAGCCTGGCGAAGACATGGACTTGCTGGAAGAGTGATGTTAAATTAAACAGCTGGTCTCTATTGTTTCAGGTGTCCCAAATTCCTTCTAGATGTCCAGAATAAATTATAGGAATTTGGACCAATTGAACAAGTGGGCAGTGTTAGTGCTTGTTCAGACACCTGGTCACTTTGAGGATTTGTTAAGACACAGTCAGGTGTCCAGTTGATGTACATGTGGGTTGGGGGACCCTCTTAAGGTGTGAAAATATGGATCCAGGAGTCTGTTACAACTCCAGGTTTCAGTGGGCACTGAGATCCCCTATTAAGACATTATTAAGAACTGTATTTCTTAACGTTTCTTGACCACAAATCTAAGCTCAAGATACCTTAGATTTGCCCTTGCAATATGAAGAAAAAGTGTTTTGAGTTTGGTGGATGGCTGCCTCTCTAATTTAGGCCTGGATGGATTTTAAGGGCATGGATAGATTCAAGAGAGAAAGAGGACTGCAGGTAGGGATTGGGTGTGCTTTGCTGTGGTTGTGTGAAATAGAGTACTTCAATAATTTTCTGGCCAGGCACAGGGGCTCACAGTTGTAATCTTAGCACTTTGGGAGGCCAAGACCAGCCTGGCCAACACGGCAAAACTCCGTCTCTACTAAAAATACAAAAATTAGCTGGGTGTGTTGATGCTTGCCTATAATCCTAGCTACTTGAGAGGCTGAGGCACGAGAATCACTCGAACCCAGGAGGTGGAGGTTGCAGTGATTGGGGCTCATGCCACTGCACTCTAGCCTGGGTGACAGAGCAAGACTCTGTCTCAAAAATACAAAAATAAATTTTCTGTCAGGGGCAGTCCCAACTTACTCCAGTCATGAATAAAGAGCTGAAAGTGGAAGATGAATCTGTAGCATCCAGGTTTCTCAGCCGTGGACCACATGATTAAAAACCCAAAAATAGAGTACCACATGAATATGTTATGTAACATATTCATGGTGATCTTGAGCCAATAATTGGTGCCAGAGAAGTAGATGTGGTTCAAATAAGAGATATTTGCAATTTGTGCAAGAACAAAGCGTTGCAAAATGTTTGGATTAGCTGTCAGAGGTAGCTTTATTCTCTACAGCTGTAGGAACTAGTGAAGATTCTCTTTGACAAGTAAACCCATCTGGGATCTGTAGTGATGAATTAATCAATGAAAGCCTGATGAGTCCACATGCAGCTCAAGTAAGCAAACCAAATTTCTTATAATAAACATTTTTTGTTTGTCGTGTGTGTGTGTGTGTGTGTGTGTGTGTGTGTGTGTGTTTAAGAGACAGGGTCTCGCTCTGTTACCCAGGCTGGGGTGCAGTGGCAAGATCACAGCTCACTGCAGCCTCGAATTCCTGGGCTCAAGCAATCTTTTCACCTCAGCTTCTCAAGTAGCTGGAATTACAGTTGTACACCGCCATATCTGGCTAAATTTTAATTTTGTTTTGTAGAGACTAGGTCTCTATACGTTGCCCCTATCGGTCTTGAACTTCTGGCCTCAAGTGATCCTCCCACCTTGGCCTCCAAAAGCATTGGGATTACAGGCATGAGCCACCATGCCTGGCCAATAAACACCTTATGATGTAAGCGAACAATAAGTTTTTATATAACCAGCATGTTTTACACAAGCAGTTAAATTCTAGCAAGTCATGTGGTGAAAGATCACATTTACAAGCTTTGCAGTCAGAATGCTATTTCTTGGAATACTTTGTTTCTTCTCATTAACTCAGTAAAAGCAAGAAGATTGGTTAGGATACTGTGAGCATGACGTAACAAAAAAATTCTGACATGAACTGGTTTAAACAATAAAATTTATTATGCCGCTGACCAAGACGTCCAAAGGAAGAGTGGGCTACAACCGTGATACATTCTTGCTCTGCCTTCAGTTTTAGTTGAGTCCTTGGTCTCTTCTTCTTGCCACTGGCCTTATCTTCACACTACAGTTCCAGATACATCTCAACACAGCAATGTTCAGGGGCAGAAAGGGTCATTTCTTCCAGGGTCTCCTTTGTGGCCATAAGGAAACCACCTAGAGCCCCCCAGAACACATCTCCTCATGTCTTGGTGGCCAGACCTGGGTCTCATGCTCAGCACTGAGTCAATCACTGGCAAGAAGGGGACAGCTGTGACTGATTCAAACCAAATAGGATTTCTCTCTGGAGGAGAGAGGTCACTGTAGGAGAGGACAAACACCTGAATAAAATGAGTTTTTCTTGGAAGGAGAAAGGGAGTAGTGGATATTGAGTAGGAAACCAACAACTTTTGCTCTAGTGCACCTCTTTGCCCACGTTTTCTGAAAACACTTAAAAGATGTTCATGTCTTTGTGGAAATTATTCAAATACTCTAAGGAATGGCAACCCTAAGTCTCATGGGGTCACTACCTCCAAGCCCAGGATTGCAGTGTAACGTTCAGTTGTCTCCTCTGATCCATGACTGAATTTGCTCTTCCAGCAGCACAGCAGTCCTGCAATAGACTATATAACAATATAAAGTCTGATCTGGAAAGGGGAGGAGCAGAAAACAACTCCCACTTGTCTATAACGCATATTAACACGTATCTTATCCAAGAAAATGTGGGTCATATACACCATGGAATAGTATGCAGCCACAAAAAAGAAACAAAATCATGTCCTTTGCAGCAACATAGATGCAGCTGGAGGCCACTATACTAATTAACACAGAAACAGAAAAGCAAATACCGCATGTTCTACTTCTAAGTGGGAGTTAAACAATAGCTACTCATGGACATAAAGATGGCAACAGTAGCCACTGGGGACTACTAGAGTGGGAGGCAGGGAAGGGGGTAAGGGTTGAAAAACTACTTATTGGGAATTATGCTCACTACCTGGTTGACAGGATCATTAATTCCCAAAACCTCTTCATCACACAATATACCCTTGTAACAAACCTGCACATGTAATGTACTCCCTGAATCTTTTATTTATTTATTATTTACTTATTTATTGAGACAGAGTCTTGTTCTATTGCCCAGGCTGGAGTGCAGTCTGGCTAATTATTGTATTTTTTGTAGAGACAGAGTTTTGCCATGTTGGCCAAGCTAGCTTCAAACTCCTGAGCTCAGGTGATCTGCCCTCCTTGGCCTCCCAACGTGCTGGGATTACAGGTGTGAGCCACTGTGCCCAGCCCTGAATCTCAATAGAAGTTGAAATTATAAATAAGCAAGCAAGTAAGTAAGTAAATAAAACACATGTTTTGTAAGTAAATAAGTAAAACACATGTCTTATCCAACATCACACGAGTGGTGAGATTCCTGCCTGGGAGCGGACGTTCTTTAGTCATCCCCTCAGGCTGGCCCTATTTCCACTCTCTTCAGGGAATACTCTTTATCATATCCTCCATGGGCCCTGGCCCTGCTTCTGCCTTTTGGGATAATTTTCCTGTTTATGGTTTTCTATGGCACTCTCTGAGATGGACATTAGAAAGATGTTTTTCTTGGTGCTGTATAGCAATATGTTCATATGCGTTCAGGGGTTTGGGACTGCCAGTTCTACATTTTGGCATTTGCTACTGACAACACCCTTCTTCCTGGGTGCTGAATTTTGAAGCAGTAAACTTTCCTGTTTGTAACTAACTGAAATCAGCTTTGCCTCACTTAGGTGCAAAGGGAACTTGCTGAATGGTATTAGATGGCTTACGGAATCTCTGAGAAGGCTAGAGAACATGCAGTCAGACAAAGCCCTGAACCACACCAAAGATCTATTCAAGAGAAGACATCATTGTCCCTGTTACCAACCCCTAGTTGCCTCTAGTTTATGTCACTCAGACATCACTGAACAGAACTAGCATATCATCCACAGTGTCGTGGCTGCGCCCAGAAGCTCTCTGGCTGCAACTGCCATTGTGTTCAGAGATGGTTCTCCATCATCCCTGTCTCTTGACATCCCTAACCTCCCATTCAAATTCTTGGGGAGGGGGCTTCTGATTGGCTGAGGTTTCCCTGCTTCTTCTCGATATCCCTATCACCCATTCAAATTCTAGAGGAAGGGGCTTCTGATTGGCTGAGGCTAAGTCAGGAGCCCATGTTTGGCTGTGAAGAAAACTAGAAAATTGATTATCTGGAACTCTCAACTCTTATACTGGGAGACTGTTTCTTCTTCCTACCAAGACACAAGGTCAAGAATTCCCCAAACATAGGAAGGAGTTCAGATGCTGGGCAGCCAAAAAAATGACAAACGTTTATTAGATTTTTTAAACCGTAACAACAAGGATCACAGCATGTATAGTTTAATTCTAAAGACCTTTGCCCCACCTGGCTAATCTCCAAAAATACTGTTTGTTCTTAGTACTTCTGTGGTCATAGGAATTTAAATAGCTCCTAAACAACTTTTCCTTATCTTTCTGAGAGGGCAATTTCAGCACGGTATTTAAATTCTCCAAATAGCAAGTAAAATTGTAACTTACATTTCTGTAACTGAAGCTAGTCTAAAAAAATTAAAGTGTGCAATTTCTAACTTTCTCAATATAGAGGCTTTCTTTATATGGTTTCCTTCTTCCAGGAAGCTCTTATCATATTCCGGTTTTATGATTTAATTTCACTAAAATTAAGTTTGAAGAGCTCAAAATAATGCAATCAACCAGTTACAATTATAGAAGATAATTGATGCTGCCTCTTTGCCCAGGAGCACTTTCTGGCTGCCAGAGCTCACTTTGAGGACTTGAGGGGTACCTTGGAAGTACTCAGGTTTTAATGTCCCCTTGGGGGTTGTTCTTAATCAATGACAACTGGGAGTGGTAGACACATGCCTCTGTTTCTTCACCCTTAGTTGGGATAATTCTGAGACATGTTCTACACGGTTTCCCCAGAATTACCCAGTAGGACCGAGTTCCAGTAACCTGCTGGATAACTTGCCTTCAATTGACTTTCTTCTCTTCTCCATCTTACTTCCCTACTCTCCTACTGATGCTTCCTGGACCACCTCTTAAAAACTAACATTCACATTCTTGTCTCAGTGTCTGCTTCTGAGGGTGAAGGAGAACCCAACATAAACCATTAACTGAATCAAGTTACTTATGACACTCAGTTGATCAATTATAAATAAGAGCAGTGGTCAGGTAGTCAGAGCTTAGTAGACTACTAGCATGTTTGCTAACTGACTCTCTCTGTCTCTTTCAGGCAAGCTACACCATGATCAGGGTGGGTGTTAACAGCTCCATTTTATAAATGGAGCAACTGGTGCTGGAAGAATTTTAATATCTTTTCTAAATTCATACAGCTAACGAGTCAATTTGAACTCAGGTTTCATTGTCAATTTGAATTCAGGTCCATCTAATTATTTCTACTATTCCACCCTACTCACTGACTAAGGACTATCTAAGGAATGCATTCCTGTAGGTTCTCCACCTGCAGCAATGTCAGATCTCCATAACATTATCATTTGCCAAAAAGCCTTTGCTAAGTTTATTCAATGTTATTAGCAAAAATCATATGCAAAATAACTGCCTCCTCTCTGTCACTGTTAATGGGAGTATACATTAGTACAACCTTTGGAGGACAACATGGCAATTATTTTTTAAACCTGTATTTCAGGTGCAGGGGTACATGTGCAGGTTTGTTATATAGGTAAACTTGTGTCCCAGGGGTTTCTCTCCCTTCTCATTTTGGAACTTCTAATTGGTAGACCTAATGAATTGACTGTAGAAGTCTTATCATTGTTATTCTCTTTTTGTATTTCTTCTACTTTCTGGGAGACTTTTTTCAACTTCTTCTTCCAATTCCTCATTTAAAGTTTATTTTAGCTATTATATTTTTAGCTTCCAAGTGTTTTATCTTGTTTTCTGGTTGTTTCATTTTCATTATATCTTGTTTTTATTCTATGAAAGCATTATCCTTTATATCTGTAAGTTATTAATTACATATGTAGCTTTAAGTTTTCTTCTATTTCCAGTATAATCTTTCTTTCCAAGCCCCTCCTTTACTTCATGTTTTTCCTACTTGCTTTCCCCTCTCTTTTATGTTTGTTACTTTCTTCAACTGTCTATTGATTCTTGTCTCTTTACTAATGTGTAAGTGTGAGGCACTGAAAGGCATTTACGGATAGAACTTGCTGACTATGGGGTCCATTTTAAGATGATATAGTTGGGAGCAGGATATTTTGGAGGGAACCCAAATATCATCACATGGAGAAAAATCTTTCTTAGAAGAATATTCCAGTCTCTTGACTGGAGGGGCATATGCTTGGTTCCTGAGGTTTTCAGAGCAGATTGAATAAGAATCTGAGGCTCCTACCATTCAATAAGCAGATGTTCACTAATCTTCATGTTTTCAGGTTCATACTTCACTTTGCCCTCCAACCTAAACTGGAGCCATTCTGATTCAAGTTATCTACATAATAAAACTGATCTCCTAGGAGATGAAATAGTTACCTTTTGGGATAGTGGACTTAGGGATGTATTTGCTCCACTTAAAAATTTACAACCAAGGACCCTATTTTCAACCCTACATTGACCTCTGTTTTCCATGATTCTTGGTGCCCTCAAATTCCAGACTTCTTAGTTTGGAAAATCAACTTTGCTCTTAAGTTTCCCCTTCTGTGAATACATAGATTGAAGTTTTCTCTTCTTGGCCAAGGCAGTTATTATACCTCTGTTGTATAAGCAGTGAGTCTGTTTCTTTTTCTTTTTTTTTTTTTTGTTTTGAGACGGAGTTTTGCTCTTGTTGCCCAGGCTGGAGTGCAATGGCACGATTGCAGCTCACCACAACCTCTGCCTCCCGGGTTCAAGCGATTCTCCTGTCTCAGCCTCCCAAGTAGCTGGGATTACAGCCACGTGCCACCACGCCTGGCTAATTTTGTATTTTTAATAGAGACGGGGTTTCTATCCATGTTGGTGAGGTTGGTCTTGAACTCCTGACCTCAGGTGATCTGCCTGCCTCGGCCTCCCAAACTGCTGGGGTTACAGGTGTGAGCCACTGTGCCCAGCCAATGGGTCTGTTTCTATTGTCTTTCTCTTCTTGGTCTCATTTCTTGATTTTATTAATTTTTTTTTTTTTTTTTGAGATGGAGTCTCACTCTGTCACCCAGGCTAGAGTGCAGTGGTATGATCTTGGCTCACTGCAACCTCCACCTCCTGGGTTCACGCAATTCTCCTGCCTCAGCCTCCTGAGTTGCTGGGATTACAGGTGTGCACCACCACATGTGGTAATTTTTTATATTTTTGGTAGAGACAGGGTTTCACCATGTTGGCCAGGCTGGTCTCGAACTCCTGATAAGTGATCCACCCACCTCAGCCTCCCAAAGTGCTGGGATTATAGGCGTGAGCCACTGTGCCTGGCCAATTTTATTAATTTTTAAGAGAATGTTAGATATTGCAGATGAAAAATTATAGGCTGTGAATGATACTATTTCCTCCAGAAAGGATTTATCTTAGCTTTAATCTCAATTAAAGGACAGATTAGGAGTAGATCACCTTATGCAGTCAGAGACCGAGCTAATTCAAGACAGTCTTTATAGTTTATAAAGACTAAAACCTATTTCCCTTTTTACACTATCTCCTGGGGGGATATCCCTGCCCATATATTATATTTAAATTTAAAGATTCTACTTTAAAAAGTCTGTTATATGATTTTTAAAAATTTTCTTTTTTTGAGACAGTCTCACACTGTCCCCCAGGCTGGAGTGCAGTGGCAAGATCTTGGCTTGCTGCAACTTCTGCTTCCTGGGTTCAAGCAATTCTCCTGCCTCAGCCTCCTGAGTAGCTGGGATTACAGGTGTGCACAACCACATCCGGCTAATTTTTAAAAATATTTTCAGTGGAGATGGGGTTTCACCATGTTGGCCAGACTGGTATCAAACTCCTGACCTCAGGTGATCTGCCTGTCTCAGCCCCCCAAAGTGTTGGGATTACAGGCGTGAGCCATTAAACACAGCCTGATTTTTAAAAATTAATAAGATGAGAAATTTGTAAACTTAGACTTCTAAAATTATATTTACTTCCCAGGGGTAAGAAGAAATGTATCATATTTTGGGAACATGGTGTTAAGCTACAGAATTAACATGGTACTTTATTTTGGAGAACAAATTTTACTCCATGGAATGGTTTGGTTCTGTGTCCCCACCCAAATCTCATCTTGAATTGTACTCCCATAATTACCACGTGTTGTGGGAGGGACCCAGTGGGAGATAATTTGAATCATAGGGGTGGTTTCCCCCATACTGTTCTTGTGGTAGTGAATAAGTCTCATGAGATCTGATGGTTTTACCAGGGGTTTCTGCTTTTGCATCTTCCTTATTTTCTCTTGCCACCACGGTGTAAGCAGTGACTTTCACCTTTTGCCGTGATTCTGAGGCCTCCCCAGCCATGTGGAACTCTAAGTCCAGTTAAACCTCTTTTTCTTCCCAGTCTCAGGTATGTGTTTATCAGTAGTGTGAAAACAGACTAATACAGTAAATTGGTACCAGGAGAGGGATGCTGCTGAAAAGATACCCCAAAATGTGGAAGTGACTTTGGAACTGGGTAACAGGCAGAGGTTGGAACAGTTTGGAAGGCTCAGAAGAAGACAGGAAAATGTGGGAAAATTTGGAACCTTCTAGAGAGTTGTTGAATGGCTTTGACAAAAATACTGATAATGATAGGGACAATGAAATTCAGGCTGAGGTGGTCTCAGATGGAGATGAGGAACTTGTTGGGAACTGGAGTAAAGGTGACTCTTACTATGTTTTACCAAAGAGACTAGTGGCATTTTGCCCCTGCCCTAGAGATCTGTGGAACTATGAACTTCAGGGAGATAATTTAGTGTATCTGGTGGAATAAAGGAATAAACTTCTAAGCAGCGAAGCATTAGAGGTGACTTGGGTGTTGTTAAAGGCATTCAGTTTTAAAAAGGAAACAGCATAAAAGTTTGGAAAATTTGCAGCCTGACTTTGCAATAGAAAAGAAAATCCCATTTTCTGTGGAGAAATTCAAGCCAGCTGCAGATATTTGCATTATTAACAAGGAGCTGAATGTTAATCACCAAGACAACGGGGAAAATGTCTCCAGGGCTTGTCAGAGACCTGTGTGGCAGCCTCTCCCATCACAGGCCCAGAGGTCTACGAGGAAAAAATGGTTTTGTGGGCAGGGCCCAAAGTCCCCATTCTGTGCGCTATCTAGGGACTTGGTGCCCTGTGTCCCAGCTATTCCAGTGATGGCTGAAAAGAGCCAACATAGAGCTTGGGCTGTGGCTTCAGAGGGTGCAAGCCCCAAGCCTTGGCAGTTTCCATGTGGTGTTGAGCCTACAGGTGCACAGAAGTCATGAATTGAGGTTTGGGAACCTGCACCTAGATTTCAGAAGATGTATGGAAATGTATGGATGTCCAGGCAGAAGTTTGCTGCAGGGGCAGGACTCTCATGGAGAACCTCTGCTAGGGCAGTGCAGAAGGGAAACGTGGGGTCAGAGCCCCACAGAGTCCCTACTGGGGCACTACCTAGCGGAGCTGTGAGAAGAAGGCCCCTGTCCTCTGGACCTCAGAATGGTAGATCCACTTGTAGTTTGCACCGTGAAGCTGGAAAAGCTGCAGACATTCAATGCCAGCCCATGAAAGCAGCCTGGAGGGAGGCTCTACCCTGCAAACCATAGTGGCATAGCTGCCCAAGACCATGGGAACCCACCTCTTGCATCAGCGTGACCTGGATGTGAGACATGGAGTCAAAGGAGATTATTTTGGAGCTTTACAATTTCACTGCCCTGCTGGGGTTCAGACTGGCATGGGGCCTTTAGCCCCTTTGTTTGGGCCAATTTCTCCCATTTAGAATGGGTGTATTTACCCATACCTGTACCCCCCCCCCCCCATTGCATCTAGGTAGTAACTAGCTTACTTTTGATTTTACAGGCTCATAGGTGGAAAGGACTTGCCTTGTCTCAGATGAGACTTTGGACTGTGGACTTTGGGGTAAATGCTGAAATGAGTTAAGACTTTGGGGACTGTTGGGAAGGCATGATTGGTTTTGAAATGTGAGGACATGAGATTTGGAGGGACAAGGGGTGGAATGATATTGTTTGGCTCTGAGTCCATACCCAAATCTCATCTTGAATTGTATTCTCATAATTCTCACCTGTTGTGGGAGGGACCCAGTGGGAGATGGCTGGATCATGGGAGTGGTTTCCCCCATACTGTTCTCATGGTAGTGAATAAGTCTCATGAAATCTGATAGTTTTATCAGGGGTTTCTGCTTTTGCATCTTTCTCATTTTTTCCTGCTGCTGCCATGTAAGAGGTGCTTTTCACTTCCTGCCATGATTATGAGGCCTCCCCAGCCATGCGGAACTGTAAGTCCAATTAAATCTCTTTTTCTTCCCAGTCTCAGGTTTGTCTTTATCAGCAGCATGAAAACAGACTAATACACTCTAGATTAGGGACAATAAAAATTATTATTTTAAAATTAATTCCAATATGTTGAAGATAGACTGCAGTATTTTAATGAATTCTTATGCTAAATTGCAAAATGATTTCTCACTTCTGGCGGATTGTTTCAGTCTATGCACCCCAGGAGTCATTCTCTTTGAAGTCTATGGGAAAAGTTTCAGAAGCACTGATTCTATCTAATTCTACTTCTTTCTCCTTCTTTCTTCTTGTTTTGGTAGCCAGGAACTTCAAAACATTACATAATAGACATTCAGTAATAATCTTATTAATTTATTCATTTATTTAAGCACTCTATGACTTCTGATTTAATTTTCACTTTTTTGTCTATATTTGGTTTCTGTTTTTTTCCTTATCTTTATCCAATATGCTTTTTGTGAGTTTATTGTCTGCTGCTTTATAGTCTTTTGAGGTACTATATCAATCTATTATTTATATCTGTATGCATGTACCTATCTATTGCATTGATTATTTTGTTTATTGCTTTTTTTTTTTTTTTCCTTTTTCAAGGCAGAGTTTCACTCTGTCACCCAGGCTGGAGTGCAGTGGTGCGATCTTGGCTCACTGCAACCCTGCCTCCCAAGTTCAAGCAATTCTCCTGCCTCAGCCTCCTCAGTAGGTGGGATTACAGGTGCCCGCCACTGCACCCTGCTAATTTTTGTATTTTTAGTAGAGACGAGGTTTCACCACGTTGGCCAGGCTGGTCTCGAACTCCTGACCTTGTGATTCGCCTGCCTCAGCCTCCCAAAGTGCATGGAATACAGGCGTGAGCCACCGCACCCGGCTTCATTGCTTTTTTTGTAAGGTGACAATTTCCTTCAAAGACAGTGATATGATTTGTTAATTTTGTGTAACATTTTTTGATAAGTCACTGGGAAATCAACTTAACCTAATACAAAGAAGTTAGATAATCAGCGTTAGAGACATTTGGTGTTTCTTAGACTGTGTAAAAAATTTCTTAGACTTTATTTTGCTATACTTAAAATATGTAAGACATTTTAAAATACAAGAAAAATTTTCTTTTTTTTTTTTTAATTATACTTAAGTTTTAGGGTACATGTGCACATTGTGCAGGTTAGTTACATATGTATACATGTGCCATGCTGGTGCGCTGCACCCACTAACTCGTCATCTAGCCTTAGGTATATCTCCCAATGCTATCCCTCCCCCCTCCCCCCACCCCACCACAGTCCCCAGAGTGTGATATTCCCCTTCATGTGTCCATGTGATCTCATTGTTCAATTCCCACCTATGAGTGAGAATATGCGGTGTTTGGTTTTTTGTTCTTGCGATAGTTTACTGAGAATGATGGTTTCCAATTTCATCCATGTCCCTACAAAGGACATGAACTCATCATTTTTTATGGCTGCATAGTATTCCATGGTGTATATGTGCCGCATTTTCTTAATCCAGTCTATCATTGTTGGACATTTGGGTTGGTTCCAAGTCTTTGCTATTGTGAATAATGCCGCAATAAACATATGTGTGCATGTGTCTTTATAGCAGCATGATTTATAGTCATTTGGGTATATACCCAGTAATGGGATGGCTGGGTCAAATGGTATTTCTAGTTCTAGATCCCTGAGGAATCGCCACACTGACTTCCACAATGGTTGAACTAGTTTACAGTCCCACCAACAGTGTAAAAGTGTTCCTATTTCTCCACATCCTCTCCAGCACCTGTTGTTTCCTGACTTTTTAATCATTGCCATTCTAACTGGTGTGAGATGATATCTCATAGTGGTTTTGATTTGCATTTCTCTGATGGCCAGTGATGATGAGCATTTTTTCATGTGTTTTTTGGCTGCATAAATGTCTTCTTTTGAGAAGTGTCTGTTCATGTCCTTCGCCCACTTTTTGATGGGGTTGTTTGTTTTTTTCTTGTAAATTTGTTTGAGTTCATTGTAGATTCTGGATATTAGCCCTTTGTCAGATGAGTAGGTTGCGAAAATTTTCTCCCATGTTGTAGGTTGCCTGTTCACTCTGATGGTAGTTTCTTTTGCTGTGCAGAAGCTCTTTAGTTTAATTAGATCCCATTTGTCAATTTTGTCTTTTGTTGCCATTGCTTTTGGTGTTTCGGACATGAAGTCCTTGCCCATGCCTATGTCCTGAATGGTAATGCCTAGGTTTTCTTCTAGGGTTTTTATGGTTTTAGGTCTAACGTTTAAATCTTTAATCCATCTTGAATTGATTTTTGTATAAGGTGTAAGGAAGGGATCCAGTTTCAGCTTTCTACATATGGCTAGCCAGTTTTCCCAGCACCATTTATTAAATAGGGAATCCTTTCCCCATTGCTTGTTTTTCTCAGGTTTGTCAAAGATCAGATAGTTGTAGGTATGCGGCATTATTTCTGAGGGCTCTGTTCTGTTCCATTGATCTATATCTCTGTTTTGGTACAAGTACCATGCTGTTTTGGTTACTGTAGCCTTGTAGTATAATTTGAAGTCAGGTAGTGTGATGCCTCCAGCTTTGTTCTTTTGGCTTAGGATTGACTTGGCGATGCAGGCTCTTTTTTGGTTCCATATGAACTTTAAAGTAGTTTTTTCCAATTCTGTGAAGAAAGTCATTGGTAGCTTGATGGGGATGGCATTGAATCTGTAAATTACCTTGGGCAGTATGGCCATTTTCACGATATTGATTCTTCCTACCCATGAGCATGGAATGTTCTTCCATTTGTTTGTATCCTCTTTTATTTCCTTGAGCAGTGGTCTGTAGTTCTCCTTGAAGAGGTCCTTCACATCCCTTGTAAGTTGGATTCCTAGGTATTTTATTCTCTTTGAAGCAATTGTGAATGGGAGTTCACTCATGATTTGGCTCTCTGTTTGTCTGTTGTTGGTGTATAAGAATGCTTGTGATTTTTGTACATTGATTTTGTACCCTGAGACTTTGCTGAAGTTGCTTATCAGCTTAAGGAGGTTTTGGGCTGAGACGATGGGGTTTTCTAGATAAACAATCATGTCGTCTGCAAACAGGGACAATTTGACTTCCTCTTTTCCTAATTGAATACCCTTTATTTCCTTCTCCTGCCTGATTGCCCTGGCCAGAACTTCCAACACTATGTTGAATAGGAGCGGTGAGAGAGGGCATCCCTGTGTTGTGCCAGTTTTCAAAGGGAATGCTTCCAGTTTTTGCCCATTCAGTATGATATTGGCTGTGGGTTTGTCATAGATAGCTCTTATTATTTTGAAATACGTCCCATCAATACCTAATTTATTGAGAGTTTTTAGCATGAAGGGTTGTTGAATTTTGTCAAAGGCCTTTTCTGCATCTATTGAGATAATCATGTGGTTTTTGTCTTTGGCTCTGTTTATATGCTGGATTACATTTATTGATTTGTGTATATTGAACCAGCCTTGCATCCCAGGGATGAAGCCCACTTGATCATGGTGGATAAGCTTTTTGATGTGCTGCTGGATTCGGTTTGCCAGTATTTTATTGAGGATTTTTTCATCAATGTTCATCAAGGATATTGGTCTAAAATTCTCTTTTTTGGTTGTGTCTCTGCCCGGCTTTGGTATCAGAATGATGCTGGCCTCATAAAATGAGTTAGGGAGGATTCCCTCTTTTTCTATTGATTGGAATAGTTTCAGAAGGAATGGTATCAGTTCCTCCTTGTACCTCTGGTAGAATTCGGCTGTGAATCCATCTGGTCCTGGACTCTTTTTGGTTGGTAAACTATTGATTATTGCCACAATTTCAGCTCCTGTTATTGGTCTATTCAGAGATTCAACTTCTTCGTGGTTTAGTCTTGGGAGAGTGTATGTGTCGAGGAATGTATCCATTTCTTCTAGATTTTCTAGTTTATTTGCATAGAGGTGTTTGTAGTATTCTCTGATGGTAGTTTGTATTTCTGTGGGATCAGTGGTGATATCCCCTTTATCATTTTTTATTGTGTCTATTTGACACAAGAAAAATTTTCTACCTCTCCTCACATTAATACAAAAAAATAAAATACAAGGAAAACTATCAGTTATATGCATTTGCCCACATGAAATTAATATTTCTTATAGGTCTCTCTATGCAAATTTATTCAGAGGCAAAAACAACCCAACATTTATTATAGATATTTTTAGAAACATTTCTATGTAGGGACTACTTGATAGCAGGATGATGTAAAAACATTTTTGTAGAGCAAGAATATCCTATCATGTCCCCTGAGTGGCAGAAGGAATATGTCAATCCAACTCATAAAAATATTTTGCTATCTTATTACCTTCATACTGAATAAGTTATTCAACTCATTTGACTTTGGTGGAGTACAGAGACTTACTTTGGTTGGTAAATAAATAAAAAATAATGAAGAGAACTTAGCCATAAATTATTTGCCTAGGCCAGTGTCTAGGAGATTATTTCCTGGTTATCTTTTAGGATTTTTTTATAGTATGAGGTCTTACATTTAAGTTTTTTGTTTTTTTTTTTTTTTTGAGATGGAGTCTTGCTCTGTCACCCAGGTTGGAGTGCAGTGGTGCCATCTTGGCTCACTGCAACCTCCGCCTCCCAGGTTCAAGCAGTTCTCATGCCTCAGCCTCCCAAATAGCTGGAACTATAGGTATGCACTAACACACCTGGCTAATTTTTGTATTTTTAGTAGAGATGGGGTTTTGCCATGTTGCCCAGGTTGGTCTGGAATGCCTTGCTTCAAGTGATCTACCTGCTTCAGCCTTTCAAAGTGATGAGATTACAGATGTGAGCCACCATGCTCTGCCACAGTTATGTCTCTAATCCATCTTGAGTTAATTTTTGTACATGGTGAGAGGTAGTAGTCAAGTTTCATTATTCTGCATATGGTTAACCAGTTTTCGCAGCAACGTTTATAGAATAGAGTGTCCTTTCCCTATTGTTTATTTTTGTCAACTTTGTCTAAGATTAATTGGTTGTAGGTGTGCGACTTTATTTCTGGGTTCTCTATTCTGCTCTATTGGTCTATATGTCTATTTTTGTACCAATACCATGCTGTATTGGTTATGATAGCCTTGTAGTATAGTTTGAAGTCGGATAATGTGATGCTTCTGGCTTTGGCTATTAGACTCTTTTTTGGTTCTGTATGTGTTTTGTAATAGTTTTTCTAATTCTGTGAAGAATGATGTTGGTAATTTCATGGGAATTGCATTGAGTCTATAGATTGTTTTGGGCAGTATGGACACTTTAATGATATTGTTTCTTCCAATCTATGAGCATGGACTGTTCTTCCATTTGTTTGTGTCATCTATAATTTCTTTCGGCAATGTTTTGTAGTTCTCCTTGTAGAGGTATTTCACCTCCTTTTTAGATATATTTTATTTTGTGTATAGTTATTGTAAATGGCATCATGTTTTTTATTTGGTTCTTAGCTTGAGCATTATTGGTGTATAGAAATGCTACTAAATTCTGGCTAGGCACAGTGGCTCATATCTGTAATTTCAGCACTTTGGGAGGCTGAGGTAGGAGGATAGCATGAGTCCAGGAGTCTGAGACCAGCCTGAGCAACATAGGGATACTATATCTCTTAAAAAAAAATACAAAAATTAGCTGGGTGTGGTGGCACACACCTGTGGTCCCGGCTACTTGGGAAGTTGAAGTAAGAGGATCACTTGGACCCAGGAGGTCAAGGCTGCAGTGAGCCATGATCATGCTACTGCACTGCAGTTTGGGTGACAGAGTGAGACTCTGTCTCAAAAAAATAAAAATAAAAAAATTAGAAGTGATACTGGTTTTTATACATTGATTTTGCATCCTGGAAATTTACTGAAGTTGTTTATCAGGTCTAGGAGTCTTTTGGTGTAATCTTTAGGGTTTTCTAGGTATGGAATCATATAATCAGCGAAGAGAGATAATGTGACCTCCTCTTTTCCTGTTTGGATGCCTTTTTATTTCTTTCTCTTGCCTGATTGCTCTGGCTGGGAATTCCAGTACTACATTGAATAGGAGTGGTGAGAGTGGGCATCCTTGTCTTATTCAAGTTCTTGAGGGGAATGCTTCCAGCTTTTGCCTATTCAGCATGATATTTGCTGTGGGTTTGTCATAGATGGCTCTTATTATTTTGAGTTATGTTCCTTTAATGCCTAGTCTGTTGAGGGTTTATATCATGAAGGGATGTTGGGTTTTTGTTGCTTTTTGAGACAGGGTCTCACTCTGTCACCCAGGCTGGAGTGCAGTGGCATGATCACAGCTCACTGCAGTCTTGACCTCCCAGGTTCAAACAATCCTCCCACCTCAGTCTCCAGAGTAGCTGGGACCAGAGGCGCATGCCACCATGCGCAGCTAATTTTTGTATTTTTTGCAGTGAAGGGGTTTCACCATGTTGTCCAGGGTGTTCTCAAACTCCTAGCCTGAAATGATCTGGCCACCTTGGCCTTCCAAAGTGCTGGGATTATAGGCATGAGTTACCGCACCTGGTCAGATGTTGGATTATATAGAATGCTTTTTCTGCCTCCATTAAAATGATCGTATGGTTTTTGTTTTTAATTCTGTTTATGTGGTGAATCACATTTGTTGATTTGCATATGTTGAAACATCCTTCCATCCCAGGAATAGAGCCTACTTGATTGTGGTGAATTAACTTTTGATGTTAATTCAACTGCCAGATTCAGTTTGCTAGTATTTTGTTGAAGATTTTTGCATCTATGTTCATCAGAAATATTGGCCTGTAGTTTTCTTTTTTGTGTGCGTTTTTGCCAGATTTTGGTATCAGACAATACTGATTGCATAGAATTAATTGGGGAGGAATACTTCCTCCTCAATTCTGTAAAGCAAATGCAACAAAAACAAAAACTGAAAATTGGAACATAATTAAACTAAAGAGCTTCTGCACAGCAAAAGAAACCATTAACAGAGTAAGCAGACAACCTACTGAATGGGAGAAAATATTTGCAAACTATGCATCTGACAAAGGAATAATATCCAGAATCTATAAAGAACTTAAACAAATCAATAAGAAAAGCACAAACAACTCCATTAAAAAGTAGGCAAAGGACATGAACAGATACTTCTCAAAAGAAGGCATACAAGTGGCCAACAAGCATATGAAAAAATGTTCAACATCACTAATAATCAGAAAAATGCAAATCAAAACCACAATGAGATACCATCATGCACCAGTCGGAATGGGTATTATTTAAAAGTCAGAAAATGACAGAAGTTGGCAAGGTTGCAGAGAAAAGGGGATGCTCATACACTGTTGGTGGGGTTGTAAATTAGTTCAGCCCCTGTGGAAAGCAGTTTGGAGATTTCTCAAAGAATTAAAAACAGAGTTACCATTCAAACCAGCAATTCCATTACTGGGTATTGGAATTACTGATTCGAAAATCAATCATTCTACCAAAAAGATACCTGCATTTCCATGTTTATCACAGCACTGTTCATAATAACCAAGATATGGACTCAAACCAAGTGCCCATCAACAGTAGATTGGATAAAGAAAATGTAGTAAATATATATCATGGAATACTATGCAGCCATAAAAAGAATGAAATCATGTCCTTTGCAGCAACATAAACGCAGCTGGAGGCTCTTATCTTAAGTGAATTAACATAAGAATAGAAAACCAAATACCACATGTTCTCACTTACAAGTGGGAGCTAAACATTGTGTATGCGTGGACATAATGCTGGGAACAATAGATACTGGGGACTCCAAAAGGCGATGAGAAGGAAGGGGGCAAGAATTGAAAAACTGTCTCTTGGGTACTATGTTCACTATCTGGGTGCTGGGTTCAATCAAAGCCCAAACCTCATCATCATGCAATATATCCATGTAACAAACCTGCACATGTACCCTCTGCATCTAAATATTGAAAATAAAAATGATTTAAAAACATGTAAAAGAGAAGAGAATTTTTAAACTTATTTCTTGGATTGGTATATGGTTTTTTTTTTTTTTTTTTTGAGGTGGAGTCTCTCTCTGTCACCCAGGCTGGAGTGCAGTGGCGCGATCTCGACTCACTGCAACCTCCACCTCCCAGGTTCAAGTGATTCTCCTGCCTCAGCCTCCTGAGTAGCTGGGACTACAGGCGCCCACCACCACCCGTGCCCAGCTAATTTTTGTATTTTTAGTAGACAGAGTTTCACCACGTTGGCCAGGATGGTCTCGATCTCCTGACCTCGTGATCCACCTGCCTCAGCCTCCCTAAATGCTGGGATTACAGGTGTGAGCCACCCCACCCGGCTGATTTTTATATTTTTAGTAGAGATGGGGTTTCACCATTTTGGCCAGGCTGGTCTCAAACTGCTGACCTCAGGTGATCCTCCCATCTCAGCCTCCCAAAGTGCGAGGATTACAGACATGAGCCACTATGCCTGGCTGGTATATGGCTTTTGATGAGGAGACTATGACTATCTGGCAAGTCATTTGTAGGAGAAAGGGAATCACAGGTAAATTAAATAGTTATAGCTGAAATTAAATAGATGAAAGAGCATTACAACAAGGCTTATGGCATAGAAAATTAAATAGATGAAAGAGCATTACAACAAGGCTTATGGCATAGAAAATTAAATAGATGAAAGAGCATTACAACAAGGCTTATGGCATATGGTGTTGTGCTTTTTAATATGAGTGGTTGACAAGTATTAAGTTCCTTCGGTGAAAGTACACCAGATTTAGAGTAGAAAAATCTGAGTTTGAATCTTCATTCTTGGACAAGTGACTTAAATTATTTGAGACACAAAGAATTATTATTATTTGTTGTTCTAATGTAGATATTACTGTCTCTCAAGGCTATCATGAGGGCTAAATGACATATCTGCCCCACAGAAAAGCTATATTTCCCCCAATTAAAACTGACTCCATATATAACTCAATCCCTTGTTTTCTCACTGAGAAGTCCAAAAAGCAAGTTTTCAGTCACTTGAAAATACAAACTTCAGCCAGGCACGGTGGCTCATGCCTGTAATCCTAGCACTTTGGGAGGCCGAGGTGGGTGGATTGCCTGAGTCCAGGAGTTTGAGACCAGCCTGGGGAACACGGTGAAACTCCGTCTCTACTGAAAATACAAAAAATTAGCTGGGCCTGGTGGCATGCACCTGTAATCCCAGCTACTCAGGAGGCTGAGGCAGGAGAATTGCTTGAACCCGGGAGGCGGAGGTTGCAGTAAGCCAAGATCGCTCCATTGTACTCCAGCCTGGGCGACAGAGGGAGACTCCGTCTCAAAAAAAAGAAAAAGAAAATACAAACTTCTATGGTATAGATTAGTCAAATGACTACATTTAGTATAGTAATGTTATTACTCATAAATATTTAAAATTATGTATATAAAATAATATAGAATAATTTATAATTATATCAATAATATAAATGTGTTATTGGTTTAAAGAGATATGTATGGGTGCCAAGTTGACAAGAGGTGGACTGGTGATAGTTGATTTTATGTGTCAACTGGACGGGGCCACAGGTTGCCTAGATATTTGGCCACACATTATTCTGACTGTGTCTATATTATTCAGGTGTTTCTGGAGGAGATTAACATTTGAATTGGCAGACTGAATAAGGGAAGTTGCCCTCTGTTATAGCAGAAGAACTCAAACTGTTCTTTTGCTCTCACACAACAAAAATCAACCCAGAAGACTTCTGTAACCTGATGTGCATGGGATTTTCCCCACCAGCAAATGAGTAAATGATTCTGCAGCAGATACCAGCTAGGTGTCCTCTGGTTCAGTTCTGACACTATCTGCCTGAAGATAGTGTCAAATCCCACAGGTCGAGAGCTCAGTCCCACAAGACTGCCTCCCCTATCTTCCAGGTGCCAGTCACAAGCCTGGGCCTCCAGAACTTCTGATTGGCTTCAAGTTGAAGTTCCCATGACTCTTCTTTATTAATTTGCTCCAGTAGCTGGCAGAAATCAGGGAAACACTTACTTATGTTAACTGGCTGATGGTAAAGGATATTATAAATGATACAGATGAAGCAACGCACAGGATGAGCTATGGGTCTAAAAGCATGGACCTTCCATGCTCTCCCTGAGTGTTCCACCCTGCAGGAACCTCCACATGTTCAGCTATCCAGAAGCCCCCCGAACCCTGTTCTCTAGGGCCTTTTATGGAGATTTCATTGCATAGGCATGATTGACCAACATGCAGAAAAGTGACTGGACAAAAAGGGTGTGATCTAATACTATAAACCAAGTGGGGAAACACATTCAGATTCTTCTTGGCCTCTCTGTGCAGCATCCCTTCCTCTGGAGTACATGGCAGAAACCCTTCTGAAATGGGGGTCTTATGACCTACTATCAGACAAGGTGAGTCAGAGGATTTCTTCATGGCCAACTTTATTTATTCATTTATTTATTGAGATAGGGTCTCACTCTGTCACCCAGGTTGGAGTGCAGTGGCATGATCTCAGCTCACTGTAACCTCTGCCTCATGGGCTCAAGCGATCCTCCCTCCTCAGCCTTCCAAGTAGCTGGGACTACAGGCACACACCGCCACATCTAGCTGATTTTTGTATTTGTTTTTGGTGGATATGGGGTCTTGCCATGTCGCTCAGGGTGGTCTTGAACTCCTGGGCTCAAGGGATCCACCTGCCATGGCCTCTAAAGTGTTGGGGTTACCGGCATGAGGCACTACACCAGGCGTACATGGCCAACTTTAAGATATTAATAGAAAGATGTCTGGGTATGGTGGATCATGCATGTAATCCCAGCACTTTGTGAGGCCGAGGCAGGCAGATCACCTGAGCCAGGAGTTCAAAACCAGCCTGGCCAACATGGCGAAATTCCATCTCTGCTAAAAATACAAAAATTAGCTGGGTGTGGTGGCACACACCTGTAATCCCAGCTACTCAGGTGGCTGAAGCAGGAGAATCACTTGAACCTGGGAGGCAGAGATTGCAGTGAGCTGAGATCATGCCACCGCACTCCAGCCTGGGCAACAGAGTGAGACTCCATCTCAATTAAAAAAATAATAATAAAATAAAAGAAAGGTGAGGGGAGATTCTTGCCTTGGAAAGATAAAGGAGCAGGTAAAGGGAGGGCAGAAGAAGGTCAGAGAGAGAGAGTCTGGTTTCTGGGCCTATTTCTGAGGTCTATAGCACCCCAACATTATAATAAAACTATGGGAATTATGAGCCAGGAACCATGGACGAAAACCTATACACACACACATGCACATACACACACACCATGCATGTACACATACATATCATACCACACCCTCCCTAATGTGTATGGGCCTCATTCAATGAATTGAAAGCCTTAATAGAGCAAAAAGGCTAAGTAAGAAAGAACTCTAGTCTCACTGCTTGAGTTGGGACATTGGTCTTTTCTTGCCTCTGAAGTCAGACTGAAACCACTTAACACTGCAGGCTCTCCTGGTTCTCAGGCCTTCAAATTCAGACTGGAGCTACACCATCAGCTGTCCCACATCTCCAGCTCACTGACTGCTGATCTTGAGACTTCTCCGCCTTTATAATTGGATAAGCCAATTCATTACAATAAATCTCTTTACACACACACACACACACACACACACACACACATTCTATTTTTTTGGAGAACCCTGACTAATATAAGCTTCTACAGCAAAACACAGCAGACTTGGTGGCTTTAACAACAGAAATTTATTTCTCACAGTTCTGGAGTGTGGGAAGTCCAAGATCAAGGTGCCAGCCAATTTAGTTCCCAATGAGGGCTCCCTTCCTGGCATGGCAATTGCTATCTTCTTGCTCTGTCCTCAAGAGGTGGGGAGGAGAAGGCGAGAGACAGAGAACTCTTTAGTGTCTCTTCTTATAAAGACACTAATCCCAGGAGATCAGGGCCCCACCCTTAAAGACCCCTTTTAACCTTAATTACATCCTTACTCCAATACAGTCACATTGGGAATTAGAGATTCAAAATATGAATTTGGAGGGGACACATACTTTCAACCCACAGCCAATATTAACTCAGAAAAACTGCTTTTTTTTTTGAGACAAAGTCTTGCTCTGTCACCCAGGCTGGAGTATAACGGCACGATCTCAGCTAACTGCAACCTCCGCCTCCTGGGTTCAAGTTATTCTCCTGCCTCAGCCTTCTGAGTAGCTGGGATTACAGGTGCCTGCCACCACACCCAGCTAATTTTTGTGTTTTTAGTAGAGATGGGGTTTCACCATGTTGGTCAGGCTGGTCTCAAACTCCTGACCTCGTGATCCACCCTCCTCAGCCTCCCAAAGTGCTGGGATTACAGGTGTGAGCCACTGCGCCTGGCCAGGAAAAGTGTTTTTTAAAAGTGTTCTTATTCTACAGAATGTTTTTATTCCATTTTTACATGGGTCTTTAGCATCCAAGTCACTGGGGCCACTTTTTAA
This sequence comes from Homo sapiens, assembly GCF_000001405.40. Taxonomy (NCBI): domain Eukaryota; kingdom Metazoa; phylum Chordata; class Mammalia; order Primates; family Hominidae; genus Homo; species Homo sapiens. The sequence continues at coordinate 101,520,158 of NC_000012.12, forward strand.
GCCACCAACCTAATTTGTCCTTGCCATCTGAATTGTTTCTATAGCTCTCCTTGAATCACTTATGATTCCATTACAAGAAATGTCATTGCAAGACCAAGTACTCATTTGCAAACGTTAAGGTCATCTTTTTTATACAAAAAAATAACAGATGGCTAGGATGCGGAAAAAAGAGAACTCTTACACACTGTTGGTGGGAATGAAAATTAGAATAGCCACTATGGAAAACAGTATGGAGGTGTCTCAAAAAACTAAAAATAGAACTTCCATATGATCCAGCAATCCCACTACTGGGTATCTACCCACAAGAAAAGAAATCAATATATCAACGGGATACCTGTCCTCACATGTTTATCACAGAGCTATTCGCAATAGCAAAGATATGGAATCAACCTAAATGTCCATCAACAGATGACTGGATTTTAAAATGTGTTATATACGCACAATAGGAAACTATTAGACCATAAAAAAGAATAAAGTCATGTCATTTGCAGCAACATGGATGGAATTGGAAGCCATTATCTTAAGTGAAATAAGCCAGGCACAAAAAGACAAATACCACACATTCTGGCTCATATGTGGGAGCTAAAATATTTGCTCACATGGAGGTAAGAGTGAAAATATAGATAACAGAGACTGGGAAGGGTGAGCTGTGGGGAGAGGAGGGGATGAATAGAAGTGGATTAAAGGGTACAACATATAGTAAGATAGAAGGAATAAATTTAAAGTGAACTTTAAAAATCTTGCTGACACCAACACTCACAATTGTGAAGTCACATCCTCAGAAATTATAACTAAATCTGTGTTAGATTTTTCATCTCCATTTTTACCAATTTTATAAGCCTTTCAGATGAACATTGATCGAGGTGGTTTCAGACAAATAACTCTTCCCCAAACAGAACTTTGTTGCAAAAAATAAAGTAATTGCAAGAGTGTGGCAGTGTATAAGTCTGTTTTCTCACTGCTATAAAGAACTACCTGAGACTGGGTAATTTATGAAGAAAAGAGGTTTAATTGACTCACAGTTCTGCAGGCTTAACAGGAAGCATGACTGGGAGGCCTTTGGAAACTTACAATCATGATGGGGAAGCAAGCACTTTCTTCACAGGGAGGCAGAAGACAAGTGGTGGGGGGAGATGTCACACTTTTAAACCATCAGATCTCGTGAGAACTCACTCACTATCATGAGAACAGCATGGGGGAAATCTGTCCCCATGATGCAATCACTTTCCACCAGGTCCTTCCCTGACACATGGGGATTACAGTTTGACATCAGATTTGGATGGGGACAGAGAGCCAAACTATATCAGTCATAATATAAATTTTTCTAAGGATTCAAAAGTAGGGAGACTCTTAAGTCTCCTATTCAAAGTCTCCTTTGAATGAAACATCTTATAAACTTCCAAACTTCTTTTTTTTTTTTTTATTGAGAGACAATGTATTTGGGGAAATTACATTTTGAGTCCTTAAAGATCTACTAGTTGAACTCGAAGCTTGTCTCTTCTCTGGACACTGGTACTCCCCAGGGACTTGTTGAGACACCCACCCTCCCTTGCCCACTTTGGAAAACCCAGTTTGATTGTTTGTTTAGAAGGGGACCTTATGTTACTCTTCTGAGCATCCACATGGCATCGATGCAGCAGGGAACATTTGTTGAGCCCTTATTATGTGCCAGGAACTCTGCTAAGGGCTTTTAAATCTTATCTTACTAAATCCACTCAACAACCCAGTGGTGGTACCAACAGGTATCTTGGAAGGTCTACACAAAGTCCACCAAATCTCCATCAGGGCCTCAAAATAAACAATCTAAATAAAGAGCCAAACCAGCTCTAAACAAATCTCCTCACATCTCTTTCCAACCACACTGCTGCTCCTAAGCCCTTGCTACATAGGAATTCTGGATCTAGTATGCAATAATTATCATCCACACAGATGAAGAAAGTGAGACTCTGAAAGGTTATGATTTGTGTAAGGGGTCACAGTGAAGAAGGGGCAGAGCTGGGGTACAAGCCCAGGCTGACTGACAATAGAGACCCTGATCTAACTAACATGCTTACTGAACAAAGTTGGTGAAGTCAGTGGACCGGGAAGGAAATTTCATTTGCTACTCTTATGCAGGAGCATTTCTTCTCTATGGACTGTTCAGGTTTTCAAGCCCAAACTGCATCATCATATGCAAGTCCTCACTTAACATCATTGACAAGTTCTTGGAAACGGTGACTTTAGGCTAAATGACATATAAAGAAACCAATTTGACCATAGGCTAATTTATATAAACAAGAGCTAAGTTCTTATGGCATATTTCTGGTCACAAAAACATCACCAAATTTCTTTTTTTTTGTTTTTTTTTGAGATGGAGTTTTGCTCTTGTTTCCCAGGCTGGAGTGCAATGGCACAATCTTGGCTTACCACAACCTCCACCTCCCGGGTTCAAGCGCTTCTCCTGCCTCAGCCTCCCAAGTAGCTGGGATTACAGTCATGTGCCACCACGCCTCACTAATTTTGTTTGTTTGTTTGTTTGTTTTTGTATTTTTAGTAGAGACGGGATTTCTGCATGTTGGTCAGGCTGGTCTCGAACTCCCGACCTCAGGTGATCCACCTGCCTCGGCCCCCCAAAGTGCTGGGATTACAGGTGTGAGCCACCACACCCAGCCAACATCACCAAATTTCTAAATAAAGATCAAAACACTTCTCATGTTAAACATTGAAACGAATGTAAGCTATACCTATGTTTAAGAAGAATTAATAAAAACAGGTAAGATAATGATTTACCCAATTATTTCAGTTCAGGGTCTCAGGAGGCTGGAGCCTGACTGAGGCACTCAAGGCACAAGGCAGGTACCATCCCTGAACAGGACACCATTTCACTGCAGGGCACACTCACAACCACACCCATACCCACTCCCACACCCACGCTTACTCACCCTGGGACCACTCAGTCGTGCCAGTTAACCTAACATGCACACATCTTTGGAATGTGGGAGGAAACCGAAGAACCTGAAGAACATCTATGCAGACATGGAGGGAACATGCAAATTTCAGACTGCAGCCCCAGCTAGGAAGCATTTTTTTTCCTCATCAACGTTATAAGGAAACGATGTTGAAAGAAAGGACATTTTGTGAGGACCTGGTGTACTGAGATTCTTCTATACGTCATACAGTCACACTCTCCTACTCTAGGGTCAAGAAAGAAACCATTCAGCCAGGCTGGGCATGGTAGCCCACGCCTGTAATCCCAGCACTTTGGGAGGCTGAGGCGGGTGGATTGCTTAAGGTTCGGAGTTTGACACCAGCTTGGCCAACATGGAGAAACCCCGCCTCTACTGAAAATACAAAAACTAGCCAGGTGTGGCAGTGTGTGCCTTTAGTCCCAGCTGCTTGGGAGGCTGAAGCAGGAGAATAGCTTGAACCCGGGAGGTGGAGGTTGCAGTGAGTCAAGACTGTGCTACGGCACTCCATCCAGGGTGACACAGCAAAATTCCAGCTCAAAAAAAAGAAAAAGAAAAAAAAAAAAGAAAAAGAAAGAGAAAAAAGGGAAAGAAAAGAAAAACCATTCAGCCTCTCACAGTGTGTGTGGGATGCTTAATTTTGTTAAAGACCTCCCCCCATACTCCTGCACTAATATTATATTAATAATTGGCACCAACAGAATTTCAATGAAACATTCCATAAACTGCCAAAAGAGATGAGGTCTCAGCATATTGCCCAGGTTGGTCTCGAACTCCTGACCTCAAGCAATCCTCCAGCCTCAGCCTTCCCAACGTGCTGGGATTACAGGTGTCACCCACCACAGCGGGCCCAAACTTCTTTATTAATTTAAATGAAAATTGCCCATTCATTTATTCAGCCAACATTTATTGAACCCCACTGAGCATTGCGAGGAACACAGGACAGATGAGGTCCCCGCTTTCATGGATCTCATTTTCTAGAATGGAAAGACAGATCATGACCAAATAAGTAGTTAAACAAAAATGTCCTAAGTGCCCTTCAGAGAATTCAAAGTGGAACATGGAATCAAGATGGTGGAGGGGGTCCATGTTACATCAGGTAGGCAGGGAAGGCCTCCCTAAAGAGATGATCTCTGCATTGAGACCTGAAGAATGAGCCAGTCATGTGAGAAGCTGGGGGCAGCATGCATGTGATGAGAGAAAGAATGAGATGAGACGAGCTGGAGGGCAGGCCTTGGAGGTCAGGGCTGGAGTGTGATTTGATCCTAAGGGCCATAAGAAGGATTTTAAGAACTTTGAAGGAAGCTAACAGGGGGAATAACATGGTCTCAATACTGAGGTCAGTTGCCTCCCCTGCCTGGTTATTTATTTTGTGTATTTTGCTATTATGTCTTTTCCCCTCCTGCCACCCTGAGTATCAATCCACTGATACCTGCCACTACTCAGGGATGCTTACGGCTTTTCATGTTAAATGATGATTTTCTTCTTTTGGAGAAAACTCAGCAAGCACAAATTCCTCCTTAAATTTTTCATGGTACTTTTTTTTTTTTTTTTGGACAGAGTCTTGCTGTGTTGCCAGGCTGGAGTGCAGTGGCTCAATCTTGGCTCACTGCAACCTCTGCCTCCCGGGTTCAAGTGATTCTCCTGCCTCAGCCTCCCAAGTAGCTGAGACTACAGGTGCACACCACCATGCCCAGCTAATTTTTGTATTTTTCATAGAGACGGGGTTTCACCATGTTGGCCAGTATGGTCATGGTCTCAATCTCTTGACCTCGTGATCCACCCACCTCAGCCTCCCAAAGTGCTGGGATTACAGGCTTGAGCCACTGCGCCCGGCTGGTACTTTTAATAATTGATCTAGCATCCTTTCTGCTATTAATGGGTAACAAAGTCTGCATCCTCAGCAAAGGTTTGGTTTGCTAGGAATAAATGACTTTACCATTTGTGACATCCTTCTAAGGATTTAGGTGGAGAATTGTTTCTGGGGAACCCAGATTTAGAAAGAGAACATGGAGACAATTTGTGGCTCTACTTGACCTTGGTCAAGCCCTTTACTTATGAGCTTTGGGGATGTCGCCCATAAATGAGGAAAACATGATAAGTCACCTTCAATACTTCTTGGTAGAATTAAACACACAAATATCATTAGAATATATTGCATTCTGTGTTAGTTTACTGAAGCAAAGTGTTGCAAACTGAGTGGCTTAATGACAATAATATATTATGTCACAGTTCTGGAGGCTAGAAGTTCAAAATCAAGGTGCCAGCAGGGTTGGCTCCTCCTGAGGGCAATGAGGGGAGGATCTGCTCCAGACCTCTCTCCTTGGCCTGCAGGTGATCACCTTCTCTCTGTGGATCTTCATGCATGGCAACACTCATGTGGATCTTCTCTCTGTGTCTTCCTTCTATGCATGTCTGTCTCTCTGTCCAGATTTCCCCTTTTTATAAGGATACCAGTCATATTTAATTAGGACTCACGCTATTCTAGTATGACCTCTTCTTAACTAATTACATCCCTATCGACTATGTTTCCAAATAAGGCCACATTCTGGCAGGGCATGGTGGCTCACGCCTGTAATCCCAGCACTCTGGGAGGCCGAGGTGGGTGGATTACCTGAGGTCAAGAGTTCGAGACCAGCCTGGCCAACATGGTGAAATCCCATCTCTACTAAAAATACAAAAATTAGCTGGGTGTGGTGGTGGGTGCCTGTAATCCCAGCTACAGGGAGGGTGGGGCAAGAGAATCACTTGAACCTAGTAGGCAGAGGTTGCAGTGAGCCGAGATCATGCCACTTCGCTCCAGCCTGGGCAACAAGAGCAAAACTCCATCTCAAAAAATTTTTTAAAAATAAAAATACAAAAATTAGCCGGGCGTGGTGGCGGGTGCCTGTAATCCCAGCTACTGGATTGCTAAGGCAGGAGAATTGCTTGAACTTGGGAGGTGGAAGTTGCAGTGAACCAAGATTGCTCCACTGCCCTCCAGCACAGGCGACAAGAGCAAAACTCTGTCTAAAAAGAAAAAAAAAAGAAAAGGAAAAGTCCACACTCTGAGATATTAGGGGTTAAGACTTCAATATATGAATTTTGCAGAAACATAATTCAATCCATAACACACCCACATAGAACTTTGTGCTCTGTATCATAATTGCATCATATTTAATATATTTCATATCTTCCAAACTGTTAATGAAAATGACAACACCTCTTTTAGGTTAAATATTTACTCAAAATATTATGCCATTTAAATGAATCAAGGTTTAGGAGAATATCTACTCAAGAAGAAAATTGAGAGTGAAAACCGTCTCTCTAAATTGGAGAGCTGAAGACTGAAGAGGACAGGTGAGTTCTGCGCTGTCACATGGTGAGGTGAACTTTCTATTTCCCCTATTCAATGTGTTCTTTTTCAACTCTCATAGTCACAGTGCTGGAAGCTCTTTGATGTCCTGCCTTGCAGACTTCATCTCTCCTCTCCCAGGGCTCTCTGCCTTTAGTAGATGTCTGTTAGCCCTACATAAATAGTTGTCTTGGCTCTGGCCAAAGCATTCAACGTTAATTAGTCCCTGTGCACTGACTGTAAACTTTTGGACATGATGCCTGATTAATTTTTACAGCTTCTTTTTACCTTCATTGACTTTTTAGATGTTGTTTGAATACAAATCTATACATCTAATCTGCAAATCACATCAAATCAACATTATATAAACAAATTGAGGACAATTTTAGAAACAGAACACTTTGTTTTATGAGAATAGCAGAAACAAAGCTTGAGCTAAGGATGTGGGTGCTTTCTTACCCAAACCTCACCCTAGAGGATTTCCCTTAATCGCTTGTCTTGGATCCCTTGATCACCGTATCTTTTCCTTAAAAATGGAAATTGCTTCATCTTTTATTTTCTGGTTATATCCACATAATCTATATTTATAAAAAGTTCATAGGCCAGACGCAGTGGCTCTTGCCTGTAATCCCAGCACTTTGGGAGGCCGAGGTAGGTGGATCACTTGAGACCAGTAGTTCAAGACCAGCCTAGTCAACATGATGAAACTCCATCTCTACTAAAAATACAAAAATTAGTTGGGCATGGTGGCACACGCCTGTAATCCCAGCTACTTGGGTGGCTGAGGCACGAGAATCGCTTGAACTCTGGAGGTGGAGGCTGCAGTGAGCCAAGATCGCACCACTGCACTCCAGCCTGTGTGACAGAGTGAGACTCAGTTTCAAAAAAAAGAAAAAAAAGTTTATCGACTAAATATAAAGACTCAATAACCACCATTTTAGGTCTCCTTTTTCTATACACATAAACACATGCAAATACTTTATAAAATGATGCCATAACTTACACTGTTTTGTAACCGTCTTTTTGCATGGAAAAATTTCATATGAATGTATTTCCTTGTTGACAAGCAACACTTCGTATCATCATTTTATAGCTGCATGGTGTTCATTTGTGTAGCCGTCTTATGATGGACTCAACAGATTGAATCTCCAGTCTTTATCTGTGACATTTGCCAGTAAGGTTTTCAAATTTCATATTAACTTTTACCTCTTTCCTAGGGGGCCGGCCCTTTTAGAGTTCAAATTGCAAGTTTAGCAATAAAAATAGAAACCCAGAGCACTGACACCTGAGCTGTAACTCATGTCAGGTCACATCCTGCTGCAGAGTGCCACCACTTTTCCACTGTGAAACATCGCTTGACCAGATTCTCAAAATAGCACTCCCTCTTTTTAGCATGCCGGCGTCTGGCTTGTGTTATCTGGCTCTCTTGAGCCACCAGCAAGAGTTCTCAGCTCCTAGGCCTTGGAGTCCCTCTGCCCCTGTGCCAGACCAGACTTAGCAATCAAGGCACGACGTCGGGGAACTGCAAGCGATTGGGCCTTTGGGACAGCGAGTGGGAATGCAGACACACAGAGCCGGCCAGCTCCCTGTCTCCACCCGTGGCAAGATATCCTGGTGTCAGGCATAGGAGTATTCTGAGTTGGGGATAAAAGGTCAGGGGTACAGGCTTATGGTGTGATCTAAACCCAGCCTAACCAGCTCCCATTTTGTACATGCCGTTATCTGTAAATTATGGAGCAGGTTTGGCAAGGTTATACATTTTTCTTTTCTTTTCTTCTCTCTCTCTCTCTCTTTTTTTTTTTTTAGAGGTGGGGGGTCTTGCTATGTTGCCCAGGCTGGTCTCAAACACCTGGGCTCAAGTGATCCTCTCGCCTCAGCCTCTGGCATACCTGGAACTACAGGTATCTGCCACCAGGCCCAGCAGAATTTTCAATTCTTTAATTATTACTAGAGGTAGTAAACCTAGTGAAAGTGCATGAGCTTCAAAATCAGACTGTCCTGGATTCAAAACTAGCTCTACCACTTATTATTCGTGGAACCCTGCACATAAGACACTGGATACACACTTACAGAGTAAGTGTATTGAGTATATATGTTTGTGAATTTGTTTTCCCAGCTGTAAAATGGGGATGATAATAGTACCCATTTCATAGGGTTGTTGTGAGGACAAATTGATGAATGTATAATTGGCTTACAAAAGGTACTCCGTAAATTAGAGCTGCCAGAAGAGAAGAGATCTTAGCACTCTTCTTACTGAGTCCATTTTAGAGTCCTCATGCTGGATTTATTTGTTCAACAAATAGTTATTAAATAGGCACTGTATTAAGTACTGAGGAGACATGTTGACTAAGACACTGTCCAGGGGTGGGATCTAGAACTATCTCATTCATTGAGTACATAGTTATTCACTGACCACCCCTCCTTTTTTTTGAGACAGGGTATTACTCTGTTGCCCAGGCTAGAGTGCAGGATGTGATCATAGCTCACTACAGCCTCAAACTCCTGGGCTCAAGCAATCCTCCTGCTTCAGCCTCTCTAATAGCTGGGACCCCAAGTGTGCACCACCACATCTGTCTCCACCGTCTATTAATCAGGTACTGAGTACACTATCATCTTCCTCCAAAATGTCTCTTGTGTTTATTTACTTACCTCCATCTCCATTGCCATCATCCAGTCAGCCTCCTAACTGATCTCCCTACTTCCACCCTTGACTCTTTTGTTGTCGTTGTTGGGGGGACAGGGTCTTGTTCTGTCACCCAGGCTGGAGTGCAGTGGCATGATTATAGCTCACTGCAGCCTCAACCCCCTGAGCTCAAGTGATCCTCCTGCCTCAGCCTCCCGAGTAACTGGGACCACAGGCACACACCACCATGCCTGGCTAATTTTTAATTTTTTCTAGACAAGGGGTGTCACTATGTTGCCCAGGCTCATCTTGAACTCCTGGAATCAAGTGATCCTCCTGCCTCAGCCTCCCAAAGTGGTGGGATTACGGGCATGAGCCACCGTGCTTAGCATCACTCTAGACTCAAACCATTTCACAGCCAGAGTGATCTTTCAAAACTGTAAAAGATTGTGATCAGATCGTGCTGCTCCTTTATTAAAGCACAAACCCTCATTCACAATAAAATGCAAATATTTTACCTTGGCCATGGGGCCTTGCATGACCTGGCCTCTGCCTACCTCTCCAGAATCAGTTCAGCCCACCTGTATCCATTGTCCTCTATGTCCCACAGCCTGTCAGCTCCTAGAACTGGCCAAGTTCTTTCCCACCTCAGGGCCTTTGTAAATGCCATTGTCCCTGTCTGAAATGCCATCTCCTAGGCTCTTCAGAAGACAGGCATCTTCTCATCCTTTATACATCAGCCTAAACATCACCTCTGCAGAGTGGTCTTCCCTAATGATCATCATTTACTCCCTAAGACAGCAGCCTTCTTACTGTGTTATACAATCTGCATTTATTGTTTTTACGTATTTGCTTATGTATTGTGTGTCTCTCCCACAAACAATATAAGAATATAGTTTCTTATAAGACACTAAGAATATAAGCCCTGTGAGGGGAGGAGCCTTGTCTTTTATTCATTGCTGCTTCTTTGTTGCCTAGGATTGTGTGTGTCACATAGTAGGTATTCGATAAAGATCTGTTACATGGAAGAATAAATGGAGGGATGTCTGCTGTTTGAAAACCTCCAGAAAGTATATGGCCATATCACCCAGAATGGGCCTGATCTTATCTGAAATCCTCCAATGATAGAAATTCTGAATCTTGGCCGGGCACAATGGCTCACACCTGTAATTCCAGCACTTTGGGAGGCCGAGGCGGGCCAATAACTTGAGGTCAGGAGTTCGAGAGCAGCCTGGCTAAGCCTGGTGAAGCCTCGTCTCTACTAAACATACAAAAATTAAACAGGCATGGTGGTGGTGGGCGCCTGTAATCCCAGCTACTTGGAAGGCTGAGGCAGGAGAACCACTTGAACCTGGGAGGCGGAGGTTGCAATGAGCTGAGATTGCGCCACTATACTCCAGCCTGGGCAGCAGAATGAGTGAGATTCTGCCTCAAAAGAAAGAAAAAAAAAAATTCTGAATCTCAGGTTGGCATGCTCCAGGATAGAAATCTTTTGAGGTGAAAAGTTATTATTCTGTTGGGCTAGTTATTTTTTAAAAATCGATAGAATGTTACCTGGAGGGGAAAAAGGGAGAGTCTGTTTCCTTTAGGAGAATAGAAGTGAGGACACTCCAAGCAGTAGATTAAAAAAGGAATTTGTATTTAGGGACAGGACGTGTTACTTCTTACTCAACAGGTCCACCAAATACTGTCCACTGTCCTGGTGGGGAAGAGGAGGGCCGGTGGAGTCTGGGTCCTGGCTTCCCATTCCTTAGCCCACCACATAGGAGCCGGGTGACCACGGGCAAATTAGATAATGGCTCTGAGTCTACTTCAGTGAAAAATGGACCCCCAACTCTTCTGTAGGGCAAGTGCTCAGTGCATGTTAATTAATAATTATTCTTTTTATTCTGTTAAAAAGATTCCTTGGACACATTATTTCCTGTTTAAAAGACTCCAATAGTCAAGGCTTAGCATTGCACTGGGCATGTCAGAGACGCTTAAAAAGTGGGATGCAACATAGAAAAGTGCCGTGGTCAAACCTGAGCTTGCATCAGTGTCGGCTGGGGGTGAGGGGGCTGGTTAAAACCTATGGCTGGACACCCCCACCATGAGTTTCTGATTCAGCAGTCTGGTGGGGCCTGATCATTTGAATTTCAAACAAGTTTCCAGGTGCTGCTACTGCTGCCTGGGGCACCACACTTGGAGAATGACTGACACAGTGGTTAAGTCACCCACTCTGGTGCTAGACTAACTGAATTCAAATCCCAACTATACCTCCTCACTAGACACGTGATCTTGAGCAAGTTGCTTAATCCTTCTGGCCTCAGTTCTTTCGTCTGAAAATGGAGATAATAATACAGCCTTCCTCGTGAGGTTGTTACGAAGTTTAAATGAAGTCTCACGTTAATAAGCATTGATTGTTATTTGTTAATACATGCCAATTAAAATGAATTAGTAGTAGTGCTAGCTTATAGAATTTTCTGGAATTATGGAAATGTTCTATTCTGTGCTGTTCAATCTGGTAGCCACTAGCTACAAGTGGCTATTGAGAATTTAAAATGTCGCTGGCACCACTGAAAACCTGAATATTTAATATTTTTTAATTAATTTCAATTTAAATATCCATATGTGGCTAGTGGCTGTCATTGGAGAGCACAGATGTCTGCTTGGAGTTCCTTCTCAATATGTGTGCAGAGCCTTCTTGTGGTAGTGCTTTGAAAAGCTGATAATGCTGGGTAAAGGCCGGCTAATGTGTGGGTCTACCACTTTCTTTCTTTTTTTTTTTTTTTTTTTTTTGAGGCGGAGTCTTGCTCTGTAGCCCTGGCTGGAGTGCAGTGGTGCGATCTCAGCTCACTGCAAATTCCGCCTCCCGGGTTCAAGCAATTCTCTACCTCAGCCTCTTGAGTAGCTGGGATTATAGGCACGCACCACCACGTCTGGCTAATTTTCGTATTTTTAGTAGAGACAGGTTCACCCTCTTGACCAGGCTGGTCTTGAACTCCTGACTTCGTGATCCACCCGTCTTGGCCATCCAAAGTGCTGGGATTACAGACGTGAGCCACCGCGCGTCTGGCCCGGATCTACCACTTTCTAACCATATGATCTTGAGCAAGTACCTCAGTTTCTTAGCAGCATAGCCTCATCTGTAAAATGGGAATAATAGCACTTGCCTGACTGACTTCTTCAAAAATGCTCTATGTATTTTAATGTGATGACTAAAGTAATATGGTAAACCCAATACAATTGCAAGGATTTTTTTAAAGCAATATTTCACTTCTTCAGATTTTCTTTTCCGTGATCTTCTTCAAGGACGAGAACTTTATCATTCAGCCTTCTATGTCCGTAGTGCTCATCTGCTCATCACACGGTAGGTCCTCATAAATGTTTGCTCAGTTAAAATGCAGCTTCCAGGTCAGGCGCAGTGGCTCACCCCTGTAATCCCAGCACTTTGGGAGGCCAAGGCAGGTGGATCACTTGAGGTCAGGAGTTCAAGACCAGCCTGGCCAACATGGTGAAACCCCCTCTCTACTAAAACTATAAAAATTAGCTGGGCATGGTGGTGGGTGCCTGTAATCCCATCTGCTCTGGAGGTTGAGGCAGGATAACCCGGATGCTTGAACCCAGGAGACGGAGGTTGCAGTTAGCCGAGATGGTGCCATTGCACTCCAGCCTGGGTGAGAGAAAAAGGCTCTGTCTCAAAAAAAAAAAAAAAAAAAAAAAAAAAAAAAAAAAAAAGTAGCTTCCATACCAAACGTCTTTTAATTTGGCCTGTTATATAAAGATGTTCTAAAATATGTGGTCAAAAGGAGGAACTATGTATGTTAATTAAACACACCAATATACTTTAAGAAGTTATTGTCTAAATGCCTTTCTAAAGTGATATCTATTTTGTCCCAATTACAAATTATTCATGGTTATTCCTAAAACTGGTAAATGCAGAATATTATAAAGAAAAAATACAATTCACTAACAATCATAACCCTCTTTGACATTTTGAGACATTTCTTTCTAATTATATGAGTGGGACTGGGCGTTCACTCATTATTTATTCAACAAACATCTTTTTAGTAGGTGCTACGGGCCAGACACTTTTCCAGGTGATGGTGATACAGCAGTGACCAAAACAAACAAATAACCTTTGCCATCATGGTGTTTACATTCTAGTAGATGATATTTAAAGACTCAGGAAAATATACAAATTTAACAACTAAATCAGGCTAATGATTTTGTTATTGTTCAGTAAGGTGTTTATTGTTTCTTCCCTTTCCTATATGCTGGGAGCATTTTCCTTTTCTTTTTGTTTTTTTTTAAGCAAGATTGTCATTACATTGCTTTGTGAGCCAACATAAAGGCCTTGCTGGGGTAAAAGGAAAACTCAATGTTTAAATTATGACTTCAGGAAGTTTATCCCACGGTGTGATGTTCTTAGCAGACCAATGACTGCCCAGTGGAGGCCTCAGAGTGAATTCTGGAGTATCCTGTCCTGAGAGCCAGACAATCCGAGTCCAGGACTCAATGTTCATGTCTCAGGTTTTACCAAGTTGTCAGGCATCACCGTTTCTTCTTATGACTCTGAAACATTTATTTTGGTCTTAAAAAGAAAGTTTCCTGGAGTTAACAGAACGCATATTGTTTGTAGTGCATCATCTTCTATTCCTGCAAGACTAACCTGGCTAATTACCCTGCCCCTTTGGTGGTTCTGATGAAAACAACTAAAACTTAAATCTTGAAAGAAGCTTCAGAGTAGTGAGAATCATGGAGGTGGTTGGAGGGTGGGGATGGAGCAAAGCTCATCCTGTGATGGGTATTGTCGCCCCTGGACAAAGAGCGAAAGGACAGTGGGTCCCCTTCTATGTCTGGGCCACGACCATCGTGGCCTCCTCCTTTTCACACTGAGTCTCTCACTTCTAATTCCTCCCATTTCTCCTCTCTCCCACAGCCCCACATCCTTTGTCCCATAGAATCTGCAAAAAGGAAGAGAAGACTGTATTCCTCAAAATATCAAGGACGAGGATACTGTCTGACTTGGGAATAAACCAATGGCATATACGAAGGTGCTTAACATCACTAATCACTGGGGAAATGCAAGTCAAAACCATAATGACATAGCTCCTCACACCTGTTAAAATGACTATTATCAGAAAGTCAAATGATAAGTGTTCATTGAGGGTGTGGAGAAAATGGAACTCTTGTACACTGTTGGTGGGATTGTAAATTGGTGTGGCCATTATGAAAAACAATGTGGAGGTTGCCCATAAAACTAAAAATAGAATTCCCATATGATCAGCAATTCTACTTCTGAGTGTTTATCCAAATAAATTGAAATCAGTATTTCGAATTGATATCCACACTCCCTGTTCATTAAGGCATTATTCACAATAGCCAAGACATGAAAACAACCTAAGTGTCCACTGATGAATGAAGAAATAAAGAAAAGGTGGAATGTATACATATACAATGGAATACTGTTCAGCCGTAAAAAATAAGAAAATCCTGTTATTTGAAGCAACATAGAAGAAACTGGAGGACATTTGCTAAGTGAAATAAGCCAGACACAGAAAGTCAAATACTGCATGATCTCACTTATATGTGGAAACTAAAGAGGTTGAACTCATAAAATCAGGAAGTACCAAAGGAGGTTCCCAAGGGCTGGGGGTGTTGGAGAAATGTGGGATTTTGGTCAAAGGATACAAATTTTCATTTATAGGATGAATAAGTTCTGGAGATCTAATGTACAGCATGGTAACTATAGTTCATAACAATGTATTGTATCCTTGAAATGTTCTGAGAGAGTAGATCTTAAGTGTTCTCATCACACATTAAAAAAGGTAGGTATATGAGGTAATGGATAGGTTACTTAGCTTCACTGTGATAATCACTTCACAATGTATATGTGTATCAAAGTATCTCATTGTACACTGTAAGTATACACAAGTTTTATCTGTTAATTCTACCTCAATAAAACTGGCAGGGAGAGAATAAATCCATGAATGAATACAACTGCTGGGTAGAGGGAGGTGTTATATTAATAGACACAAAGGTAAGTCATCAAGAGGCATGGTTTTTCTTCTGTTGTCTAGAAGGGAACAAAGAAGGTGTTGATTTGTTGTTGGTATCTGCCTATCAAAGCCCTAGCCAGGACAGAGTCTAGACATGAGGAGGCATTGCATACAATGAATAGCTCCACGGAGCTGTAGGTGATGAAGACAATAGCTAACTTGTCTCCCTGCTTTAGGATTTTAATGCTGATACTTTTGGATGACATCTCTGCTTCTCTTCTTGTTTTTCATTCCACATTCTTCAATGCATTATTCACCTTACCGACAGCCTTATGCAAAATGCAGCCATTAGCCACAAAGGGCTTTGCTACCAGATGGAGAGACAGTATAATGTAGTGTGAGATTGTGGATCGGCACTGTCCAACAGAAACAGAATGAAAGCCATGAATATCATTGCAAATTTTCTAGTAGCCATATTAAAAAAAGAAAAAGAATAGATTAAATTAATTTTAGTAATGTTGGTTGGGCATGGTGGCTCACACCTGTAATCCCAGCACTTTGGGAGGCCGAGGCCGGCAGCTTGCTTGAGCTCTAGAGTTCGAGACCTGCCTGGGCAACATAGCAAAATTTGTTCTCTACTAAAAACATAAACAAAAAAAAAAAAACAAAAATTAACAAGGCGTGGTGTTGCATGCCTGTGGTCCCAGGTACTGGGAAAGCTGAGGTGGAAGGATTGCTTGAGCCTAGGAGGTTGAGGCTGCAGTGAGCCCAGATCGCACCACTGTACTCCAGCCTGGGTGACAAAGTGAAACCCTGTCTCAAAAAAAAAAAAAAAAAAGGAAAGAAAGAAAGAAAAATTAATTTTAATAATGTCTTACCTAACCCTGTGTATTCAAAATATTATCATTTCAACACACAATCAATAGAAAAAATTATTGAGATTTTTATATAGCATTTCATACTAAGTCTTCAAAATCTAGTATGTATTTTATACTCAGAGCACATCTTAATTCTGGCTGGGCCACATTTCAAGTGCCCAACAGCCCCATGGGCTAGTATACACATAGAAGACCTAAGTGTATAATCTTGGGAAAATTACATAATCTCTCTGTGCTTCAGTTTCCTTGTCTATAAACTGGGAGAAGTTATAGTACAAACCTCATTTAGAATTGTTATGGAGATTAAAAGAGCACTTAAAACATTGCCTGGCACAGAGTTGGTGTCCAATAAATGTTAGCTCTTACTGTAATCAGATATAAGTTTAACCACCTCCTAATGATCAAAGCAATCTCTCAGTAAGGTCTGACTTTGGGGTTTCTAAATTAGAACCGTATGTCTGATATCTTAAGATGATGAAAATCATATGCCATTTCAAAACTCCTACCTCACTTCAAAGCTTAACACGGAAAGTTTGGTCTTGAGCTGTACTTTCACAGCTGGGCAACCTGTAATCTGACAAACTTCTTTACACCATTAAGTCTGCAAATAGACTCTTACTGAATTTTGAAAATAAGCAGTATCATATTTTTATTAGGATGTAAAATTAGGTTCACAGCTATAGAATTTTCCCAGCTTGTTTTTTGGTGATCTCTCAAGAGATTTAAACCCTACTTTACCAGGGTAAGAAGATAGTACTTGTCTTCTCAAAACTATGGCTTCCAGCCACAAATCCATATTAATATCACAGGATAACTTTGAGAGGCTGAGGTGAGTGGGTCACTTGAGGCCAGGAGTTCAAGACCAGCCTGACCAACATGGTGAAACCCTGTCTTTACAAAAAGTACAAAAATTAGCCGTGCTGGTGGCACGCGCCTCCCAGCTACTCAGGAGGTTGAGGTGGGAGAATCACTTGAACCTGGGAGGTGGAGGTTGCAGTGAGCCAAGATCGCGCCACTACACTCTAGCCTGGGTGAAAGAGTGGGACCCTGTCTCAAAAAATAAATAAGTGAATAAAAATAAAAATCACAGGATATATTTGAGGGCCTAAGCACCGTGATATGTAAATTGTGAGCTTACTGTCCAGTCGAGGAGAAAGACGTTAATTGAATAATCACACAAATAAACTTGCCAACTGGTATCATTGCTATTAAGAAGAGGAAAGGTTGCTCAGATTGTCTATGAGGAGGAAATTTGATTTGGTCAGTGATGTTTTCCCCTAAAGAAGTGCTGATGAGGCTGACAGCTGAAGGATAGGCAGAGTTAACCGGGTGGAGAGGGAGGGAAATGCATCCTAGGTGAGGAAACAGCATGAACAGAAATCCTGGTGTGGCAGGAGTGTGGTGAGATGGAAAGAGGGCAGTGGGCCTTACACAGAGAGTAAGGACAGAGCTGAGGTTTGACTGGAGAAACAGTAGGACCAGAGATAGCAGGCTCTTGACAGCTATTAAAGAATTTATATTTACATGGAGAACACTGGGAAGCTGTTACTGGGTCTCCAACACTTCAGGATGCTTTTCTTTGCTGGGTTAAACCACACTTTGATTCCTTATAATGGTGATTAAATAAAAATGTCAGTGCATCAAGAGATAGAGAGACTAGGCAAAGGGCTTCACGTGCCTTTTATTCCCTATCAAGTGCAACCTGACACTATAGCCATGTAACCCCTGTCTCTGGTCTTCCCTTCGGCTACCCTTCTCCAGTTATCCAACCAATTCTGAGCCTCTGTCTCAGGATTTCTGTCTTGACGTTTGGGAGGGCAGACAACAGATAAGTTGGACCGCAGCTTAGAGGTGAACTTCAGAAGAGACCAACTCTTCCAGACAAGGAAGTGAAGCTCTTACATGTTTAAGGCCGTGAGTCTCAGTTCTAGGTAGGAGGCAAAGGCAAAATACATAATTAGATTTGCCTTAGAAAAGACAACTGGCTGGGCACAGTGGCCCATACCTGTAATCCCAGCACTTTGGGAGGCCAAGGCAGGTGGATCACCTGAGGTTGGGAGTTCGAGACCAGCCTGGCCAATATGGCAAAATGCCCCCTCTACTGAAAATACAAAAATTAGCTGGGTGTGGTGGCACCCACCTGTAATCCCAGCTACTCAGGAGGCTGAGGCAGGAGAATTGCTTGAACCCAGGAGGCGGAAGTTGCAGTGAGCCGAGATTGCGTCACTGTGCTCCAGCCTGGTGATAGAGCAAGAGTCCGTCTAAAAAAAAAAAAAAAAAAAGACAACTAAATATAATGTGAAAAAAAATTGTTAGAGGAGCTAAAGAGAACATGCAGGGAGACAAGAATCCTATTTGCTATAGTCCAGGCAAGAGGTGATATTAAATATGAGGACAAGTAGACAAATTTGAAAGATACTTAGAAGGTCAGAACTGGACTTGGTAATGACTGGATATAGAAGGTAAGGGAGAGGGAGATGTCGAGAATAATTCCCAGAGTTTTCAGCTGTATAGCTGGATGGATGCCTGTGCCCTTCTTCAAGACACAGAGCACAGAGAAAACAAGATTTGAGAGAAAAGACTATGTGTTCAATTTTCGGCTTGTGGAATTTGAGATGCCTCAAAGATATCCAAGAAAAAATGTGGTGTAAGCAGTGATGTTAAGGTTCAGACCAGAGACACATATTCTCCACTAATACATGCACAATGTGACATCAACGATTTCTCTTTAGCTTTTGAATCACGTACAATATCTAGTTCAAACCCTTAAAGGTCTTGCTCAAAACGGCAACATGTGTGAAATCTCACTGGTTCATACTCATTCTAAGTGTAACAAAGGTCATATCAGAGACTCAAATCTAATCCAGATCAAGATTCTACCATGTGTCAGACGTGAGGGTTACAGACACGAGTCAACCATGGGCTTTGTCCTTGAGATCGCTGCTGAGAAAGAACATTCAGCCTCAAACTATAGGAGGCTCAATTGTGTCTACTTCTTGGCTCCTCCATTGTAATTCTTGCTACTGTCTTTTCCTTTCAGAGGAAGAGATCATAAACATTTTGAGAACAGAACTATGCCATTTTCAGTGATGTGCCCCTTAGGGCCAGCACAGTGCCTGGCCCATGGTATTTATTTAATAAGTATTTGAATGAATGAAGGGCATGCTTCCATCTTCCTTTTGGAATACAGTATTTCCCTATGAATATCAATCTGTTCTAGATAAAGATAGCAGATGAAATATATGCAATATTCTCCACGGTCTCCTAAATACCCCATTAAAAAGCCAGTAAAAGGGTTAAAGAACAGTTACAAACCCAAACAAGGACAAAGAGAACGGATGATAAGACTTCACCCACAACACTTTGGAAGTTTGAATGTACATTGGTAATTACTAACCGGCTTTAGCAGATCTGAGAAAACAGAAGCCCATGCCAGAAGCAGGGAAAGCCAAGAAGAATTGCATAACACTATCAGTTATCTGGGGAAGCATGAGGAGATGAGGCTGAAAATTGGAAGATCATTTAAAAGGCTGTTTTTAAGAAAGATTTTAATTCCTAGTGTTAATACCTGGAATGGTGCTTGGTACATAATAGAGGCTTGATAAATATTGTTATGTGGATGAAGAGGTAAATGAAATTCAGCTACACAAAACCTTGCATACTTAAAAACATTTTTATTTATTTATATTTTTTATTTTTGTAGAGACAGGGTTTCATTCTGTCACCCAGGCTACACTAGAATGGTGCTATCATAACTCACTGCAGCCTTAAACTCCTGGGCACAAGTGACCTTCCTGCCTCCCAAATAGCTAAGATTACAGGCTTCTGCCACCTCACCTGGCAATTTTTTTTTTTTTTTTTTTTTTTTTAGAAATAGGGCCTCACAATGTTGCCCAGCATGGTCTCAAACACCTGGCCTCAAGTGATCCTCCTGCCTCAGCCTCCCAAAGTGTTGGGATTACAGGTATGAGCCACCATGCCTGGCCCTAAACATTTTTATTCTGCTGGTGCACTTAATTGCTGATTTGGCTGGTGTATCAGTTATCTACTGCTGCATAACAAACTACCCCAAAACTTGGTAGCTTAAAACAGCAACCATTTATTTAGCACACATTTCTATGGGATGCCAATTTTGGCTGTTCTCTACTGAGTTCATTCACTAGTGTGTCTGAGGCCAGCTGCTAATCACCTAGGTTGTTTTGCTTCTTGGGATCAGCTATTTGTTGGCTAGGGTGACAAGGTTTACTGGGCCATACGTCTCTCATTATCCACCATCCTGGCCCAGGCTAGTTCACTTAGTAGTTGCAGTTTCTAAGAGCAGCAAGAGAAGAAGCTTCAAGGCTTCTTGAGGTCTTGGAACTTGCAGAACATCACTTACGCCACATTCTATTGTTCAAGCCCAGATTCAAGGGGCGGGATGGGGTTGGGGTGGGTGGTGACTCTACCTCTTTATGGGAAGAACTGCAAGTCTTGAGGTTATTTTTCCACACTTACACAGCTGGGCATAGAATTCTTGGATGGAGCTAATTTTCTTTCAGAATTTTGAAAACATGGCTTTTTGTTTGTTTGTTTTGCTTCCTAGTTCCTGGCATTGCTACTGAAAACTCTGATACAATCCTGTCTTATTATTATTTATATATAATCTGTTTTTGATTTTGTTTTTACCATCTCTGAAAGCTTTGTGGATTTTTTTTTAATTGAAAGAATGCTAAGATTTTATAATAATGTGACTTGGTATAGGTCCATTCTTATCCTTTGAGCAAGATGCCTGATGGATGCTTTCTATCTGGAAGCTCAGGTACTTCAAGCTGAAATATTTAATTGATGCTTTTCTTCCCTTCATTTCCTCTGTTCTTTCTATAACTCTTGTTATTCAGGTGTTGGAGCTCCTATGCTGGCCCTGTAATTTTATCTTTCTCTCTCCTTTTTTTTTTTTTTGAAACAGGGTCTCACTCTATTGCCCAGGCTGGAGTGCAGTGGCGCAATCTCGGCTCACTGCAGCCTCTGCCTCCTGGGTTTAAACGATTCTTGTGCCTCAGCCTCCCGAGTAGCTGGGACTATAGGCATGTGACACCATGCCCGGCTAATTTTTTGTATTTTTAATAGAGATGGGGTTTTGCCTGTTGTCCAGGCTTGTCTCTAACTCCTGAGCTCAGGCAATCCACCAGCTTCAGCCTCCCAAAGTGCTAGGATTACAAGCGTGAGCCACCATACCCAGTATCTCTCCTTATTTTCTTTTTCTTTTTCTTTCTTCTTTCAGCATCTCACTCTGTCACCCGGGCCAGAGTGCAGTGGCACAACCATGGCTCACTGGAGCCTTGACCTCTTGGGCTCAAGTGATCCTCCCACCTCAGCCTGCCAAGTAGTTGGGACTATAGGCATGTGCTACCATGCCCAGCTAATTTTTCTGTTTTTTTGTAGAGACAGGTTCTTACTGTGTTGCCCAGGCTGGTCTCGAACTCCTGGGCTCAAGCGATCCTCCTGCTTCAACCTCCTTAAGTGCTAGGATTACAGGTATGAGCTACCACTCTCCTATTTTTCTTTTTTTGAGACAGAGTCTTGCTCTGTCACCCAGGCTTGAGTGCAGTGGCGAGATCTCAGCTCACTGCAACCTCTGCCTCCTGGGTTCAAGTGATTCTCCTGTCTTAGCCTCCTGAGTAGCTGGGATTGCAGGCACATGCCCACCACACCCGGCTAATTTTTGTCTTTTTAATAGAGATGGGGTTTTGCCATGTTGGCCAGGCTGGTCTCAAACTCCAGACCTCAGACGATCTACTTGCCTCGGCCTCCCAAAATACTAAGATTGCAGGTTTGAGCCACCGTTGCCTAGGCAACTTCAGGTCCTATTTTTCATATCTTTCTTTTTGCCAGGTTTTCTGGATGATTTCCTCAAATTTGTCATACAGCATTTATATCAAGTGTCAGAGAAAAACTAATAAATGTAGGCCTGGCCTTACAGGGTGTTTTCTGAAAATCATCACACACCTGATTGGTGATCAACGTTCTTTAAAGTTTGGGAATTGTTGCCTTTCCTAATATGGTGAAGACCTTCAGTTTTTTTTTTCTTTTTTTAAATTATAGATTCGGGGGGTACAAGTGCAGGTTTGTTACATGAGTGTATTGTATATAATGCTGAGGTTTGAGCTTCTAGCAAACGCATCACTCCAACAGTGAACATGGCACCCAATAGGTCATTTTCAGACCTTGCCTCACTCCAATTCTCCCCACTTTTGGAATCCCCAGTGTGTATTATTTTCTTTCTTTTTTTTTTTTTTTGAGACAAGTTTTGCTCTGTCTCCCAGGCTGGAGTGCAGTTGTGCTATCTCAGCTCACTGCAAATTCCACCTTCCAGGTTCAAGTGATTTTCATGCCTCCGTCTCTTGAGTAGCTTGGATTACAGGTGTGCACCACCATGCCTGGCTAATTATTGTGTTTTTAGTAGAGATGGGTTTTTTCCATGGTGGCCAGGCTGGTCTTGAACTCCTGACCTCAACTGATCCCCCTGCCTCGGCCTCCCAAAGTGCTAGGATTACAGGTGTGAGCCACCGCGCCAAGCCTATTGTTTTCATCTTTATGACAAGGTGTACCTATTGTTTATCTCCCACTTATAAGTGAGAACATGTGGTATTTGATTTTCTGCTTCTGAGTTATTTCACTTAGAATAATGGCATCCAGCTCCCATCCATGTTGCTGCAAAGGACATGATTTCATTCGTGTTTATGGCTGTGTTGTATTCCATGGTATGAATTCCCTATATATGCCACATTTTCTTTATCCAGCCATCTCTTGATGGACACAGGTTGATTCTACACCTCTGCTATTGTGAACAGTGCTGCAATACACATGCAAGTGGAGGTTTCCTTTTGATATTAGGTTTGTACAAAAGTAGTTATGGCTTTTGCCATTAAAAGTAATGGCAAAAATTACTTTTAATGGCAAAAGCCGCCAATTACTTTTGCACCAACATAATATATTGATTTATTTTGCTTTGAGTAGATATGCAGTAGTGGGATTGCTGGATCGAATGGTAATTCTATGTTTAGTTTTTTGAGAAGTTTCCATACTGTTTTCTGCAGTGGCTGTACTAGCTTACATTCCCACCAGCTGTGTATAAGAGTTTCCTTTTCTCCTCATCCTTGCCAACATCTTTTATTTTTGTCTTTTTAATAAAAGGCATTCTGACTGGTATAAGATTCTTATCTTGTTGTTTTGATTTACATTTCTGATGATTAATGATGCTGAGCATCTTTTACAGATGTTTGTTGGCCACTTGTATCTTCTTTTGAGAAGTGTCTGTTCATATCTTTTGCCTACTTTCCTCCCCTCCCCTCCCCTCCTCTCTTTTCCTTTCCTTTCCTTTTTTGAGATGGAGTTTTGCTCTTGTTGTCCAGGCTGGAGTGCAATGGCACGATCTTGGCTCACTGCAACCTCTGCCTCCTGGGTTCAAGTGATTCTCCTGCCTCAGCCTCCTGAGTGGCTGGGATTACAGGTGCCTGCCACCATACCTGGCTAACTTTTTGTATTTTTAGTAGAGACAGGGTTTCACCATGTTGGCCAGGCTGGTCTCGAACTCCCAACCTCAGGTGATTCACCTGCCTTGGCCTCCCAAAGTGCTGGGACTACAGACATGAGCCACTGTGCCTGGCCCCATTTTTTTTTTTTTTAAATAGAGATGGTGTCTCCCTGTGTTGCCCAGGCTGGTCTCGAACTCCTGGGTTCAAGGGTTCCTCCCACCTTGGCCACCCAAAGTGCTAGGATAACAGGCATAAGCTTTCATGCCTGGCCATTTGCCTTTTTTTTTTTTTTTTCTTTTTGAGACAGAGTCTCGCTCTGTCACCCAGGCTGGAGTGCAATGGCACAATCTTGGCTCACTGCAAGCTCTGCCTCCCGGGTTCATGCCATTCTCCTGCCTCAGCCTCCTGAGTAGCTAGTACTACAGGCGCCTGCCACCACGCCCACCTAAATTTTTGTATTTCTAGTAGTGACGGGGTTTCACCGTGTTAGCCAGGATGGTCTCGATCTCCTGACCTCGTGATCCTCCCGCCTCAGCCTTCCAAAGTTCTGGGACTACAGGTGTGAGCTACTGCACCTGGTCCCATTTGCCCATTTTTTAATGGGATTATTTGTTTTTTTCTTGTTGATTTATTTAAGTTCCTTATAGATTCTCGATACTAACTAGTCTTTTGTTGGATGCATAGTTTGCAAATAAATTACTCCCACTCTGAAGATTGTCTGATTACTGTGCTGATTATTTCTTTTGCTGAGCAGAAGCTCTTTTCTATTCCTACACACTCATCTGGAAGGTTTTTTTCTACTCCTGCAAACTTATCCTGAAGGTTGAGTTTTGCTATGGGTCTAAGCAGTACCCATGGGTGCTACTGGAAAATCTTATGCTTGAGAAAGAAAGAGGCCAGGCATGGTGGCTCACACCTGTAATCCCAGCACTTTGGGAGGCCAAGGCGGATGGATGGCTTGAGCTCAGGAGTTCAAGACCAGCCTGAGCAACATATCGAAACCCCGTCTCTACAAAATAAACAAAAATCAGCCAGGCATGGTGGTGCGTGCCTGTAATCCCAGATACTTGGGAAACTGAGGCATAAGAATCTCTTGAACTCAGAAGGTGAAGGTTGCAGTGAGCTGAGTTCACGCCACTGCACTCCAGCCTGGGCAACAAAGCGAGATTCTGTCTCAAAAAAAAAAAAAAGTAAAAAAGAAAAGAAAGAAAGAAAGAATCTAACATAGATTCAGAAAATGGGAAGAAGGGGTGAAAAGGAGAGTAGGTTTAAAAAAAAAGATGAGTGCATGGGTCAAAACACTTTGGGTCTAAAATGACAGAAATTGTACTCACTGAGAGAAACAGAATTTTTTGCTTTTGTAATTGACAAATTCATCTATCCATTTATTTACCTGCTTAACAATACTTATCAAGTACCTAATCTTTTCCAGGCCCTGTTTTAGGCCCTTGAGGTACATTAGTGTACAAAACAAAACAAGATCCCTTCCTGTTGGAGCTAATAGTAGAAATACATTCTTTTATTTTACTTTTATGTTTCCTGAATATACATAGTGCAGTAATTGTAGATGCTTCTCCAACATCTACTCTCCATCTGTGTTTATAGTTTGAAATGTGAATTTGAAAATCTGCTAATTACCTCTGCATACCTTTGGTTATTTTTTCCAAAAAAAAATATTAATTATTCTGGAAGCTTGATTTGCATCCCATTGGAGGGAGAAAAGGGAGATTAATTCCATCTAAAACTCATGACTCTACTATCCTAAGGAAAAAGAGCAAAACTGGAGGAATCACATTACCTGGTTTCAAATGATACTACAGAGCTGTAGTAAACAAAACGGCGTGGTACTGGCATAAAAACAGACACATAGTCCAGTGGAACAGAATAGAGAACCCAGAAATAAATTCAAACATTTACAGTGGACTAGTTTTCAGCAAAGGTGCCAAGAACATACACAGGGAAAAGGACAGTCTCTTCAATAAATGGTGCTGGGAAAACTGCATAGCCATATGTAGAAGAATGAACCTAGACCCCATCTCTTGCCATATACAAAAATCAAATCAAAATGGATTAAAGACTTAAATCTATGACCTGAAACAATGAAACTACTAAAAGAAGATGTTGGAGAAACTCCCCAGGACATTGGAGTGGGCAAAGACTCCTCAAGCAATATCCCACAGGAATAGAAAACCAAAAGAAAAATGGACAAATGAGATCACATCAAATTAAAAAAAACTTTTGCACAGCAAAGGAAACAATTAAAAAAGTGAAGAGACAACCCACAGATTGGGAGAAAATATTTGCAAACTACTCATCTGACAAGGAATTAATAACCAGAATATACAAGGAGCTCAAATAACTCTATAGGAAGAAAATCTAATAATCCAATTAAAAATGGGCAAAAGATCTGAACTGATATTTCTCAAAAGAAGACATACAAATGGAAAACAGGTATATAAAAAGGTGTGCAACATCACTGATTATCAGAGAAATGCAAGTCAAAACTATAATAAGATACCATCTCACCCCAGTTAAAATGACTTTTATCCAAAAGACATGGAATTACAAATGCTAGCAATAACGTGGAGAAAAAAGAACCATTATACACTGTTGGTGGAAATGTAAATTAGTAAAACCATTACGGGGAACAGTTTGGAGGTTCTTCAAAAAACTAAAATATAGAGCTACCATATGATCTAGCACTCCCACTAATAGCTATATACCCAAAAGAAAGGAAATCAGTATACAGAAGAGATAGCTGCACTCCCATGTTTATTGTAGCACTATTCACAATAGCCAAGATTTGGAAGCAACCTAACTGTCCAACATCAGATGAATGGATAAAAAAAATGTGGTACTTATACACCATGAAGTACTATTCAGCCATAAAAAAAGAATGAGATCCTGTCATTGGCAACAACATGGATGGAACTGGAAGTCACTATGTTAAGTGAAATAAGCCAGGCACAGAAAGACAAACATCACATTGTTCTCACTTATCTATGGGAGCTAAAATGAAAACAATTCAACTTATGGAGACAGAGTAGAAGGATGGTTACCAGAAGCTGGGAAGTGTAGTTGGAGAGGATGGGGGAAGGGGGTTGGTTCATGGGTACAAAAATAATAGTTAAAACAACAAAGACATAGTATTTGCTAGCACAACAGAGTAACTATAGTAAAACATAATTGTTCTTTTTTTTTGTTTGTTTGACAGAGTCTTGCTCTGTCACCCAGGCTAGCAGGTAGTGGCATGATCTCCACTCACTGCAACCTCCATCTCGTGGGTTCAATCAATTCTTGTGCTTCAGCCTCCCGAGTATGTGGGATTACAGGCATGTACCACTACGCCTGGCTAAGTTTTGTATTTTTAATAGAGACGGGGTTAGGCCATGTTGGCCAGGCTGGTGTTAAACTCCTGACCTCAGGTGATCCACCTGCCTTGGCATCCCAAAGTGCTGGGATTACAGGCATGAACCACCATGCCCAGCCTTAACTGTACATTTAAAAATAACTAAAAGAGTAGAATTGGATTGTTTGAAACACAAAGGATAAAAGCTCGAAGTGACAGATACCCTGTTTACCCTGATGTGATTATTACTCATTGCATGCCTATATAAAAATATCTCATGTAACCCATAAATATATTCACCTACTATGTACCCACAAAATCAAAAGTTAAAAAATAAAAAATAAAAGTTTATGACTTTAAAGCAGCTCAGGCCAACAAAACTCAAAAAATGAGTATGAAGAAAGTGATTTCATGACTAAAAATTTGCAGCTATTTCTTCAATGTGAGATTCCAAGAGGGGCAATGTTAGATTGTGCCTTAGTTTGTGCTTTTTGAAAGAGAGGCTTGAGTTGACATTTGACACGTGCTTAGATTGATCTGAACCCTAATATGGAAAAGAATCCCTACCGAGAGCATCAACAATGCCAGGTGAGAAGTTTTGTTAACTTACTTCAGTATAATTTCCCCAAATCAGCCCTATGCTTTGAGTGGACTTTTTTTCAATATTTACTGTGTTAGTCCGTTTTCACCTGCTGATAAAGACATACCTGAGACTGGGCAATTTATAAAAGAAAGAGGTTTAATGGACTCACAGTTCCACATGACTGGGGAGGCCTCACAGTCATGGCTGAAGACGAAAGGCAGGTCTGACAAGACAAAATCATGAAATCACTTTCTTCAGACTCATTTTTTGAGTTTGATTGGCCTGAGCTGCCTTAAAGTCATAAACTATTATTATTATTTTTAAAATTTTTGTGGGTACATAGTAGGTGTATATATTTATGTGTTACCTGAGATTTTTTTTTTTTTTTTTTTTTTTTTGAGATAGAGTCTTGCTCTGTCACCAGGCTGGAGTGCAGTGGTGCCATCTCGGCTCACTTCAACCTCCGCCTCCTGGGTTCAAGCAATTCTCCTGCCTCAGCCTCCTGAGTAGCTGGGACTACAGGTGTGAACCACCACTCCCAGCTAATTTTTTTTTTTTGTATTTTTACTAGAGACGGGGTTTCACCATGTTGGCCAGGATGGTCTCGATCTCTTGACCTCATGATCTGCCTGCCTCGGCCTCCCAAAGTGCTGGGATTACAGATGTGAGCCACCATACCTGGCCAAGATATTTTTACATAGGCATGCAATGCATAGTAATGACACCAGGGTAAATAGGGTATCTACCACCTCAAGCATTTATCCTTTGTGTTTCAAACAATCCAACTCTAGTCTTTTAGTTATTTTTAAAAGTGCAATTAAGGCCAGGCTTGGTGGCTCATGCCTGTAATCCCATCACTTTGGGAGGCTGAGGCAGGTGGATCACCTGAGGTCAGGAGTTCGAGACCTGCCTGGCCAATATGGCCTAACCTCGTCTCTACTAAAAATACAAAAATTAGCCAGGCATGGTGGCACATGCCCATAATCCTAGATACTCGGGAGGCAGACAAGAGAAGAGAGCTTGTACAGGGAAACTTCCCTTTATAAAACTGTCAGATCTCATGAGACTTACTCACTATCACAAGACTAGCATGGGAAAGAACCACCCCCATGTTTCAATTACCTCCCAAAACACATGGGAATTATGGGAGCTACAATTCAGGATGAGATTTGGGTGGGGACACAGCCAAACTATATCTTTCTGCCCCGGCCCCTCCCAAATCTCATGTCCTCACATTTCAAAAGCAATCATGCCTTCCCAACAGTCCCCAAAGTCTTAACTCATTTCAGCATTAACTCAAAAGTCCACAGTCCAAAGTCTGATCTGAGATGAGGAAAGACCTTTCCACCTATGAGACAGTAAAATCAAAAGCAAGTTAGTTACTTCCTAGATAAAATGGGGGTGCAGATATTAGATAAATACACCCATTCCAAATGGGAGAAATTGGCCAAAATGAAGGGGCTAAAGGCCCCATGCAAGTTTGAACTCCAGCAGGGCAGTCAAATATTAAAGCTCCAAAATGATATCCTTTGACTCCATGTCTCATATCTAGATCACACTGATGCACGAGTTGAGTTCCCATGGTATTGGGCAGCTCTGCCCCTGTGGCTTTGCAGGGTACGGCCTCCCTCCCAGCTGTTTTCATGGGCTGGTGTTGAGTGTCTGCTGCTTTTCCAGGCACACAGTGCAAGCTGTAGGTGGATCTACCATTCTGGGGTCTGGAAGACAGTGGACTTCTTCTCACAGCTTCGCTAGGCAGTGCCCCAGTAGGGACTCTGTGTGGGGGCACCCACCCCACATTTCCCTTCTGCACTGCCTTAGCAGAGGTTCTGCATGAGAGCCCCGCCCCTGCAGCAAACTTCTGCCTGGACATCCAGGTGTTTCCGTATATCTTCTGAAATCTAGGTAGGGGTTCCCAAACCTCAATTCTTGACTTCTATGCACCTGCAGGCTCAACACCAGGTGGAAGCTGCCAAGGATTGGGACTTGCACCCTCTGAAGCCACAGCCTGAGCAGCACCTTGGCCCCTTTTAGTCATGGTTGGAGTGGCTGGGATGCAGGGAACAAAGTCCCTAGACTGTACATAGCATGAGAACCCTGGGCCCAACCCACAAAACCATTTTTTCTTGCTAGGCTTCTGGGCCTGTGATGGGAGGAGCTGCCCCAAAGGTCTCTGACATGCCTTGGAGACATTTACCCCATTGACTTGGTGATTAACATTTGGGTCCTCCTTACTTATGCAAATTTCTGCAGCCAGCTTGCATTTCTCCTCAGAAAATGGGATTTTCTTTTCTATTGCATTGTCAGGTTGCAAATTTCCCAAACTTTTATGCTCTGTTTCCCTTTTAAAACTGAACGTTTTTAACAGCACCCAAGTCACCCCTTGAATGCTTTGCTGCTTAGAAATTTCTTCCACCAGATACCCTAAATCATCTCTCTCAAGTTCAACATTCCACAAATCTCTACGGTAGGGGCAAAATGCCACCAGTCTCTTTGCTAAAACATAACGAGAGTCACCTTTGCTCCAGTTCACAAAAAGTTTCTCATCTCCATTTGAGACCACCTCAGCCTGGATGTCATTGTCCATATCATTATCAGCATTTTGGTCAAAGCCATTCAACAAGTCTCTAGGGAGTTCCAAACTTTTCCACACTTTTCTATCTTCTTCTGGGCCCTCCAAACTGTTCCAACCTCTGCCTGTTACTCAGTTCCAAAGCTACTTCCACATTTTCAGGTATCTGCAACAACACCTCACTGCTGGTATCAATTTACTGTATTAGTCTGTTTTCACGCTGCTGATAAAAACATACCCAAGACAGAGCAATTTAAAAAAGAAGAGGTTTAATGGACTCACATTTCCACGTGGCTGGGGAGGCCTCATAATCATGGCTGAAGGTAAAAGGCACATCTCACATGGCGGCAGACAAGAGATGAGAGCTCTTGCAGGGAAATTTCCTTTTATAAATCTATCAGATCTCATGAGACTTGTTCACTATCACAAGAATAGCATGGGAAAGACCTGCCCCCATAATTCAATTACGTCCCACCAGGTCTCTCCCACAACATGTGGGAACTGCAGGAGCTACAATTCAAGATGTGATTTGGGTGGGGACACAGCCCAACCATATCAGTGTATGTCCTTTTTAGATTTTTTAAACACTGTATTGATTTATTTCCTTCTATTATTTAAACCCCCATCCTTTAAGATCTCAGCATTTTCAGATCTCTTAAAAATATTTCTCAAGTCGTCTTTGCAAAATTCTACAACATAAACTCTTTAAAATGTCCTTAGGATAACCACTGTAGTCCCTTATCAAGATAGAGTGACCTTATATAACTCTCTGTACCTCAGTTTCCTCATCTGTCAAAGGGCAGTAACAATGGTACCTATATCAGAGGGTTGTCATAGGGAGAATATCAGTTAATGCATGTAAAGCGTTTGGAATAGTTTCTATCTATAGTAATCATTCAAAAAGTAATAGTGACTACTCTATTATGAAGTTCAGTACTATTAGTATACATGAGAGCTGAGTGATTGGAAGGAGATATTTCTGGCCCAGTGTTATCTTAGGATGATATCAGAGAGTGAATCGGTATTTGATCTTTTCAGGATGAATAAATATAACACAGTGTTTGTTCTTTTTTATTTTTTATTTTTGTCATTTGAGACAGAATCTCACTGTGTCACCCAGGCTGGAGTGCAGTGGCATGATCACAGCTCACTGCAGCCTCACCTCCCAAGCTCAAACAATCCTCCCACCTCCACCTCCCAGGTAGCTGGGACTATAGGTGTACCATCACGCCCAGCTAATTTTTATTTTTACTTCAGTAGAGACAGGGTCTTGTTATGTTGTGGAGACTACTCCTGAACTCCTGGCCTCAATTGATCCTCCCACCTTGGCCTCCCAAAGTGTTGTGATTATAGGTGTCAGCCACTGCACCCAGCTAATTTTTTGTATTTTTTGTAGAGGTGGGGTTTTGCCATGTTTCCCAGGCTGGTCTCAAACTCCTGAACTCAAGAAATCCACCTGCCTCAGCCTCCCAAAGTGCTGGGATTATAGGCATGAGCCACCACACCCAGCTATCACAGTGTTCTTTCTGTATCCATCAAAGACTTGAAGGGACATTAAACTCTGCCCTTGAGACCTTTCTAGGATACACAGAGTCACCAGGCAGACAGAGATTCCTTGCGATTCTAACCACGTGACATTTAAACCTGTAGATCCAAAACTACTGCCTTGCACCTTTATAAGGAACTGAAAACAGACAGGATTTGTTATTCACCCTGCCTCCTCATACTAAGAGTACAAACTAAAGCAGGGGTGGAGTGGTCATGATTGGGAAAGTGACATGGTTGATGTGGCACAGCATAATCTCACGAAGCAGTCCCTGCATCCCTGCCCAGCTTCTTATTTAAAGAATGATAGGCCATGCCAGTCTGAGGGCTGACCCATTTGCATAGCAACCCCTGCCCCTCGCCCCTCACCCTGGCTGTGATTTATGCATGGCCAAAAGCACATCAGCTAATTCTCTTGCAGCCTAAGTGTCTCCCCAGCATGCCATTTGAAGATGGCTTATGGGCAAAGAGCTCATGTCTGGAATGCTGAAAGAGCTAAATATTTGCTCAGTGGGCGCTGCACCAAAGGCAGCCCTAGCTTTTTCACTTTGATTGTTGCTTCAAGGTAGGATTTTACACCTCTATCTGCTGTATACTTAACCATCGAGACAGACTTGTCAGCCTCAGAAAAGCAGACCAATGTACACATTCCCTTTACCTAATCAGAATCAATTTTCCATTTCTGATTCCCAAGCCTAATCCTTTCATACTACTTCTCTAAGTTCAATATGACTGGAGAAGGCTCAAAGAGCTTCAGATAAAATTTAAATTAATATTAAAGTAAGGGATTATCTCAGCTGAATTTGAGGAGGTCCATTTTTTTTCAGCAGCTGGTGCTGTGTTTTCACATGCATGTGAAAGTATTCTGTAGAAAATGTCAATCCTACAAATCTGGGGGCAGGGCATAAGGTAGATTTAACCAATTGGGAGATATTTTTCATGCCTTCTTGAAGTAACTCGCAGATGCCTGACAGCAGCAGCTGTTTGGGCTCTTGCAACGGCATTGCTCTATGACTCAGAGGGATGTTTACGCCAGAGAATGTTGCCACTGCAATACTACCCTCAGATGCCCCAGGAGAAAATAATTTGGAGCAATGAGTGGGGAAGGCAGGTCCCTGGGAAGATTTAGTCAAACTCAGATCCATATCTGAATGTAATTAATTAGCGGAATATGGAGAGGTGGAAAATACATGGGCTTTGGAGTCAGACAGACCCATCCATGATTCTTTGCTCTGAGCACTTTATATTTAGTTAGTCCAGCATTTATCTACTCTCTCTCATTCAACTAATATTCATTAAGGATCTATGTGCCAGACACTGTGCTAGGTGCTTGAGATATAATGATAAGCAGGACCGGCTGTATAATTTGTGGGACCAGTGCAAAAGAAAAATGCAGGACCTCTTGTTCAAATATCATTACCAATTTCAAGATGGCAATGGCAGACCATGAAACCAAGCACGTGGCCCTTCTGAGTATAGGGCCCTGTGGGACTGCACTGTATGTCCATGAAGCTGGCCCTGATGATAAGCCTCAGGAAAGAAGAGACTTTGTCTTCATGGAGCTGAGTTTCTGTGAAGAAATTTATTAATCACACTAATTAATCTAAAATTGTGGCTGGGCGTGGTGGCTCACGCCTGTAATCCCAGCACTTTGGGATGCCAAGGCGGGCGGATCACGAGGTCAGGAGATCGAGACCATCCTGGCTAACACAGTGAAACCCCACCTCTACTAAAAATACGACAAATTAGCCAGGCATGGTGGCACGCACCTGTAGCCCCAGCTATTCGGGAGGCTGAGGCAGGAGAATCGCTTGAAACTGGGAGGCAGAGGTTGCAGAGAGCCGAGATTGCACCACTGCCCTCCAGTGTGGGCAACATAGTGAGACTCTGTCTCAAAAAAAAAAAAAAAAATGACCATGACAGGGGCTGTGAAGGAAAGGAGCCTGTGCTATGCATGCTTATGAGAGAGGTTTGACTAGTCAAGGAGACCAGGAAAGGCTTCCCCATAAGAGTAATGCTTGGGATGAGATTTGGAGGCTGGATAGGAGTTAACCAGGCAGAAATGAGAGCTGATCTTTGAGGGTCTTCATCACTCCAAAGCCCATGGACAGGGGTGAGCCTGCAAAGGAGAAAGAGGAGAAAATGTTTGCGTAGGAAGAAAACTAGGAGAGGGTCATGGAAGCCAAGAGAGGGTAGTGCTTCGAGAAGCAGAGGAGATCCACTCAGGTGACCCTGGCAAGTGAATCTCACATGCAACACAGAGATACACTCCCAAAGGCTTAGTGGAATTCCTGACACATAGGTCATTTTTGTTTTTATTTTCATTTATTTATTTTATTTTATATATTTTTTGACACAGGGTCTCACTCTGTCACCCAGACTGGAGTGCAGTGGCACAATCTTGGCTCACTGCAACCTCTGCCTCCTGGGCTCAAGTGGTCCTCCCACCTCAGCCTCCCAAGTAGCTGGGACTACAGGCATGCGTTATCGCACCCAGCTAATTTTTGTATTTTAAGTAGAGACGGGGTTTCACCGTGTTGCCCAGGCTGGTCTTGAACTCCTGATCTCAAGCAATCTGTCCCCCTTGGCCTCCGAAAATGCTGGGATTACAGGCGTGAGCCACCATGCCTGGCCCACATAGGTCATTTTTATTCCTTTGTAGTAACTGTCCTTACTTGAAAGCAAGTTCATCTTTTCCCAATCAGATGATCCAATTCTCAACCTTGGTGCATATTTCAGAGAGGGAAGTTGAGGCACAGAGAAGCCAAGTCGAAGGTGAAAAAGCCAGGGCTGCCTTTGATGCAGCACACACTGGGCATTCCCGAGATGAGCTTCCTAGGAGGTGGATAATGATCTTCAACAGGCATGTGAAGCCACCCAACTCGTGCCCATCACCACACTCTCTCTCATTCACTGCATATCCACCTCTCTATTCTTTCAGTCCCAGGATGTTGCAGTCTTTTCCACCCTGTGGCCTTGGCGTGCTGTTTCCTCTTCCTGGAGCATTCTTCTTCATGCCAACCCCACATGCTTGACCTTTCTTGATGTTTCCTCATTCTTCTGATTTACTTTAATACTTCCTTGCCCCGTCCAGCTCAAACCAAAGTAGATGCTCTGTTTTTCTCTTCAAGTTATCACAAATATAATACGTAAATAAATAACAAATATAAAATGTCATTATTCTTGGCCAGGCATGGTGGCTCACACCTGTAATCCCAGACTTTGGAAGGCCAAGGCGGGCAGATCACTTGAGGCCAGGAGTTTGAGACCAGCCTGGCCAACATGGTGAAATCCCATCTCTACTAAAAATACAAAAATTAGCCAGGCATGGTGGCACACGCCTGCAGTCCCAGCTACTTGGAAGGCTGAGGCATAAGAATCTTTTGAACCTGGGAGGTGGAGGTTGTAGTGAGTCAAGCTCATGCCACTGCACTCCAACCTGGGCAATAGAACCAGACTCTGTCGAAAAAAAAAGTTATTATTCTTACAGGTCCTTCCTTTTTCTTGATACCATTTATCCTCCTTATGCATCTACTTGCTAATAAAGGTGCATCGTTTCACTGTGGACTCCCGGCAGGCAGGTACTGTGTCTGTTTGTATTCCCACTGCACACCAATCATCTGGCACATTGAAATTACAAAATGAGTGAACACAGAGACATGTTCACCACAAAGTCAAGGAAGCCCCAACAATGTTCCAGTCTAAGCTTGACTCAGAGAGGAAAATGGTCGTGAAGATTAATTAAGCCTCTATTTATGATAACGTCTGCAGGTGCATGTCAATTCCACAGATCTCCTAGCAGCATAGCAACCCACATATCAAAAGGGAAGTTTTCTGTATCTTGTACGCAGTCTCTTCATTGAGGTAATGGGGTGCGGGGGTGAATGGGTGGATGCGGAGGGGTGTGTGTGTGTGTAGGAAGAAGTACTTACAATCTATCAAACAGGACACAGTGTCAAGACTAACATTGGGCTCTGAGATCCCCTGTGACTTAACAATTTACCTATCATTCAGGATGGATGCCTGATGAGAGGTGGGGATGGTGTAGCACTGGCATAGGGAATGTAAACACCTGAGACTTAGAAACATGTGGTTGTTCAAGAGTGGTCAGCTTACAGAAATTCATATCAAATTCCTTTTCTTTATTTTAAATGAATCAGGGTTTTGCTCTGTTGCCTAAGCTGGAGTGCAGTGGTACAATCGTAGCTCACTGCAGCCTCAAACTCCTGGGCTCAAGCAATCCTCCTGCCTCAGCTCCCAAGTAGCTGAGACTACAGATGCGCACCACCATGCCTGGCCAAGTTTTTAATTTTTTTATAGAGATAGGGTCTTGCCATGTTGCTCAGGCTGGTCTCGAATTCCTGGCCTTAAGCAGTCCTCCCATCTCAGCCTCTCAAAGCACTGGGATTACAGGTGTGAGCCACCACGCCCAGCCCATATCAGATTTCTAACAAAGAATAGGAAAAGGAGCAGATTCCGAGTTTTCCACCCCTCTGAATTCATGCTGATACTGTTTGAATGTTAGGCCTCTTTATGAATAATATTGGGTCTCTGCAGAAGCTGTTTTCCGCAACCTGCACTTGTTGATGCTCTTCAACAAATTTGGAAGGACAGGAATTGGAAATCATGTGGCTAAGATCATATGGTCAAGGACCTTGGGCATCTTCTTCATTGGTGTGGATTCAGCAGTTCACAAAGTGCCTGGCTAAAAGTAGAGGTTCAGTAATATTCCTGAGGAAGCATGAACAAGGAGATGGTGAAGTAATACAGAAAAAGGGGGGAAGCCAATACAGGGTGCGTTTCTGAGCAATTGAGACAATTTTACTGGGGGTTCTGGGAGGCCATATCACACACATCTCAAAACTATCTCTCTCCCCCAGCAGGGAGGAAGCTAGGGCATTTATACTTCATCTCCCATCCACCTGGCCTGTCCCTCAAGGGTCAAGAAATGACCATTGGGTGGAGAGTCAGTAAGATCCTGGAGGCACATACTGGCATGGTTGGTGCCAGGGGACAAGGGTAGGGCACCAACAGGGTCTGCTATAGAGGAAGAGAGAAGCAGAGCAAAGGGCAAGAACAAAGGAGAAGCTAGAGATGAGCTGAGTGTGTGTGTATGTGTGTTTGCTCATGTGTGTTCGTGTGTGTAGAGTAGTGAGATCCATTAACAAAACATTTTAAACAATAAATAGAAAATCTCCACGATTAACTCTATACAACTCTTATCTCCATCTGAAACACGCACTTTTAAATTTATAAATTTATAAAAATTGTTGTTTCTCTTACATGAATTTTCAAACAGAGCAACACATTATAAAGTGTTTATGAATAAAAATAGCTTCATAATAGAGAATGTTCTCCAAAGGGCTAACAAACATATTCAACCTCCTTGGTGATCAGGGAAGTCCCTATCAAAACAATGAGATATTGACTCTTGGGCGGGCGCGGTGGCTCACACTTCTAATCCCAGCATTTTGGGATGCCAAGGTGGGTGGATCATTTTAGGCCAGGAGTTTGAGACCAGCCTGGCCAAAATGGTGAAACCTGCATCTCTACTAAAAATTAAAAAATTAGCTGGGCAGAGTGGCATGCGCCTGTAATCCCAGCTACTCAGGATGCTGAGGCACAAAAATTACTTGAACCCAGGAGATGGAGGTTGCAGTCAGCCGAGATTGTGCCACTGCACTTCAGCCTGGGCAACAGAGCGAGACTCCATCTCAAAAAATAATAATAATAAGATACCATTTTGGGGGGAAAATATTGGGGGAAATATTTAAAATATTGGTAGCATTCAGTGCTGACAAAGATATTGTGCAATAGACATTGCGATATGTTGCTGTTAAGACTTTGAGTTACTACAAGTTTTGGGGAAGGAAACGTAGCAGTATGCACCAAAATAAAAAATATGATACCCCTTTACCCAGGAATTGTTCTTCCTGAAGTCTCTCCTAAATAAATGAAAGTACCAGAATATAAAGCTATTCATATAAGGATGTTTACTGAAGCATTATTTGGGCAAAAATTTTGGAAGCAACTCGAATGACCAATAAGATGGAAAAAATGAAAAATTTTTATATATTCACACTAATAAAAATAGTGAATTAGTGCTATATGTATTGCCTTAGTAATATTCGAGATATATTGAGGGAAATCAAAAATTTGTACTATAATGTGCATAGTTCAATCTATTCAACATTTTTTTTTCCCTCAGAGATGGGGTCTTGCTCTGTTGCCTGGGCTGGTGTGTTGTGGCATGATCAGAGCTCACTGCAGCCTTAAACTTCTGGGCTCAAGTCATCCTCCTGCCTCAGTCTCCCAAGTAGCTGAAATTATAGGTACAAGCCATGGCACCCAGCACATTCAAATATTTAAAAAGGAAAAAGGAAAAGGCTTACATATGCACAAATGTATTTGTCCAAAATAGAAAAATGTGTGGAAGGATACACATCAACTGTTACCATTAGTTACCTTGAGGTTGGAGGTATAAACTGTTGAGAAAAAGAATCCTCCGTGTTGGCGGTCCGTTGAGAAACTGGTATGTGGACAGATATTTGGGGACCTTGAAAATCAGTGGAATCATTATGGGGAGGATTAAATGAATTATACTCTCTTTGGGATATAGCCAAAGAAATAGCTACATCTCTTCTCTTTATGACTTCTTTCCTTAAAAAAAAAAATGGTATGACCATTCAGGACATAGGCATGGGCAAGGACTTCATGACTAAAACACCAAAAGCAATGGCAATAAAAGCCAAAATTGACAAATGGGATCTAATTAAACTAAAGAGCTTCTGCACAGCAAAAGAAACTACCATCAGAGTGAACAGACAACCTACAGAATGGGAGAAAATTTTTACAATCTACCCATCTGACAAAGGGCTAATATCCAGAATCTACAAAGGACTTAAACAAATTTACAAGAAAAAAACAAACAACCCCAACAAAAAGTGGGCAAAGGATATGAACAGACACTTCTCAAAAGAAGACATTTATGCAGCCAAAAGACACATGGAAAAAATGCTCATCATCACTGGTCATCAGAGAAATGCAAATCAAAACCACAATGAGATACCATCTCACACCAGTTAGAATGGCAATCATTAAAAAGTCAGGAAACAACAGGTGCTGGAGAGGGTGTGGAGAAATAGGAACACTTTTACACTGTTGGTGGGACGTAAACTAGTTCAGCCATTGTGGAAGACAGTGCGGCAATTCCTCAAGGATCTAGAACTAGAAATACCATTTGACCCAGTGATCCCATTACTGGGTATATACCCAAAGGATTATAAATCGTGCTGCTATAAAGACACATGCACATGTATGTTTACTGCAGCACTATTCACAGTAGCAAAGATTTGGAACCAACCCAAATGTCCATCAATGTATAGACTGGATTAAGAAAATGTGGCACATATACACCATGGAATACTATGCAGCCATAAAAATGGATGAGTTCATGTCCTTTTTAGGGACATGGATGAAGCTGGAAATCATCATTCTGAGCAAACTATCGCAAGGACAGAAAACCAAACATCGCATGTTCTTACTCATAGATGCGAATTGAACAATGAGAACACTTGGACTCAGGGTGGGGAACATCACACACCGGGGCCTGTCGTGGGGTGGGGGGAGCGGGGAGTGATAGCATTAGGAGATATACGTAATGTAAATGATGAGTTAATGGGTGCAGCACACCAACATGGCACATTTATACATGTGTAACAAATCTGCACGTTGTGCACATGTACCTTAGAACTTAAAGTATAATAAAAAATAAATAAATAAAAAAGGGTATGAATGTTTCTACGGCAGTGCTATAGAAAACCCACATGGCTGAAAAGCAGGCAGTAGTTAAGCAAACCACAAGGTACTAAGTCATAGAGCAATAGAATAGTAGAGGCCAGAAGTATGGTATCTGTTGGGCATGTGTTTGAGTTCTGGCTCTACTAGTTGCTGGCTGTGTGACCATAGGCACGTTGCTTATCTGTGAGCTTTGATGTCTTTATTTAGAAATGGCAATAGCAATAGTGTCTAGCTCATAGATTTGCTCTGAGGATTAAATGAGATATGCATATCATTATGATTACTACCACTTTATAACTTATGAAATGAATAAGTAAATGAATATGTGAATGGAAAACTCTGTAAGTTACTGTTACTTGAAAAGGCAGATTAGGATATGTTGCTCGATCTTAATTTTACAAAAATTACTTACACAATGATTAAAAGCAAAAGGTCTTAAAATTTTGTAAATGTCAGTAGTTGGTATTTTAACATTGAATTATTTGTCTCTTTAATTTTATTGATACTTTATTTTATTTATTTATTCTTTTAATTTAATTTTATTTTAAGTTCCAGGATACGTGTGCAGGACGTGCAGGTTTGTTACATAGGTAAACGTGTGCCATGGTGGTTTGCTGCATCTATCAACCCATCACCTAGGTATTAAGCCCTGCATGCACTGGTGATTTATTCTGATGCTCTCCCCACCTCCACTCCACCATCCCTACAGGCACTGGTGTGTGTTATTTGCCTTCCTGTGTCCATGTGTTCTCATTGTTCAGCTCCCACTTATGAGTGAGAACATGTGGTGTTTGGTTTTCTGTTCCTGTGTTAGTTTGCTGAGGACGATGGCTTCCAGCTTCATCCATGTCCCTGCAAAGGACATGATCTCATTCCTTTTCATGGCTGCATAGTATTCCATGGTGTATATGTACCATATATCCTTCCTTTTTTTTTCTTTTTTCTTTTCCTTTCCTTTCTTTTCTTTTTTTCTCCTTCCTTCCTTCCTTTCTTTCTCTCTCTCTCTTTCCTTCCTTCCTTCCTTCCTTTCTTTTTCTCTTTCTTTCTTTCTCTTTCTTTCTTTCTTTCTTTCTTTCTTTCTTTCTTTCTTTCTTTCTTTCTTTCTTTCTTTCTTTCTTTCTTTCTTTCCTTCTTGAGACGGAGTTTCGATCTTGTTGCCCAGGCTGGTGTGCAATGGCACGATCTCAGCTCACTGCAACCTCCGCTTCCCAGGTTCAAGTGATTGTCCTGCCTCAGCCTCCCAAGTAGCCGGGATTACAGGCACCTGCCACCATACCCGGCTAATTTTTTTTTTTTTTTGTATTTTTAGTAGAGATGGGGGTTTCACCATGTAGGCCAGGCTGGTCTCGATCTCCTGACCTCAGGTGATCCACCCGCCTCTGCCTCCCAAAATGTTAGGATTATAGGCGTGAACCACCGTGCCCGGCCCATTTTCTTCATCCAGTCTATAATTGATGGGCATTTGGGTTGATTCCATGTCTTTGCTATTGTGAATAGTGTTGCAATAAACATACATGTGCATGTATCTTTATAATAGAATGATTTATATTTCTTTGGGTACATACTCAGTAATGGGATTCCTGGGTCAAATGGTATTTCTGGTTCCAGATCCTTGAGGAATCACCACACTGTCTTCCACAGTGGTTGAACTAATTTGCATTCCCACCAACAGTGTAACAGCATTCCTATTTCCTCAAAGCCTCACCAGTATCTGTTGTTTCTTGACTTTTTAATAATTGCCATTTTAACTGGAGTGAGATGGTATCTCATTGTGATTTTGATTTGCATTTCTCTAATGATTAATGATGTTGATCTTTTTTTCATGTATTTGTTGGCCACATAAATGTCTTATTTTGAGAAGTGTCTGTCCATGTCCTTTGCCCACTTTTTGATGGGTTGTTTGTTTTTTTCTTGTAAATTTCTTTAAGATCCTTGTTAATTCTGAATATTAGACCTTTGTCAGTTGGGTAGATTGCAAAATTTTTCTCCCATTCTGTAGGTTGCCTGTTCACTCTGGTGATAGTTTCTTTTGCTGTGCAGAAGCTCTTTTTTTTTATTTTAAAATTTTTATTTAAACAAGACAGGGTCTCGCTATGTTGACCAGGCTGGTCTTGAACTTCTGGCCTCAAAAAATCCTCCCACCTCTGCCTTCCAGAGGGTTGGGATTACAGGTGGGATCCAGTGCACCCACCTGATACTTTACTTTAAAGGTGGTTAATTATTTAATTACATAATAGCTTAAGTAACTATATCATATTGAAAGCAAATCCAAGAAACAAAATTGTTTAGCCTACTCTTTGACAATAAAAAGTAATGATTTGTGGTAGGCTTTATACAAGTGTTTATTATGTCTCCCCCACA
The DNA here is from genome assembly GCF_000001405.40 of Homo sapiens. NCBI lineage: Eukaryota > Metazoa > Chordata > Mammalia > Primates > Hominidae > Homo > Homo sapiens. The sequence continues at coordinate 101,561,643 of NC_000012.12, forward strand.
TTCCCTACACACACACACACACACACACACACACACACACACACACACACACACCCTCCTCCCAGAATAGTACCACATTCCCTAGGCTGCTCATCAAGCTTGTGGCTGGCAGTTGCAGTCTTAGCAAAATACAGTCTTCTAGGATGTCTTGCCAGAAAGACCAAGGCCAGGGCTGGCTGAGGCAGTTGGAGCAGATTCACTCAAGTCAGAGATCCAAGAGCAGGGAACACACAGACACTGTGTACCTATGCAGGAAAACTATATCAGCCTGGTGACAAACAAACAAAAACCCTAGAAGCCCCTGGTCCTTAGTAGAGCAGACGAGTCCCCTCAGAACTGGCTCAGCTTCTTTGTTAGTCACCCAGGCCCCTACCCTTTGCTCTGGCCAAACCAGCCCTCTCACCAGTCCCTGCACACACCATGACATACACACCTGCTTGCCTTTGCCCTGGCTGCTTTCTCTCCTCCACATCCCTCCAGCCTCACCTGAAAAACTTGCTTGATCATTCTCTTCTCTCCTTCCCACAGAATGTGGAATCACTGTCCATTCTGCATGGGTACATTCTTCCTCCAGAGCACCTACCACCCTGTACTGGAACTATTGGGTTTTCTATGATGACCCTAACTAGACTATCACCCCTACTCATTTTTGTTTTTCTTTCACCCAGCACAATCATGGATAAATAGCAGGCATCCAACACCTATTCATTGGCAAGAACTGCAAAATACATGGAGAATGAAAACACAGGGGAAAAAAATCACTTAGTGACATCCAAGGATAATTGAATCCAGTATCTCAGTAGTGCACAACCAATTATAACACAGAATTAAGTATAAACCTAGGTCATGCTCAAATGTCACCCAGAGGGTTCTAGTTACAAGAAACATAAAAATAACTATGATAATAACTTCACCTAATTTAATCTCTGCTTTCCATGAGCTCAAACATAGTAATATATGCTACTCTGATATTTTCTTTTTTCTTCCCTTTTTATGCTTTCCTTTTTCTCCATGTTATTCATAAGTGAATTGACTGCATATTTAACTATACATTTTTTATTAAGCCCCTATTGTTTGATTAGCCCTGTTAATTACAGAAATTACATTGTAATTATAATAACTCTGCTGGTAAGTGATGGAGCCAAGATTCTAAATCTGAGCATTATAGAAATTGCATTGTAATTTGTAATTTATTTATTTCTTTTCTTTTTTGAGATGGAGTCTCGCTCTGCCCCCCCAGGCTGGAGTGCAGTGGCGCAATCTTGGCTCACTGCAACCTCCGCCTCCTGGGTTCAAGCAATTCTCCTCCTCAGCCTCCTGAGTAGCTGGGATTACAGGCACCTGCCACCATGCCCCGCTAATTTTTGGCCAGGCTGGTCTTGAACTCCTGATCTCAGATGATCTGCCCGCCTCGGCCTCCCAAAGTGCTGAGATTACAGGCATGAGCCATCATGCCCGGCTGACATTGCTATTTCTGTAATGCTCAGATTTAGAATCTTGGCTCCACCACTTAACAGCTGAACCAACTTTCAGGAAAATGCTTGACCTCTCTGGCCTACAGTTTCCTCATCTATAAAATGAGCATGCATTTAATAATACCTTCATCAGGAGTTTATTGTGAGGATTAAATAAAGCTGTTGATCATTGCCATCAGCATGAAAACATTCTCTAGAATCTTTCATGTAAAAGCAAAACAAAGCCTGTCTTGAGCATTGTCTTTGAGCTGCCTCTCCTTCACACATGACAGTGTCTTGAGTCATTGGAAGCTGATGCTTCCACTTCCTCACCTCCGTCTCAAGTCACTTCAATTTGGTTTCCTTTCCTCCTATCCACTAGGACTCACCAAAGTCACTGGTGACTTCCATCATGCCAAATTCAGCAGTCATTTCTCTAGTGTTATTTTCATCCCTCAACAGCATTTGGTACCTTTGGCTTTCTTTCTTTTAAAACTTTTCTTCTTTTCAGCTTCCCTGCTATCATACTCTACTTGTTTTCTTTTTAGCTCTCAAGCCTCTACTCCTCAGTCCCCTTTACTAACTCTGGTCTGCCTGTAAATTTGGAGTCTCAGAGTTTGTTCCTGGGCCCGCTGTCTTCTGTAGCAGCAGAATTTTAGGACATCTCATCTGGACCTGTGGTTCAATTGATATGCCAATGACTCTCAAATCAATACCTCCAGCCCTGAACTCTTCCCTGAATGAACTCTAGATTCAAACAGTCAACTGCCTACTTAATCTCTCCACGTGGATGTCTGTACCAGGCATCCCAAACAGCATGTCCAAAACAGAACTTTTTACTTTTTTTCCCCAAATCTGCTCCCTCTTCTGTCTCCCCCATCTCAATAAATGGCAATATCACACATCCAGAGACTCATGCTAAAAATTTATGAGGTCCTTGATTTCTTCTTTTTCCCCCACCTCCCTACATTAATTCATCAGCAAACCCTGTAAACTCTAATCTCCAAAGCATATCCCAAATATTACACATCTGTCCATCCCCTTGCCACCAGTATCATCCAAGCCAGCTAGACAGATGTAAAAACCTGTTAGCTGATCTCCCTGATTCTGCTGCCACCTGCCCCATAAATCCAATCTCATCACAGCAACAGCAACCAGAAAGTCTTTTTTTTTTTTTTTTTTTGAGACGGAGTTTTGCTCTTGATGCCCAGGTTGGAGTGCAATGGTGCGATCTTGGCTCACCGCAACCTTCACCTCCTGGGTTCAAGTGATTCTCCCACCTCAGCCTCTTTGTTAGTTAGGATTACAGGCATGTTATCTGGGATGTTTGTTATAGGCATGTTTGTTAGCTGGGATTACAGGCATGCACCACCACGTCCGGCTAATTTTTGTATTTTTAGTAGAGATGGGGTTACTCCATGTTGGTGAGGCTGGTCTTGAACTCCGGGCCTCAGGTGATCTGCCCACCTCGGCCTCCCAAAGTGCTGGTATTACAGGCGTGAGCTACCGTGCCCAAACCAAGTCTTATTTATTTACTTATTTTTTTAAAAGTCTTGCTCTTGCCTAGGCTGGAGTGCAGTGGCATAATCATGGCTCACTGCAGCCTCAACCTCCCAGGCTCAAGCAACACTTCCACCTCAGCCTCCCCAGTAGCTGGGGCCACAGGTGTGTGCCACCACGGCTGGCTAGTTTTTGTATTTTTTTTTTTTTGTAGAGACGGGGTTTCACCATGTTGCCCAGGCTGGTCTCAAACTCTTGAGCTCAAGCAGTGTTCCTACCTTGGCCTCCCAAAGTGCTGGAATTACAGACCTGAACTACTGCACCTGGCCCAGAAACTCTTAAAAAATAAAATAAATCATTCCATTTGTCTCAGTTTGTGCTGTTATGACAAATTTCCATAAACTGGTGGCTTACAAACAACATAAATTTATTTCTCACAGTTCTGAAGGCTGAGAAGTTCAAGATCAAGGTGCTTGGCCAATCCAGTATTTGGTGAGGATCCACTTCCTGGTTTTACAGATGGCCATCTTCTTGAATCTTCACATGCTGGAGTGCGGAAGGACGGCAAGCTCTCCTGTCTCTTGTCATAAGGGCACTAATCCCATTCATGAGGCTCTACCCTCATGACCTAATCACCCCTGAAAGACCCACCTCCTAACACCATCACATTGGAGGTTAGGATTTCAACATATGAATTTTGGGGAGACATACACATTTGGTTCATAACACTACTCCTCTTCTTAAAACCTTCCAATGGAAGGTTTTAAGTCATTTATTTTCCCCTACACTTAGAATAGACTCTGAAATCTTTCCTGAACTTCAGAGTGCTGCAGGATCTAACCTCTGCCCATCACTCCAACCTCATTTTGTAACTCCCTGCCTTCCCCTAAACTCCACTCACACCGACTTCCTCCAATAACTCAAACTTGTTCCCATTTAGGGACTTCGCGTTGTCTGTTCCCTCTGCCTCTTCCAGAAACAGTCTTCTCCTTGATCTTTGCCTAGGGATGTGAAGTGTGGACAAAGATGTAACAATAATAAATCTAGAAGGGGGAAGTTCCGTACATACCCATCTCTGCACAGAGTTGCATTTAAAGAAGCTAAAGTTGGCCGGGCGCGGTGGCTCACGCCTGTAATTCCAGCACTTTGGGAGGCTGAGGCGGACAGATCATTTGAGGCCAGGAGTTTGAGACTAGCCTGGCCAACATGGCGAAACCGCATGCCTACTGAAAATACAAAAAGTAGCCGGGTGTGGTGGTGCACACCTGCAGTCCCAGCTGCTTGGTAGGCTGGGGCAAGAATCGCTTGAACCTGGGAGGCGGAGGCTACAGGGAGCTGAGATTGCACCACTACACACCAGCCTGGGTGACAGAGTGAGACTCTGTCTCAAACACAAAACAAAACAAAAAAACAAGAAGCAAAAGTCAACAGAAAAAAAATTATAAAAGTCTTCCACTTTTGCTTGCATCTCTCAAAGAAATTTCAAAAAAAAAAACCCAAATGCATATTTCACTGCAGCACTTATTAAAATCCTCTCTCCTGTCTCATCTACCTCCTTTGCACTCTGCAGTTGCAAACCTTTCTCCAGCATCTCCAAACGTCTAACATCCATTCCCAGAATGTTTTCCTTTCACTCTAACTCCTACTACCTCCATCCCCAACTTTTTCTTTAGGCTCACCTAGCTTTCCTTCCATAAGCAAGAATCCTTCCTCTTTAGGAGTCTGGGTGCGGGGAGAATGCCCTTTGACAGGCCAGAGAGGAAAGGAAAGCTTTCTTTCCTTTTACGTGGCTTTTTCTTGAGTCCCATAACAAGGATGTTTGGCAACCTGTAGGAAAGAATGTGTCATAGTCAAATTAAGGGGAGACAACCAAATTAGGAGTGGAAAGGCACATGAAAGGAATAGCAGCAGGGGGGTTTGCCAGGGTGGAGGGGAGGAAGGGATGACTCAACAACCTGATTGTAACTTAAAATACCACCTCTACTCTATTGATATGTCTGTTGGATGTTACGCATGTGGTAGAATTTTCACAGTTGCAAAATTAATTCTATCCGTGAATATAAGGTGATTTGACATCTTTGGAGTAGATGTTATTGCTTAAATTTTTAAGGGTCACATGTGAAAGTGAGTTACTGAATAATCAAATTGAGAAGAAACACATTACCAGATTTTGCTCGAAATGCATGAACAAGCTTATTGTTGTGAGGAGCAGAGAAGATGAAAGACCAGGGTGTTAGCGAACTTATTTTCTCTGAGGTTTGGAATATAGGTTTGCAGCCTGACAATCTAGAGTCAAATCTCACCTCCACCTTACTTCCCAGCTCTGTGACCTTGGGCAAACTACTTAAACGTTTATTCCTGAATTTCCTCATCCGTAAAATGAGGACATTAATACCTACCACATAGGACTGCTGTACTTGATAAATCATTGTACCAGTGACATTATCACATTCACCTTGAGTTGGAGAGTTAAGAATGGTTTCTTTCTTCTATTAAACCTTCTGATGATATAGAGCTTGAGCATTGTAACTAAATCTAAAGGGAGTGAGAAAAAAAACAACAACAAAGGGGCTGGGAGAAATTTTCATTTGACTGAGCTGTTACTAGCTGGGATAATAGAATCATAATATATGACGAGCAAAGACAGCACTGCAGATTTTTGGCCAGGTATTCACTGAAACCATTAGCACTTCGTATGTCAGAAGTTAAAACCTAACCCCATGAGTGAGGCAGTTTGAGCCTATATTTATAACTGCTCTGGAAGTCTGGTGCTGAGATGAAAGATCCTTATTCATTTGGGATCTTAGTCAAGTTCATGTAAATGGAAGGAAAGGGAGGAAGACTCCAGTTAACTGGTGCTAATCTAAGACAGGACTTGGGATCGATGTCTTAACTTGCCACAGAGATATTTTCCAGAGTGGCTACCAAGTAATGTTGAACTTGGAGGGATGTAAATATTGTCCAACAAAGTATAGTGTGGCTTGTTTATTATTTTTTAAGGAGTGGCTTTCTCTTTATTAGTATTTTAAATTTATTCTACTGTCTCTGTCATAGGAAAGGCTTGAAGGCTTGAATATTCCTGAATTGCTTATCTGCAAGGAAAGCTGGCTTTGGGCATGTGTTCTTGGTAATGCTAGTTTTCCTTTTGCTCTGAGGACAAAGTTGGCTAAAACCAAGTGTAACTGGAGTTATTAAGATTTTCTTACTGTACCTGTCACCAGCTAATTCAGACGCCCACTCTGAACATGTCACCAGTCCTGTCTAATGTCTCCTTAGGCAGACCATTATAAATGCCGCAGAAAAACAGGGCGAAACATGAGTTTTGGAACAAAGAGGCTTTTAAAGAGGAAAGCAAAGCAAGAGAATGGAAGACCCCCCATTCACTTGCCTTTTGGTTGGGGTTTTGCAGTTGCATCAGACTCCGGGCACTTAAAACACTTCACTGTCATCTGTAATAGGATAAGGCAAGAGAGGTTCTTTGTTCAGGGTTCAAGTGCTCTCTCGTGACCATCTCAAAATAACCCTGAAGTGTAATACAGTAGGGCCTCACGTAACTAAACCCACAAGTCTCGGACCTGTCATCATTGTCAACCCAATTGTTCTCTCCTCCCCTCTTAGGCAAGCAAAGCACTTGGATAAATTTTTCTGTCAACACTCAAAGTTGCATAAACTCCTTATTTTTACTTTTCCAAATCCAGTAGGAGTTTCTCTGCCAGTTATAGGGAAATATATAGAAGGCGGACATATCAGGTGCTTCTCTTCCAAATAAGCTTTCCTTGTGGCTTACGCTGTTCTTCACTTGGATTTGAACCCGATCAGCGGCTTTCCTTTCACCAAAGGATCTTATTTTTGTAATTTGTCGGACTTTGCAAGAATTGTGATATTCTCAGCCAGCCCTTTCTTCATAAGGCAAGTGTGCCACTGTTCAGCGTGTATTTATTCCATTAGCCAAGTTATTGCACTGAGTTGAGCATTAAAGAAATCTGATCGTTTCCTTGGTCTCTATTTTGGAAGATGCTGGAGATTTATCCTTGGCGACATGTAAACAATATTTAAACAAGGCTAACAAAGAGAAAGTGTTGAGATAGGAAGGTAAAACTGCAAATGTTTTGTTTCAAGTGACATCAAGATGCAATAGAGGAGATGAAAGAGAGGACATTATAAAACGGGTCAGTCTCTAGAGTTAAAACAACACAGAAAACAGCACATGAAATACATGTGTATAGAACGGTGTGAGATTGACAGAAAGGAAGGAAATACACCAATGACATTGAATGCATGGGTAATGGAATTTCAGATGATTTATTTTTTCTTTTCTATATTGCATGGGATTTTAAAATTTCTATAGCTTTTCTATATCTTGTCTACATCTACGTGATTTTACATAATCTTTGCCATCTTTTGCAAGTGCTTTTTGTAGAATAAATTCCTAGAAGAGGAAGTGTTTGTACAAACTAAAGTTTTTAGAAGAGTATAGGCCATTTTTACTTTAGAAATACAGCAAATTTAAATAATAAAATGTTATATAGATAAAACTTCTAAAACTTTTCATTTTCTTTTTAAAATTACTTTTGTCAGTTTCTTTTTTATCCTGGTTACAAGTGGTACACGGTATAAAAAATAAAAACTGTTACCAAGTTAATAAGTAATCCTCCATATTATTATTAACTATAGTAATAACTTTATGGGTTCTATTATAATCCTGGACTCTATCATAATACTGTTATATTACAGGATGTTATTATAATGCTGTTTTGCAATTTGCTTGTTTCCCTCAATGTATCTCAAACACATTACTCCATGTCAATATGTATAATTCTTATCATTTTGATGGTTATATGCTCCTTTGTTTGGGAGAGGGAAGTTTTTTTTCTTTTTTTTAATTTAATTTAATTTTTTATTTTATTTATTTATTTATTTATTTATTTATTTTGAGAAAGGGGCTCACTTTGTTGCCCAGGCTGGAGTGCAGTGGTGCTATTGCAGCTCACTGCAGCCTCAAGCTTCCAGGCTCAAATGATCATCCTACCTCAACCTCCCAAGTAGCTGGGGCGACAGACACATGCCACCTCACCTGGCTAATTTTTTTTTTGTTGTTGTTGTTGTTGAAATGGGGTATCACCATGTTGCCCAGGCTGGTCTTAAATTCCTGAGCTCAAGCAGTCCTCCTGCTTTGGCCTCTCAAAGTGCTGGGATTACAGGCGTGAGCCACCATGCCCAGTGCATATGTTCCTTTGTATGTACCATTTTAATGTACAGCAAATATGTATAATATATTTAATCAAACTCTCATTACTGGACTTTGGGCTTTTTTTAGCAATTGCAAACAGTGCCACAGTGAACATCCTTTTACATAACTTTACCACTTTGTGCACAGAGATTTGTAAAGTAAATTTTTAGAAATGGAAAAATAAGTTTCCAAATCAGGCTGGCGAATGGGTTAAGCAGCCTTTCCAACTTATCATGACCACAGGATGATCATTTGCATATCCTATAAATATCCATATATCTTGCAGACTGCATTGTCTGAAGAGACTGAATTTTGTTGGAAAAATGCAAAGTATGTTTTATTTTCAGTTTCCTCACCAGTAGATGGCACCTAGTCTTCCTTTATGATGGACTAAAATCCCCTCTAACTTCATTGCATTCCCAACATGTCAGTGAGCCTGCACTAACACGGCAATGACCACATCACATACAAATGCTCCTCTCTCATTCCCCTTATCCCATGTTTGTATTGTTCTAGTTCCAGGATGCTGATACTTTAAGCCCGAGGCTCTAACTTGAGCAGGAAGAGTTTATTTTGGGATGAAGAATCTTCCCCCATAGGAGGGCCTCTCAACCAGTGTCTCTCTTTCTCTGTCTTTAGAAACCAGGAAATTCTAGAGGAGAAAATTGGTTTTCTGCATCTGCAGAATGACTTCTTTCTCTTAAAAATATCAGACTCATATTTTGGCTGAATTTACTCCGTTTATAGAGGGGACTGCAGAGTTGCAAGGACTTTAAGGTTTTGTGTTGAGAGTGGTTTTAGTCAATTATATTAAGAAAATTACTCTTGAATATGTGAAGTTGATGGGATGAATATATACATAATGTCCATTTCATTAAAACTATAAATATGTGCATTAAAATGGCCATGGAGGAAGGCAGGAACTGCAGACTCTAAGTGGGAAAAACGTGATAACACATCAGTTTGTTTTGTGTTGTTCTCTATGTGCAGGTGTTAGTTTTCTTTAAAAAAGAAAGGCTGAGTGTAAGAGTTTAATATTCTTTATTTTTTATTTTACTTGTGGATTAATTTTTGAGACAGGGTCTAGCTCTGTCACCCAGGCTGGATTGCAGTGGTTCAATCATAGCTCACTGCAGCCTCAACCTCCTGGGCTCAAGCAATCCCCCTGCCTCAGCTTCCCAAGAAGCTGGGACTGTAGGCACATGCCACCATGGCCAGCTAATTTTTTTTTTTTTTTAATGTAGAGATGTTACACGCTATGTTGCCCAGGCTGGTCTTGAATTCCCAGGCTCAAGTGATCCTCCCACCTTAGCCTCCCAAAGGGCTGGGATTACAGGCATGAGCCGTCACACCCAGCCTGCCCTTTCTATAAATATGGATATGTCCTGACAGAGTTCTTGTCTCAAAGAACATTTCAAGCATGTGAGGCTTTCTCGGAGTAGATAAGAAAGACGAGCTTTTGGGTATGTTTGGAAAGGAAAAAATAACAAATTTATTATACATTTGGCCAACTATGCCATGTGTGAAAATTCTTTGAGTCCTCTGGGGAAGATTTTGTACCACCACATATGGGATTTGCTTATCATCACCATAGCCTGCAAAAGTATAGTTCTTTTAAAAAAATCCAGATCTGGTCGGGTGCAGTGGCTCATGCCTGTAATCCCAGCACTTTGGGAGGCCAAGGAGGGGGGATTACTTGAGGTTAGGAGTTCGAGACCAGCTTGGCCAATGTGGTGAAACCCTGACTCTACAAAAATTATCCGGGCATGGTGGTGTGCACCTGTAATCCCAGCCACTAGGGAGGCTGAGGCAGGAGAATCTCTTGAACCCGGGAGGCGGAGGTTGCAGTGAGCTGAGATTGCCCCACTCCAGCCTGGGCAACAGAGAGAGACTCCATCTCAAAAAAAAAAAAAATCCAGATCTTCTTCCCCTCCTCTTCTTTCCCTTTCAACCCCAGATAGAGCATTTAAGGTTAGAGTCCATTATAGAAGAATATTTCATAAACAATTAGGTGATATGGCCCAATAAAACAACAAATATCTTTGTTTTTGTTCTCATTTAGGTTGACCCCTGTGCTCCAAGAACATCATGATATTGTTATTGGGAAAAAAATAAGTGGTGAATTTTCCATTTAAGAAATTAAATAATGTAGAATTATTTGCTCCCTTATTTATGCAAACACATTTTCTTTTTTTTTTATTTTATTGTTTTACAGGTGTTTTTCACATTTTCTTTTTTAGCTACAACTTTGGGTTTTAAAAAAATCTGCTTGTTCATTCTCTGTCTGATATAACACTAAAATTTCACCTTACTGTACCTTGAGATTTTAAACGAAAGATATATGGTAACTTTGGTAGGAAATGGGAGAGAAAACTGATTTTTAGTATGACTTATAAACAGAATATGATACAATGCTCAGCTTGGTATTAGGCTGTTAAAAGTAACCATAAAACTGTTCAGTGCAGAATTCCTTTTATATCAGCTTTCTTAGTGTATTTAATGTTGATGGTTTTAGATCATTAGCAACTTGACAAAAAAGCTGACGTGTCAATGAGCAGCCACAAATGAAGAATAGGCCTTTTGAAATTATAAAGTTATTGGGTTTGATGGTGTTATATTTACAGTGGCCTTTTCGAAATACCCCTATTGCATAAAGCGAGCTACATCTGTGGGAATCATTCCTCTGGACCAATCAGCTACAGCTATTCAGCCCTTAAAAGTCTAAAATGGGTAAAGGATTTAATAGACATTTCTCCAAAAGAGACATAAAAATGGGCGACAGGTATATGAAAATGTGCTCAACATCACTAATCGAAACCACTGTGTCGCCTCACACCAGCTAGGATGGGCTATCATAAAAAAGATAAGAGATAACAAATGTTGGTGAGGGTGTGTAGGAGAGGGAACCCTTTTACACTGCTGGTGGGAATACAGATTGGTGTAGCCATATAAAAAAAGCAGAATGAAGGTTCCTAAAGAAACTAAAAATAGTACTACCACATGACCTAGAAATCCTCCTTCTGGGTATATACCCCCCAAAAATGAAATCACCGCTTTGTAAAGATATGTGCACTACCATGTTCATTGTAGCATTAGTCACAATAGCAAGATATGGAAACAACCTAAGAGTCCATTGACAAATGAATAGATAAAGACACTGTGATAAATCTATACAGTGGAACATCATTCAGCCTTAAATAAAGAAGGATATCCTGCCATTTGCCATAACATGGATGAATCTGGAGAACGTTATGCTAAGCGAAATAAGCCAGACACAGGAAAAAAAATTTTTTAAAGAATATATGATGATAGAGAATAAAGCACTGGTTATCAGGTGGAAGGGGAGTGGTTACTGAGGGAGTAGGGGAAGAAATAGGGAGATGTAGGTCAAGGGGAAAAAGTTGCCAATGTGTAGGCTGAATAAGTCTAGAGATCTAATGTGCAATATGTGGAATAGAGTTAGTAATACTGTATTTAGGATTTTTGCTAAATGAGCAGATGTTAGCTGCTCTTGCCACACACACCAAAGGGGGTAATTATGTGAGATGATGGGTATGGTAATTTGCTCCCTATAGTAACCATTTTATTGTCTATATGTATCTCATGACGTCATGTTGTTTACCTTAAATATTTAGAATAAAATTTATTTTTTAAAAAAGTCTGACTGTTGAGAGCTGTGGTTGCAACTCTGGGCTGCACGTTTTCTCCCCTTTAGGAGAATATTAATTTAAAAATAGTTGTGCCAGAGCCCCGCCCCACTCCATGCCAATTAAATCAGAATATGGGCTTGGGCAAGGCAGTGAAGCTTCAACATGGGTGTTTAGTAAAAGTTGCCCTGGAGATTCTGACATGTAACAGGGTTGCAAATGACCTGTCTAATTTTCTAAAGAAATTTCCCATTTTATATTCCATGAGCAAATTCAAAGCATCTGGTTAAGATCTGAGGTATGTTTTCCTCTCTTCCTCAGAAGAGGGCAACTGGACTGTATTAATGATATAACCAAGACAGTTGAGGATAAAAGAGTCTGACATGTAAAAGTCTGAAGATACCCACACAAATTCATTAAAGAAAGTAAATTTTCTTGCTGAGAGTGCCTCACTGCTATTATTTATGACATCATCCTTGCAAGTGTTTTTTTCTCCTTCCAGAGTCAGTTTCCTAAGAAAAGATGAAGCAGGGGATTTGGCTTTCTCCAGTCTCTAGCCCCATCACCCATTTCATAAGCTCTAATGATGATCTGAGCCATTGAAACTTACACCTGGAGGACATTTGCCGTCAAATGGAGTTCTCCTAGTTTAGGTACTGGGCAGGCATCTTATTTCTTCCCAGCTTTCGTGGCTGAGCATAGGAAATGGTACAGCACAGGGGTAAGGAGTGGGCATTGGAAACAGACAACCCAGGTTCAAATTCTGGTTCCTCTACGTCTGAAACATGTACATATTTGGGCAAATTACCCAATTTCTCTGAAACGTGTTTTTACCATCTATGAAAAGATGATGTTAATTTTTCAAGGATATGGTAAGGATGAAATGGAATTATGCATGCAGAATATAAGCATTAAATAATATATGCAAAATGCTCAGGAGAGCACTCGACTCACAGTAAGTAGTCAAGAAATAATAGAAATAAACTACTATTTTAACTATCTTTAGCCTCCTCCACTTAACTGAATGACAAAATTAACCACCTCCCTTTACTCTCTCTAAAAAAACATAGTGACTGACTGACGCCACTAGCATTCTGGGCTACTCTTAAGTGTACTGGCTTTCTTCTCCTACCAGTTGAGTCAGTTATAGGCTTATCAAGAGTATTATTTGTTCCCAAACCTGTTTATGCCAGTTATTTTTGTTGTTGGAATTTAATTAAATATTAAGTAAACAGATGAAATATAAATGTGGAGAGTTATTTCTATAAAAACTAGGTTGAGGCCAAGAGCAGTGGCTCATGCCTGTAATCCCAGCAGTTTGGGAGGCCAAGGCGGGTGGATCACCTGAGGTCAGGAGTTTGAGACCAGCCTGGCCAACATGGTGAAACCCCATCTCTGCTAAAAATACAAGAATTAGCCAAGCGTGGTGGCGGGCACCTGTAATCCCAGCTACTCAGGAGGCTGAGACAGGAGAATTGCTTGAACCGGTGAGGTGGGATTTGCAGTGAGCCAAGATCACACCACTGCACTCCAGCCTGGGTGACAGGAGTGAAACTCTGTCTAAAAAAAACTCTAGGTCGGATGCATAAATACATTCAAATTGCAAAAATAAATGTCAAAGTAGGTGTGGTAAAACAATCAGGGTAACAGATGTTTTTGATTAGGGACTATCTTATATTGGATAAAAGGACATTTACTAAATTATGCTTTTCCAAAGGTTCACACTAAGAGAAAGAGGGAAAAGGTGATTTTCTTTCCTCAGGACGATCTCTTTCCAGTCATAATTAGCATGGGATGGAAAAGAAGGTTTTTCCCTTGCTTTGGTATTTTTAGTACCAAAAGTTTTAATATAAGAATAGTATAATGACACTTTTTTCTGTGAGTATAATGACCCATCATCCAGCTTTAATAACTGTCAACTCATAGCCAATATTGTTTAATTTATAGTCTGCCAAGTTCCCAGCTTCCCATATTATTTTGAAGAAAATATTATATTTTGAAAATTGCTTTTTTATATCTAAAATAGTTTGTTGTTCCAATTTAAAATGTTAGTAGAGAGTAACATACATGTGGAAAAGTGTGAGTATATAATACGCGTACAGTTCAATTAATTTTTACAAACACAATAATTGATATAACCAGCCTCTAGAGAGAGAAACAGAATATTATGACTTAAAATAGCTAAAGTTAACTTTTCCTGTTTTGTTCTTCATAAGATGGAATCATATAGTATGTTCCTTCTGTGTCTGGCAACTTTTGCTTAGCATTAGTTTTGTGAGATTCATCCATATCATTCATTCTCATTGCTATTTAATATTCTCTTACATGAATACACCATAGTTATCCACTATACATTGTGATAAAATTGAATTATTTTCAGTTTTTGATGTCGTGAGTAATGCTGTTATTTGTCTTCTCATGAGCATAAGAATGCATTTCTGTTGGGTATAAACCTGGAAGTAGAATTGCTGGGTCACACTGAGCTTTTTGTAAATGCTGTCAAGCATTTTTTCAAGTTGGTTGTCCTAGCTTCAGCTTAAAAATATTTGCTCTGTGTTGTTAGCCTGGAAGGTTCAGACAGCCGATCCACATAGCCCTTAGGATTAGAAGGATCTTTGTGGAAAAGTTCTTAATCCCATATAGGAAGGTATAAGAGGTATCATGATATCTTTGATACCATCTCTCAAACTTCTCCATCTTCAGGAGCTTTCTGGAAAAAAATTAGAATTCTCTTATTGAGATTATAGAGCAGACCCAAACTTCATGGGACATGGCCAAGGTCCTGTGTGGAGGGCTCAAGATGACATGCAAACTGTAGAATTTTTAACATGCTGTTGGAGATTTAGGACATTTACATAAAATTCATTTGGATGTGACTCTCTAGATCTTCTACTTGAGAAAGTATGCTTGGAAATATGTCCCAGGATGCAAATTGCATACAAGCAAAGATCTATGAATGTAACTGGAGACTTGATCTATATGTTGAATTATGATAATCTCCATTTGTCTCTGACAGGAAATGACCATGGTGTAATGGTGGAAATAGACTTAGTAGAGCTTGGAGGATGGTGGAGTTAATGAGGAGTCAAATCTCCTAATCTGCATGATTGGGGTGAAGGTGGGACTATTCACCTGATGAGAAAAATGGGAGAAACAACAGCCATTCTGTGTAGCGAATGCAACTTTGACCCTAAGAAATCCTTTATGCAGGTGGAGACACAGCTTCTTCAACCAATGAAAGAAATAATATCTGGCTTCTTGAATAGTTTCATGGTGCCACCAACAAAAACTATCATAGACCAACAATGGCAAGATGGCATCGGCAAGAATGAGCTGGTATGAAGAGGTGCTCAACCCATCCCACCACCATGGGAAATAATGTGGTAAACCGCCACTAGCATAACTGTTTACTTGCCTGTCTTCCCCGAAACTATAGGTTCTATGCAGGCAACACTCTGGATCTTCTTCTTTGTTGAATAGCCAGTGCTAACACTGTGCTGGGCCCAGAAAAGGTGCTCAATAAAGGGGTGTTGAGATGAATTGAATTGAAATCCCCTAAAGATTGGCCACAGAGTCTTAGTTATCTCAGGATGCTGGTGGAATCAAATCAGAAGCAAGAGATGCTCCCTATGCGTGGAAGGTTTAGGGTGCTGTGGAGGCTTTTGTATGCGGAAAACGTTGTTCAGAGGTTTACTTTGGAATACACAATAGGTATTAAATTTATTATAATTATACATTCATAAGCATAATTTTTAAAACTTTTAAATTCAGCTTAAACATCTAATTATTATTATTTTTTCTGGCAAAGTTTATCCATCACTTTTTTTTTTTTTTGAGACAGAGTTTCACTCTCGTTGCCCAGGCTGGAGTGCAATGGTGCAATCTCAGCTCACCGCAACCTCTGCCTCCTGGGTTCAAGCGATTCTCCTGCCTCAGCCTCCCGAGTAGCTGGGATTACAGACATGCGCCACCACGCCCCAGCTAATTTTGTATTTTTAGTAGAGATGGGGTTTCTCCGTGTTGGTCAGGCTGGTCTTGAACTCCCAACCTCAGGTGATCCGTCCTCCTTGACCTCCCAAAGCGCTGGGATTACAGATGTGAGCCACCATGCCCAGTCTATCCATCACTTTTGAGAAGATATAATAATATTGTTTCATTTACAAATCTAGTTAGCTAAAGCTAAATAATCTTTCTAAAACATCACATCACTTTAATAGGCTAGATTTTATAAGTTTAATATATTTGTTTTCTTTTTAAATATTTTGCTTTTATGAACTAAATGAGTTCTTAAATGCTTAACTGCTGTGCATGTACATGTGCATAAATGAAAACGCTCTGAAATATGTTAATGCTGCCCATAAATTTAGTGAGATTTCAACTTAAAATCAAAAGTATAAATTTTTTTTAATTTTTTATTTTTTGGAGGCAGGGTCTCACTCTGTCTCCCAGGCTGGAGTGCAGTGGCACAATCTCTGCTCATTGCAACCTCTGCCTCCCAGTTTCAAGAGATTCTAATGCCTCAGGCTCCTGAACACCTAGGATCACAGGTGTGCGACACCATGTCTGGCAATTTTTTTTTTAATTTTTAGTAGAGATGGGGTTTTGCTTCGTTGGCCGGGCTGGTTTCAAACTCCTGACCTCAAATGATCCGCCCACCTTGGCCTCGGAAAGTGCTGGGATTGCAGGTGATAGCCACCGTGCCTGGCCAAAAGTATAAATTATTTACACAATTACACATTTTAAATTAGAATTACAAGACTGTCTCTTAACTAGCACAGTACAAATGTCTAATATTAATGCATTAGTTTTGATTCTCTGAAAATTTTCTACACATAGTTCTAAATCTTTCTGGGGTTTTAAAAAATGAATATTCAATGAAGATGATTACTGTACTAGTTAACTGAGGTTGCCCTCTCACCCCAATTAATGAAAGTCATTTAGAACTAGAAATTTTGTCCAGACTTGAGACCTACAGCTCCGGAGATGCTTAGTGATTCTTCTCTCTACTCCACTGTCATCCTGAGCTTCTTTTTATAAACAGTGTGTTTTGGGCTTTGACACTTGAAAGAAGGTTGTCCTTTAATCTGTATCACCCAATTCTCTGTCTATTCTCAAGTAGCTGTAATTCGAAGCCAACTTCAAACCAGTTTGCTCATTTGCTTGCATTTTGTGTTTCTTCAGCTCTTAATATATGTGCATAGGTTTGTCATTTACAGCAAAGACTTTTAAACTTGACAGGATTTGTGTATACATAAATTATTTTCCATTAAACTTGAAATACCTTAAACTCAGTGGGGTCCTAAGATATGAAAATGCTTTTCTATTTTGCTTGATGAACACTAAGGACAATATAACTTTCAGGAATATCTTAAATGACACCTATGACTTCTTCATACTTGTGGTCCTAACTCATAAAATCATTCTATTGATACATCTTTGAAAATTAAAATTCTAAGACTCTTACTTGTGGTCCCTTCCCCTCCGTAATCAATAGATTTATACTCCGAAAGCCCACTGCAGCCTTTGCTAATTGATCACTACGTTTTCCTTAGCCCAAATATGATTCAGAATCCTTAAAGTATTGTTGCAGGCAGCCGCTACGGAGATCTAGGGGGAAACCTTTGTCACATTTTTCGTCGTGCTAAGAGAGCAATAAACAACTCAGGTGGGAAGAAATATGTTTTCAAAGGAAAGATGTTCACCTAGGTTTATTTGAGGAAGTATAGTTTAATTGTTAAGGCCATGGATTCAGGAAAACATACCTGTTTTCAAATACTGGCTCTATCTCTTACTGACTGTGTGAGCTTTGGAAAATTATTTAACCTCCTTGGACCTCAGTTTCCTCATCTTAAAATGAGGATAACAATGGTATCCATCTCACAGTGTTTTATGAATATTAAATAACGTAATACATGAAAAATGCTTAGCAGAATGTCGGGGACACTGTAAATGTTTACTAAATGATGGTGATCAGCCAAACATGGTGGCTAATGGCTGTAATCCCAGCACTTTGGGAGGCCGAGGCAGAGAGATCACTTGAGCCCAGGAGTTCAAAACCAGTCTGGGCAACATAGTGAGACCCCCCCCATCTCTATAAATAAATAAATAAAGTTATTTTTATTCTGTTAAAATCAATTTTATTTTATTTATTTATTTTTTTTGAGACAGAGTCTCACTCTGTTGCCCAGGCTGGAGTGCAATGGCGTGATCTTGGCTCCCCACAACCTCTGCCTCCCAGGTTCAAGCGATTTTCTTGCCTCAACTCCCAAGTAGCTGGAACTACAGGCATGTGCCACCACGCCAAGCTAATATTTTCGTATTTTTAGTAGAGACGGGGTTTCACTATGTTGGCCAGGCTCGTCTCGAACTCCTGACCTTGTGATCCGCCCGCCTTGGCCTCCTAAAGTGCTGCGATTACAGGCGTAAGCTACCGCGCCTGGCTAAAATCAATTTTTTTTTTAAATTTAAACTTTTATCTTAGGTTCAGCAGTACATGTGAAGGTTTGTTACATAGGTAAACTTGTGTCACAGGGGTTTGTTGTATACAGATTATTTCATCACCCAGGTATTAAGCCTGGTATCCAATAGTTATCTTTTTTACTCCTCTCCCTCCTCCCACCCCTACCCACAAGTCCACCCCAGTGTCTGTTGTTCACTTCTTTTTTTTTTTTTTTTTTTGAGATAGAGTCTTGCTCTGTTGCCCAGGGTGGGGTACAATGGTGTGATCTCAGCTCATTGCAACCCCTGCCTCCCAGGTTCAAGTGATTCTCTTGCCTCAGCCTCCCAGGTAGCCGGGATTACAGGCACCCACCACCACACCCAGCTAATTTTTTTGTATTTTCAGTAGAGACGGGCTTCACCATGTTGACCAGGCTGGTCTCAAACTCCTGACCTCAGGTGATCCTCCCACTTTGGCCTTCCAAAGTGCTGGGATTACAGGCATGAGCCACCATGCCTGGCCTGTTGTTCCCTTCTTTGTGTTCATAAGTTCTCATCATTTAGCTCTCACTTATAAGTGAGAACATGAGTATTTGGTTTTCTGTTTCTGTGTTAGTGTGCTAAGGATAATGGCCTTCAGCTCTATCCATGTTGCTGCAAAAGACATGATCTCTTCTTCTTTATGGCTGCATAGTATTCTATTCTATGGTATATATGTACCACATTTTCTTTATCCAGTTCATCACTGAATGGCATTTAGGTTGATTCCATGTTTTTGCTATTGTGAATAGTGCTGCAACAAACACTCATGTGTATGTGTCTTTATGGTAGAATGATTTATATTCCTCTGTGTATATACCCACTAATGGGATTGCTGGGTTGAATGGTAGTTCTGCTTTTAGCTCTTTGAGGAATCACCATACTGCTTTCCACAATAGCTGAATGAATTTACACTCCTAACAACAGTATGTAAGTGTTCTCTTTTCTCTACAACCTCGCCAGCATCTGTTATTTTTTGACTTTTTAGTGATAGCTCCTTTGACTGGTGTGAGATGGTATCTCACTGTGATATTAATTTGCATTTCTCTGATGATCAGTGATGCTAAGCTTTTTTCATATGCTTGTTGGCTGCATGTATGTCTTCTTTTGAAAAGTATCTGTTCATGTCCTTTGCCTACTTTTTAATGGGGATGTTTTTCTCTTGTAAATTTGTTTTAAGTTTCTTATAGATGCTGGATATTAGACCTTTGTCAGATGCACAGTTTGCAAATAATACATAAATAAAGATGATGATTTCCCTGAATATTCTGGAAGAGAGCTGAGGAGGAAGCACATCTTCAACTATGAGGCAAAATAAGAGCACTGTGGGACAGCAGCAACAGCCAGGGCAGCTGGGCAGGCCTAGGGTCTTTCAAACAAAGGCACAGGGCAGAAAATAAATCAGAGCCCCAGAATCTCATCGTGCAGGCTACAAATAGCAGCTGCAGCTGCAGACCAAGGGCTGGCCTTTACATGTCCATGGTGCAAAAGGACTCCTGGTGAGAAGCTGATCTTTTCCCTCACACCCACACAGAGCCAGCAATCACACATAGAGTAAACTCTGAATATTAAGGAGCCATTTTTAGTAGAGAATAGCAAACTGCTTGATAATACAGACTGGATGGAAGATGGAGCATGGTGAATTTTGTATACTGATTAGATGTTTCTGTATGTACCATACATAATTCTGGATCATTAGACTGCCAACAATATCTCCCCACATCTGTAGAACACTTACCATGTTCAGACACTGTACCAAGGACTTCACATATATAGTTCATTTAATCCTCCTATGCTTCTGTGGAGCAGATATGATTATTGTCCTAACCTAGATCTTAGAGGAGGACTAGCAAAAGTTGGAGAAACTAAGGCTCAGAGAGATTAAATAATTTACCCAACATCACAAGATTCTGGGTTTAGGGCTGCATTATAAACCAAGTCTGTCTGAATCCAGCATCTCATCTCTTAAAACTCTTTGCTGGGCTGCCTTGCAATTACAATGATATCTTGCTCACAAATTATTTTATGTGCTTATTTCTTATGGCCTCAAATAGTCCCCTGTGAGGAGGGGCAGGGTGCTGCACTTGCTTATTTTGTACCTCCAAACTTTCAACACATAGCAGAAGGTGAGCAGATACTTACTGATACATTTTGAACAAAGTTATGATGGAATAGGAGAGAGGGAGGAATTGGTCAGCTCCCAACGACACAACGTCAAGGCCACTTAAAAAACTCTCAACCCATTTACATTTTTTCAGCTACAAATTATGTTTACTATAAACTATGAACCATAAAGATGATTAAGACAAGATCCTGGCTCAAGAACATAATAGTTTAGATTAGGTATTGCAAATTCAACTGTTCACCTGGCTAGGCAGTTAACATGAACAAGTGAAGGGGCCCAAGAAGCAAACTAGGGTGTTCCCTATTGAGTTCCAGCTTATTGTTTCTATCCAAATTCATTATTGCCAGGAGAAACCAGAAGTTTATATTTTATATAATTTTCATATCTTTATGTGAAACAAGTGTGTGGTTCAGATAAAACTTATTTGCAAACTGGATTTAGCTCATAGGCTACCAAGTAGAGACCTCTGTTTTAAACAATAATATGTACACATAAAGACAATAGAAGGTAGACAAGACTAATTAATGTACAAGGAGGGTACATAAAGTTTTCAGGGAAGTCAGAGATTATTTTCAGCTAGAGCATCAGAGAAGACTTTGTGAAGAAAGTCACCTTTGAGTTTCTTCTACTAAAGTGAATCAGCTTTGCAATCACTATGATGCGAGGGAATGCTATTCAGCTGTAAGCAATGATAGGAGCAAAGACCCATAGGTGGAAAATCATGAGTCAAACTCAGGGACCTCTGAATTACACTGTACTTTGATTTTTGTGTTTTGTTTTGTTTTGCTTTTTGGTTTCTTACTGGAGACAAATGTGTTGTAATGTGATTTACATTCATCAGAATTAGGAAAATTTTTGTGTTTTTCCAGTAAGCACTATAAGCAAAGAGTAGAAGATGATGAAGGTCAAAACTTGTTAGGGTCTATCAATTAAAGGAGATTTTAAAGCAAAGGAAATGTCACTCCTTGTAGCCTACTGCATGGTGTGTGGTAGGACATAAAGCTTAAAAGAACATCCGAGTCTTGGAAGGGATCCAGCAAAGGCACCAGGACTAATTTGGGAGATGAAGGGTATGTCTTATGAGGAGAGGCTTAGAGGGCTTAGCATGCTTTAGCTTTAAAATAAGGGGGGTGAGCAGAGTTCTATTGATAGCCTGCAAGTCTTCCAGTATGAACTTGTACTTGATGTGAGATGAAACTCTAAGTTACACAAAGGAATTTCAAGAAGGCAGTTTTCTTTCTTTTTCATTTCAAGAATGATGAGCCCTAGAACTTTTCATGCAAAAAAGTTTTAAAGACAAAATGGCTTTTCATAAAGGATTTGGGGGAACAATTTCAGTTTTATTACCATGCATTCACTGAAGTGCTGAATTTAAGGATCAATTATCCATAATATCAATTTATATCACAGTAGATAGAAATACCATTGTCCTGGTAGCTCCAAATGAACATAAAACAACAAACAAACATGCACACTCCTGCACAGAGAGAGGGAGAGAACTCACTTAGCCATTACTTAGCACAAACATGCTGAAATTCACAAATTCACCAAATCTTTATTTCTGTTTTTTGTTTTGTTTTGTTTTTGAGATGGAGTCTCGCTCTGTCACCCAGGCCAGAGTGCAGTGGCACAATCTCGGCTCACTGCAATCTCCACCTCCTGGGTTCAAGTAATTCTTGTGCCTCAGCTTCCCAAGTAGCTGGGATTACAGGCGTGCACCACCATGCCTGGCTAATTTTTATATTTTTAGTGGAGACGGTGTTTCGCCTATGTTGGCCAGGCTGGTCTCCAACTCCTGACCTCAGGTGATCCGTCCACCTCAGCCTCCCAAAGTGCTGGGATTGTAAGCATGAGCCACCGTGCCCAGCCAAATTCACCAAATCTTTACCACCTGCACCACTTGATATTTCTTGTGTCATGAACAATGAGGCAATTCATGGGAGGGAGAACTGGTAGACCTAAGAACATGAGTAATAATCCTATGGAGTCATCCTTCAAATTTTAAATTACTTGACAATCTGCTTTGTTTTGGATTTTGACAAATTTTATTTTGGCTCCTAGATCTCTGCTTTTCATGACTTAGTTTAAACTCAAAAAGCCCCACAAAATATGCATAGGATAAAACTGAAAGGACATATAACAATTTTAGTGATTGTTAGTATTTCTAACTGATTAAGCTTTTAATATTTAATATATAGACTATTCAGGTTCAGAAGTTGAGGTTCAGGATCAAGGTCAGAGTTGGGTCCCAAGAGTCATTCACACAGTAATAGCTGAGAATGTGAGAGGGGATTAGCTCACTGAGGGAGAGGATGTACACAGACAGCAGAGAGCCAGGAGCTGAATCTTGGGGAAAGTCTCCTGCAAGGGCCCAGGCAAATGAAGAGAGGGACAGCAGGGGACAGGCAGGATCTGTTCACTGTTATTTAGATCCAGGAGCCCCTTCCTCCTGATCACCATCTTCTTCCAAATGGTCATTGGATTAGTCTCTTCTCATGCTGCTAAAGACATGCCCAAGACTGGGTAACTTATAAAGGAAAGAGATTTAATGCACTCACAGTTCCACATGGTTGGGGAGGCCTCACAATCATAGCTGAAAGAAAAGGAGAAACAAAGTCACATTTTACATGGCAGCAGGCATAGAGAGGGTTTGTAAGGGAACTCCCCTTTATAAAACCATCAGATCTCGTTAGACTTATTCACTGTCACGAGAACAGCACGGTAAGGATCCGTCCCCATGATTCAATTGCCTCCTACTGGGTCCCTCCCACAACATGTGGGGACTATGGGAACTACAATTCAGCTGAGATTGGAGTGGGACACAGCCATATCATATCAGTCATCTAAACAGAAGTCTTAAGCTATTTTGTTCACATATTTCCTGCTATGAACTGAACTATGTTCCCTCCCCAAATTAGTATGTTGAAGCCCTACCTTCCAATGTGATGGTATTTGGAGATGGGGCCTTTGGGAGGTAATTAGGTTTAAGAAGTTATGAGGGTCTGGCCCTCATGATGGGATTAATGCCCTTTTAGGAAGATACACCAGAGAGCTTGCTCCCTGTCTCCACTGTTGTGAGGACTTAGTGAGAAGGCAGTGGTCTACAAGCCAGGAAGTGGACCTTCACCAGAACCCGAACATGCTGGCACCCTGATCTCAGACTTCCAGCCTCCAGAACTATGAAAAATAAATTTGTGTTGTTTGAGCCTCCCAGTCTATGGTATTTTGTTATGGCATCCCAAACTGAATAATAACACCTTCTAAAATTTTGGGGGTAATTTTTCACACATTTCCAAATTAATATTCAAAATTTTCTATCATAAGTTTAAATAGTTGCAAAGACTGTAATTTCCAACATTCTGTAAGAGTTGATATTAAAAATCAAAATAAAACTGTATATATTTTAAATATCTCTTATGCAATAAAAATGTCATAGTGATATGACATTTTTAATGTCCCATCTTAATGTATTAAAGACATATAAATAAGCTCTTTGGCCACTGGAGATTTTGACATTATTTCCTTCTTTCCCTGAGCAAATATTTTCATTCCACTTAACTCACAGGATTCTACTTCTATTTAATATAATTTTTTGCCTTAAAAGTTAAAAAAGTTTTTCACCTTATATTTGTCTGTCTCAAAAGATAAATAAATTAAAATTTTAAAAAACTTTGTTCTGTGACTACAAGGATTTAAAGTAATTTTTAAATGTATTTGAAATTAAGTTATTGATATGAGTATTATTTGTACACAATTCATTAAAGCAACTTAAAAGATGAAACTGACCGATAAGTCATTATTAAGCACAAAATAATATTTTATTAGAAATGTATCCTTGAATTTTGTATAAGGTGTAAGGAAGGGATCCAGTTTCAGCTTTCTACATATGGCTAGCCAGTTTTCCCAGCACCATTTACTAAATAGGGAATCCTTTCCCCATTGCTTGTTTTTCTCAGGTTTGTCAAAGATCAGATAGTTGTAGGTATGCGGCGTTATTTCTGAGGGCTCTGTTCTGTTCCATTGATCTATATCTCTGTTAATCAATTCAAGATGGATTAAAGATTTAAACGTTAGACCTAAAACCATAAAAACCCTAGAAGAAAACCTAGGCATTACCATTCAGGACATAGGCGTGGGCAAGGACTTCATGTCCAAAACACCAAAAGCAATGGCAACCAAAGCCAAAATTGACAAATGGGATCTAATTAAACTAAAGAGCTTCTTCACAGCAAAAGAAACTACCATCAGAGTGAACAGGCAACCTACAGAATGGGAGAAAATTTTCGCAACCTACTCATCTGACAAAGGGCTAATATCCAGAATCTACAATGAACTCAAACAAATTTACAAGAAAAAAACAAACAACCCCATCAAAAAGTGGGCGAGGGACATGAACAGACACTTCTCAAAAGAAGACATTTATGCAGCCAAAAAACACATGAAAAAATGCTCATCATCACTGGCCATCAGAGAAATGCAAATCAAAACCACTATGAGATATCATCTCACACCAGTTAGAATGGCAATCATTAAAAAGTCAGGAAACAACAGGTGCTGGAGAGGATGTGGAGAAATAGGAACACTTTTACACTGTTGGTGGGACTGTAAACTAGTTCAACCATTGTGGAAGTCAGTGTGGCGATTTCTCAGGGATCTAGAACTAGAAATACCATTTGACCCAGCCATCCCATTACTGGGCATATACCCAAATGACTATAAATCATGCTGCTATAAAGACACATGCACACATATGTTTATTGCGGCATTATTCACAATAGCAAAGACTTGGAACCAACCCAAATGTCCAACAATGATAGACTGGATTAAGAAAATGTGGCACATATACACCATGGAATACTATGCAGCCATAAAAAATGATGAGTTCATGTCCTTTGTAGGGACATGGATGAAATTGGAAACCATCATTCTCAGTAAACTATCGCAAGAACAAAAAACCAAACACCGCATATTCTCACTCATAGGTGGGAATTGAACAATGAGATCACATGGACACAGGAAGGGGAATATCACACTCTGGGGACTGTGGTGGGGAGGGGGGAGGGGGGAGGGATAGCATTGGGAGATATACCTAATGCTAGATGACGAGTTAGTGGGTGCAGTGCACCAGCATGGCACATGTATACATATGTAACTAACCTGCACAATGTGCACATGTACCCTAAAACTTAAAGTATAATTTAAAAAATAAATTAATTAATTAATTAAAAAAAATAAAAATAAAATAAAATAAAATAAAAAATGTATCCTTGAGGCAGAAAATAATTTTTTCCAGTTTATTCATTCATGGTCGAATATTATTTATTGTCAGAAAGGTACAGCATTCACACCAATATCAGACAAAATAGATTTTAACTAAAAAATTATTTCGAGACAAAAATAACAATATATGTTAATAAAAGGCTCAATTAAAAATGTATAACAATTATAAACACATACACATCAAACAACAGTTCCCCAAAATACGTAAAGCAAACATTGACAGGATTGAAGGGAGAAATAGACCACTCTACAATAGTAGTTGGGGTCTTCAACACCCCACTTTCAATAATGTATAAAACATCTAGACAGAAGATCAGGAAGAAAACAGAGAACTTGAACAACATGATAAACCAACTAGACCTAACAGACATATATAGAATTCTCTACTCAACAACAGCAGAATACACATTCTTCTCAGTGCACATTGAACACTCTTCAGGGTAGATGATATGTTAGGTGAGAAAACAAGTCTCAGTAAATTTCTAAAAATGTAAATCATACATATCTTCTCTGACTACAATGGAATAAAGCTAGAAATGAATAACAGGAGGAAAACTAGAAAATTCACAAATATGTGGAAATCAAACCACATGCTTTCAAACAACCAAAAGGTCAAAGAAGAAATCATCAGGAAAATCAGAAAATACTAAGAAATAAATGAAAGCAAAAATACAACATACCAAAACTAAAAAACATACTATATGAGATGTGGTGAAGGCAGTGCTAAGGGGGAAATGTACAGCAATGAACACCTACATTAAAAAAGAATGATCTCAAATTAATAACTGTACATCTTAAGAAACTAAAAAAAAAAGCAAAATCAATCCAAATCTCACAGAAATAAATAATAAAGTTTAGTGCAGAGATAAATTAAATAGAGAATAGAAGAACAATAGTCAATAAAACTAAAAGTTGGTTCTTTGAAAAGATCAGCAAAATTGACAAACCTTTAGCTAAAATAACAAAGAATAAGACAGAAGATGAAAATAAGTAAAATCAGAAATGAAAGTGGGGACATTACTGACCTTATAGAAATAAAAAGGATTATAAGAGAATATTATGAACAAAAATATAACAAATAGGATACCCTAGAGGAAAGGTAAAAATTCCCAGAAATATTCAAATTACCAAAACAGACTCAAGAAGAAATAGAAATTTGAACAGCTATAACAAGTAAAGAGGTGGTATCAATAATCAAACACTTCCCAACAACAACAAAAAAATCAGAGAGCTTCACTGGTGAATTCTACTAAACACTTAAAGAAAAATTAACAGCAATCCTTCTCAAGCTTTTCCAAAAAATAGAAGAGGAGGGAATACTTCCTGATTAGTTTTATGAAGCCAGTATTATCCTGATACCAAAGCCAAACAAAGACATTACAAGAAAAAAAATTAGAGACCAATATCCCTTGTGAGTATCGATGCAAAAATCCTCAAGAAAATGCTAGAGAAGTGAATACAATAGCATATTAAAAGGATTATACCCCGTGATCAAGTAAGATTTATCCTAGAAACACAAGAGTATCTCAACATAAGAAAATCAAGCAATGTTACACCAAATTCATAGAATGAACGGGAAATTCATTCTATGTAGAAACGCATAATTGCAGAAAATGCATTTGACAAAATCTGACACCTTTTCATGATTTTTTAAAAAACCCCTCTGAAAACTAGGAATAGAAAATAACTTCCTCAACATGATAAAGGGCATTTATTAAAAAACTCATGGCTAACATCATACTCAATGATGAAAGGTGGAAATCCTTTTCCTTAAAATCTGGGAAATGAGAAGATACTTTCTTTCACAATTGCTATTCAACATTACACTGTGGGTCTTACCCAGAGCAGTTAGGCAAGAAAACAAAATAAAGGCATCCAAGCTGAAAATTATCTCTATTTGCAGACAACATAATCATGCACATAGAAAATTCCAAAGAACACACACACACTCAAGCATACACACACACACACTCATGCATACACACACACAACCCTGAGCCAAAAAGCAAATTCAGGAAAGTTTGGGGGTGCAAGGTAAACACACAAAAATCAGTTGCATTTTAATACAACAGCAAGGAACAACTCAATGAGGAAATTAAGAGAACAATTCCATTTACTATAGCATCCAAGAGAATACAAAGCCTAGGAATAAATTTAACCAAGGAGGTAAAAGACTTGGACGCTGAAAACTACAAAACATTGCTGAAAGGTATTAATAATCTTTGAAAAACTCAATAGAAAACTAATTTAAAAAAGAAAACAACGACAAGAAAATCTTAATTTCTTTTTTTAAATTTTTTTTTCAGGGCAGTTCCCTTAACCAGCATATGTTCGGAGTGACTCCCAAAAATCTTAATTCCTTAGCAATTAAGAAATGATCTTTTATTTTTTTAATTTTAATTTTTTTTTTTGAGACAGGGTCTCACTCTATCACCCAGCCTGGAATGCAATGGTGCCATCAAGGCTCACTGCAGCCTCCACCTCCCAGGCTTAAGCAATCCTCCCACCTCAGCCTCCTAAGTAACTGGGATCACAGGTGCTCACCACCATGCTCAGCTAATTTTTTTATTTTTTGCGGAGATGGGATTTCACTATATTGCCCAGGCTAGTCTTGAACTCCTGTTCTCAAGTGATCCACTTGTCTCTGTGTCCAAAAATGGGAATTGCAGGTGTGAGCCACTGCACCCAGCCAAAAAATGCCCTTTTAAATAACTCCTAGATCAATAAGAAAATGACAACCAAATTGCAGATTATTCAGAAATTATAAATATGATAACATTAAATCAAAATCTATGTGGTATAGCTAAAGCCCTAGGCTGAAAATAAGGTCTAATCTAAATCCTTAATATAGAAAAAAAAAAAACTTGACCAAAAGAAATCAGGAAGAGAAAACATAATTAAACCATAAACTAGTTCTTTCAAAGCACCAATAAAATTAGTTATACCTTGGAAAAACTTACCAACGGAAAGGGAGAAAATACAAATATTTATTAGGAATAAAAAGGAACCATAATCTTATATATGGATACTTTTAAATTAGTAGGATTGATTTTAAAAGTGAGAATCGATCCTACTAATTGGCTGGTGCATATACATAGTTTAAATTTTAATCAATTTTTGCTAGACCACTTTCCCAAAAGGTTACCTAGCCAACAGTTTGATCAGCAATGTATAAGATTGCCGGGTTTCTCATACCCTGAATGTTATCATTAAAAAAACAAAAAGTTGCCAACTTAATGGGTGAGAACTGATTACTCATTGTTTGTTTCCATTTTCCTGAAAGTTTAAGCAATATATCGTATGTATTCATGGTTTCTATTTCTTCTGTAAATTGCTTTTTGAAATCTTCTACTCTACTTTTAAATTAATAATATTAACTCTATGATGGGTTTAAAATAACTTTTTCTCCTTTCCTTTTTTACTTTTTGATTTTATGGTGTCTTTGCTAGAGATAAAGAATTTTAATATTTTATTTACTCAAATCTGTTACCTTCTCTATAGCTTCTAGATTTTCTTACTTTAACACGTGTCTCCACTTATGAGAGTATTATTCAAACACTGTCATAATTGTTCTTCAAATATTTTTATTGTTTAATTTTTTAACTTAAAACTTTATTTCTTCTATAATTTGCTCTTCTTTATTGTGTGAATTAGAGGTTTAAAGTTGTTTATTCCCCACCCATCCACACCCGCCATGTGCCTCCAACTTACCAGAGAGACATACCACCACCAGTTTCTGTTATTTTACCATGATGCTGATTGCAGTATTAGTTATGGTGGTCAAACACTGAAAACAACCTGAATGCCCATCAAAAGGTATGTGATTGAGAAAATATGGCATACTACAGCACATCCATACCATGAACAATTATTTAGCTATTAAAAAAGATTGAGTTAGGTCTATGTATATTAACATGAATGAATGTCTGTGAGAGGAGGTTACATGGAAAAAGAAAGTGGAAAATAATGTAAATAGTATAATCCCATTCATTAAAAAATAGATGAAGAACTCTCTACATATGAATATATACATTTATACACGTATGTATGAGCACAAAGGAAAATTAGACCCTAATTCACACACTGGAATGAGGATGAGGTTGGGGAGAGAGTGAAATTCTTGAGATTGCTTATTTACTATTTATACTTCTCCATATTCTTTGGTTAACGCGGAGAACACTATTGCTTTTATTTTGAAAGGTGAGAGATTGATACTTGCCTATCTGACATCCATTCTCCTTGGTCTCTTTAATAACAGAATTCCAATTTTACCTGAGAATAAGACTACATTTCCCAGCTCCTTTTGTAGTCAGATATAGCCATGTAACCAAGTTCTGGCCTGTGGGATGTAGTAGATGTGTGTGGGACTTCAAACAAGTCTCTTTAAAATGAAGAAAGTGACTTCTTCCTCTTCCTCTTCTCCTTCTCCTTCTCCTTCTCCTTCTCCTTCTCCTTCTCCTTCTCCTTCTCCTTCTCCTTCTCCTTCTCCTTCTTCTTCTTCTTCTTCTTCTTCTTCTTCTTCTTCTTCTTCTTCTTCTTCTTCTTTTCAGCTGCCTGGAATAGGAATGTAGTGTCTAGAAGATACACAGCTATTTTGGACCATGAGGTTACCAGGAGGATGGTAGAGCAAGAAGGAGGAGTCTGGTTTCCTGGATACACTGTGAAGCCACTGTATGACTCTAAGCCATTTGCTTTTAGACTTGCTTTATATGAGGGAGAAATACTTCTATCTTGATTCAACTGTTGGTATTTTGTAGTTTTGTGTTGTATTTGAACAAACTTCATCCTCAATAATACAAAAGGAAAAATCTAATACAGCATTTAGCAAAAGAAACAAAAGCCTGTTGACCATCCCCCTGTCTTTCCTGAGAGTACAGCTAAGGCATCTGCAACCTTCTAGATGAATGCATAAGATCTGAAATAGGAGTTATGTATTCCTAAAACAATATAGCCCTAGGAAAATTACACAAGTCTACTTGTTATCCTAATTTAAAATTTTACCTTAACCACCTGATACACTGTACAATAATTTGTCCTAGAATTTGTCCATACTTCCAATTCCTATAATAATGCTTTGCCTTTTTATAATTAATTCCTTTATTACCAAAAAGTTCCCCAGGTCATAAAATACTTTCTCTGTGGATTGCAATATTTCCTGGCATATGTTCACTTCAGTAAGACGATCAGTGTATTAAAAACCCAATGGGGTTTCTGCAGAAGCCAATGATGGCATGGCACCTCTTTTGTGGCATGTGTGAAATCTGCCCTTCGCTGTAAACATTCTTATGCAACATGACACTCTGCCCTATGTCCATTTCATATGTGGTGTTCAGTGTGCTGGGAATGCTGAAAAAAACAATTCTCTCTTAGAGATTTCCCAAGTAGAATCACAGTGTTAAACCTATCAGCAGCCTCCAAGATCATTTTTTTTAAGCCCCTCATTTTACACAAAAAGAAACTGAGGCCCAGAAAGCCCCCTGACTTTCTCAGAGTAACTAAGCTGGTTAATGATAGATCCAGAAATAGAACCCAAGGGACCAACTTCAGATTCTAGGTTCTTTCATATGTTTCATCTATTAATTGATATCCCCAGAGCGGACTCAGCAAAGGAACGTTTTTTTTTTTTAAAGTACAAAAATGTGTTCAGTAGTATAATGTGGTTAAGGAGGGGCTGTCTTTATAAAAGATGTTCATTACCATCTTGACTGGCTTCCTCCCCCTCCCCGCCACATAACTAAAGCATGATGCTATTGAGTTCTAAGTCTAGTTTCCACCCTTATATGAAAAGTCAGCTTGGCACAGAGTTTGGTAGAGCTAAGTCTGACCAGCTGCACTCTCAGCCACAAGGGAAATTAGACGAGACAGTGTGGCTGCTTCAGTACCAATCAATCAAAGTTTTTGAAAATTATCTTGAAAACACACACCAATAAAGGCATGTGTGTAGTTGTCTTTTCATATAAACTCAGGTTAGTCCTAGTGCATGTGAACAAAGAAAGTAAGGTGTCTTCTTCAGGTTGACTACTTGGTAGTTCCTATTTCTCTATCAGTTCCATGAGCGTTTTGGGAGAAAGTGACCACATCTACTACAGTCTTTCAACATCTTAAGTTAGATTTGTGTACCCTCCAATTGAATCACTTGAATCAAAACAATAGCTACTAGTCTATTTGACTTTCTTTGCCCAGGCCCCATATATATCTTTTTATTTTATTTTTATTTTTTGTAGAGACAGGGTCTTGGTTTGTTACCCAGGCTGGTCTCCAACTCCTGGCTTCAAGTGATCTTCCCACCTTGGCCTCCCAAAATGCTGGGATTATAGGCCCCAGCACTGCACCCAGCCTCCATATATATTTTTAAGTGTATAATCCAGTGGTTTTTAATATATTCACAAAGTTGTACAACCATCACCACTATCTAATGCCAGAACATTTTCATCATGACCAAAAGAAACCCCATATGCACTGGCAGTCACTCCCAATTCCACCTCCCTTAGGCCACTGGCAAACACTGATATACTTTCTCACCATATGGATTTGCCTGTCCTAGATATTTCATATAAGTGGAATTGTACAATGTGTGTTCTATTATTTTTTATTATTATTATTATTAATTTGAGATGGAGTTTCGCTCTTGTTGCATAGGCTGGAGTGCAATGGTACAATCTCGGCTCACCACAACCTCCGCCTCCTGGGTTCAAGTGATTCTCCTGTCTCAGCCTCCCGAGTAGCTGGGATTACAGGCATGCACCACCATGCCCAGCTAATTTTGTATTTTTAGTAGAGACGGGGTTTCTTTATGTTGTTCAGGCTGGTCTCGAACTCCTGACCTCAGGAGATCCACCCCCCTCAGCCTCCCAAAGTGCTGGGATTGCAGGCATGAGCCCAGCAGTGATCTATTATTTTATAGTCTACGTTTGTATGTCTGACTGACTTCTTTCACTTAGTGTAATGTTCTCAAGCTTCATCCACGTTGTAGCATGTGTCATTGCCTCATTCTTTTATATGTCCTATAATTTTGAAAAATGATGTTTTTGGAAAAAAATGCAAACGCAGAGTATCCCCTAATAGAAATCTTTGCTATTCTTAGAGAAGAACATGAGACAAGTTATTTAACCTAGAGATTTGGCTTGAAAAATTAATATTGACATATCAATGAGGAATAAGAAAAAATATAAATGCAATAATTAAGGACTGATGAAAATGAAAAGCTAATTGGAGCATAAAAGTGATCATCTGAATACAAAGACTTTTCTGCCTAATCTTAGTGAAAATTAAGGTATAGGTTGGATTGGCATATTATGATTTTTAATTTGTTTTTTTAATCATCCAGCAAACTTTTTGCACTCCTGAGTCAGCACATGCATCTGTCAGAGAGAGAAGAGCAAGACGGAGCACGAGGCTGCAGCTGAATTTAGAAAGTTAGAGGTGTTCTCATCAGCCACATGAGATGGGCAGGAGATTCCTTCCAGTAGGCGAGAGAGCAGAGTGCAGACAACAGATGTGAGAAAGGTCCCCATAGCTGTCAAGTTCCTGCATCCTTGTGCTGAAGAAAGGGAGGTGCCATCATGATTGATGTTCAGAGGCAGTATAAAAGCACTGGGTTTCTCCCCAACTGCTTGTCACACCGACCTGCACCATCTCTCGCCTGCCTGTGGGGTTTCTGTCAACTAGTCGTGGAGGGAAGGAGACTCTTTAAAGAATAACATCTTATTGTGGCCATGCCAGAACCCACTAAGAAAGAGGGTAAGACTTATCTAGAAATCTTTTTGTTGTACTCCTGAATAAAGTGTTTATTTTGGTATTTATCTTCAAACAAATAACAAATATCTTAACTAGATGAGAAAATAAAATCACTATGATTTAAGGAAACGATCTTTTAGATTAAACAGACCAGAGGAAAAATACAGCGAGAGTATATTGAATTGAAAAATTTCTGATAACGATAGTTTCTAAAGGGATATTGACTAAAATTATCAAATGATAATTCTATCATTCAATTGTAAAGAATCCTTAAAGTGTAATTTAAGGATGTTAATTGCTGATGGTAAACAGATTACGTTTTCAAGCATATTTTCTTAGATTTAATCACAAATTTTTTACCATGTATTTGCAATTTGCAGAGAGTAGGAGACTTAAAATATTTTCTCAAATGGTTAATACATTGGATCAAGATTTCAAAAAAGAATTTGTGACATTATTTCCATATTTGCTACTTTTTTTAATGGAAACATATTTAAAATATACAGACGAAGGGTTTTTTTTGTTCTTATCAGTGCCTTTGGAGGT
Source organism: Homo sapiens (assembly GCF_000001405.40). Taxonomy (NCBI): domain Eukaryota; kingdom Metazoa; phylum Chordata; class Mammalia; order Primates; family Hominidae; genus Homo; species Homo sapiens. The sequence continues at coordinate 101,595,639 of NC_000012.12, forward strand.
TCGTTATTAAATTCTTGCATGGAAAGAAAACCAAACACCTGATAAAAAAGGATGTCCCTGAATATCATGAATAGATTGTTCTTTCATGAGTTTTATTGTAGAGAATTTCATAATATGTAGTAGGCTTTAAGAATAGTTAAGCTGAAAGTATAAAAATATTCTTCCTTAGAAGAAATGTTTTCCCTAACAAAGTTTCTCCTTTCTATAAAAAAATTAGTGTATTAAAGCTACCAATTGGTAACAGAAGTAAATTGGAATTAGTAGTTATGAAAATAAATAATAATAAGCACAAATTAATACTATGCATGCATTGAATTTAATTTTTAATTAAAATATCTTTTAAAAATATTATTTCATTTATATTCATCTTCATTAATGCTTACTGAATCTTTATTTTTCCCTTCTGCAAATAAAAGAAAAAGAAAGATTAGCAGGAAACATAAAAATAGTCATAGTTTTCAGTTTTTAATTCTTAAAAATGCTTTAGCTATTATTTTAAGGAACCTTGAAAAAGATGTTGAAATACTAACCAAATTATCAAAAGTCTTTTAAACATATTTTCTTTATATAATTAAGTAACCAGTGTTGACAGGCTGTGGTGATCAGTTTACAGGTTGGCCTTACTTAGTGGCAGAGGGCATTGATGGATGAAGTCTTTCACCCAAAATAACCACACCAAATGCATGTATTAATATGGGAACTTAATCCTGACTGTCAGGCAGGGAGTCCAACCCCTGCTAAAGTATCTTATTTGTAATGCAAATGATTTACGTGTGTACTAAGTGTCCTTTTTATCTGCTCTGTCACTTTAACCTCTCCGAAGTGTACCCAGAAGCAATACATTCTACCATGTTTCCAAACTGGAAACACAATATTGTTTTAATTATTCTGAATTTAGTGAATGATTTTGCATTTGTTTTTTTAAAGCCTAATTGAAAATGAGAAGAAAGCTGAAAAACCAATAAATAAGGTGACAGCCTGTAAGAGCCAATAAAGCTAATTAAATTATTCTGATCGCAAAGGCGATGAAGTTTACTTTTCATTTGACAACTCAGTCTGATTCACTCTTTTATGGGGAATGAAATTATAGAGCTGCAAAGAGGAAAATATATCTTTAACTTCAGCCCCCACCCCCCCAATATATATTTTTTTCTTTCTGAATAAAACAGCATGGATGCTAAAGACTCCATCATCTTCTTTTGCTATAAAAGCATGTTGCTATTCTGTGTAGGAGTTCCTCCACCCAGGACAGTAATTTTATACCCATAAATTCTTTGGTTAGTGTAAATTTGGATGATGGGGATTGGGGCAAGAAGAGTTACTGATATATTTAAAATCCATTGAGGAAGTACAGAGATTTTTTTGGTTCCCTTACCAGCAGAACTGATTCTTAAAGGAACTGTACCTTGAAAAGCTTTCCTTAGTGAAATAATTGCATTTTAATATTGTTTACATTAGAAGAGTAAGGAGTACGGCAATTCATGAACTATTCTGGTCCTTTCTTCTTCTCCTAACTGTGATTTCATTTTCACTGGGGTTAGTTTGATTGCATATAAGCCTCCCTCTGAAAAATAAAACATGGCCTAGAGCCAGTTCTTCAGAATCATTTCAAAATACCTGCAGAAACCCTCCCAAAGAACAGGCTCCTCCAGCCCATATGGGTCTTCTGAACTCTTCCCCACAGCTCGTAAAGCCATGCCCAGGAAGGCCATGACCACTTGCTGTGAATCTTAATAGGACACATGAGCTGGTTTGGCCCTCCTAGGATCCAGGAGGATCTGGCAACTCCTCAAAAGAGGCTGAGTTTTCAGCACCTGAAGGTACAAAAAATGTCTCACTCAACTACTTCCCAGCCTACCGTGGCCTAATTCTGGGAGTTTTCTTCTTAGATCTTGGGAGAGCTGGTTCTTCTAAGGAGAAGGAGGAAGGACAGATGTAACTTTGGATCTCGAAGAGGAAGTCTAATGGAAGTAATTAGTCAACGGTCCTTGTTTAGACTCTTGGAATATGCTGGGTGGCTCAGTGAGCCCTTTTGGAGAAAGCAAGTATTATTCTTAAGGAGTAACCACTTCCCATTGTTCTACTTTCTACCATCATCAATTGTATATTATGTATTCTTTGGAGAACTATGTTATTTGTACTGTCTATTCCAGATAAAACTTACCTTACACCACTTTGGATTCTTACAGAACCTAAGGCCTAGTACAATTAAGTTATTCCGATCAAATTGGGAGGATGTTGTAGGCAGTTTCAGATTTGTGGGGATCTCCCAGGATGCCTTTGATACATTCATTTATATATCAATTATTAATTGAGTACAAGTAAGTGCCCGAAAGTTAATTGCCCCCGGTTCCTACTGTGTAAAGAAATCACCTTTCTTTTTTTTTTTTTTTTTTTTTAAGACAGTATCTCACTCTGTGGCCCAGGCTGGAGTGCAGTGCCACAGTCTCCGCTCACTGCAGCCTTTGCCTCCCAGGTTCAAGTGATTCTTGTGCCTCAGTATCTCAAGTAGCTGGGATTACAGGTGCCCACCAACACGCCCAGCTAATTTTTGTATTTTTAGTAGAGACGAGGTTTCGCCATGTTGGCCAGGCTGGTCTCGAACCGCTGACCTCAGGTGGTCCACCTGCCTCTGCCTCCCAGAGTGCTGGGATTACAGGCATGAGCCACTGTGCCCGGCCAAGAAATCACCTTTCACTGGAAATTTCTCTTTTCCAGTCAAAAAGAAATTTTATCAACCTCAAACTAGACAATTGCAATAGCCTTTCTTCCGTGGCAGAATCTCTGTTCATTAAAGAATAGTATGAATGGCTGTTAAACCCATAAAAATGATTTCCTCAGAATTTTACCTCTGGAATATGTAATGATTAAAACCATAAAGCCTGATTCTTTAACATCCTGCGACAACTGTTAACTGGATTCCTTTAATTTTTTATTTATTTTTTATCTTTTTGAGAAAAGGTCTCATTCTGTCACCCAGGCTGGAATGCAGTGGTGCAATCATGGCTCACTGCAAACTCTGCCTCCCAGGCTCAAGCAATCCTCCCACCTCAGCCTCCCCGGTAGCTAGGACCACAGATGCATGCCATCATGCCCAGCTAATAGCTGATTTTGTTATTTTTAGTAGAGATGGGGGCCTCACAATATTGCCCAGGCTGTTCTCGAACTCCTGGGCTCAAGAGATCCACTTGTCTCTGTCTTCTAAAGTGCTGAGACTACAGGTGTGAGCCACTGTGCCTGGCCTATTAACTGTCAGATACTATAAAACCCAGAAAAATTCTCTTCTAAAACACTGAGTTGAGGCCTTAACATGAATTTCACTTTTTGTTTCTGATTTATCAGACCTTATTATATTTAATGTACTTAACTTGTCCGAAAAGGCAAAAGTTCCTCTTTGGTGCTTGTGTGTCATTCGAAAAATCTCAAGAGAGTCACTGTAGTTTTCTCATGTTCCGTGTAAGATCTCTTCTTGAAAACTCAAACGTATGGCCAATCACAGGTTCCTTTATGACCATAATTTTAAGGTGCCATTCTGATAACTTTAGGAAGCAAAGGCATGGCTTTGTTACTGCAGATTATTTTGCTGTGTCAACATACAATATTCATCTTATCCATCTTGGTCTACATTTCAATAGGAATAGATGGGACCATGGTAATAGAGAACAGTTTTGTTGTTGTTGTTGTTGTTGGGGTCCATAAGGGTTTTTCCATTTCTGTATCTTTTTTTTCTTGCTCTCTAGAGATTTCATCACATTTTAAAGTTTTGCCAAGCCAAAAAGCTACCTGAATGTAGAGCAGCATTCATCCCCTCTTGCCTATTTCTAAGCATTTCTCAGGGCTTAGTCATCCATCAGAAAAGGACCTCCCTTGATGGGAAAACTCCTTCTCATATCTCTTCTTTGACCTTCAGTTTCTACCTGCAAGAGAGTGAATGGCCTATTTCAAACACCGAAATCAATTTGTCTTTGGAAAGTCATCTTATATACAAATATTATCCTTACCTCAAATTGGGGAAAGGTTAATAATTTATGCAGAAAACTAAGAGAAAGGAATAGGGGAGGAGGAAAGATAGTTTATCAAGGGCAATTGTTTCCCTTTTGACTTCAAATGGTTCATCGAGGCCAAGCTGATGATTTCAATTGAAAATAAAGAAGTTGTATGAACGAATGCCATCATATTTTTTCCTCCTGAGAAAAACCACCATGCTGTGCTGGAGATTCATGGCATATATTTGAGCTCTGTGTTGTAAGAAGGAATACCCTAGGGCAAATGCGTGCTAGAGGGGCTTAATACTTGGCAGAATCCTTCTTTTTCAGTAGCCTGCTTTTATGACTGCTCCGACTGCACCTGTTAGGAAGATAAATAAAGGACTGGCCAATTCTTTCCTCTGAAGCGCCCTAAATATATCACTTTAAAAAGACTTTGGAAAAACAAGTTGTATCCTTACTTCTCACCCAGTAAATCTAAAGAAATTCCCTCTTGTTCCCAGGCCTTTCAAACAGTGAAGTCAGGAGTAAGGGAGACTGTGGACTGGTCAAAGGTGGAAGTTAGACTCACTAGCTGGTCTAAGGAATCCAGGAGGGTGGAAAACATGAAGAACTTACAATCCTTTATGCTCTCAATGACTCACTTTATTTTGGCCATGAGACACAGCCTTGAAACTTTTTTTTTTTTTTAGGCTCTGTATACACACACAATTCATAGAGTTTCCTTTTTAACAGCAATTTCAAAGTATCCCCGAATCAAACATGAATGTTGAAGTCAACTACCCAGACTGAAGTTGCTTTTAAAAAATGCTTGGACACAAAAACAAATAAATAAGTGGTCTCTTTAAAAACTTGAATAAATACAAAATGACATTTTTGCAATACTTTTGTAAACAAATACATTCTTCTTTTCAATTTTGTATGGTTGTGAGAGGAGATTGCTGTGTAATTATTGCTATTGTTTTTACAGTCCAAGGAAGCATTTTTGTTACTTTTATTTAAAATTATTGCAATTGTTTTATTTAAAAATTATTTTTAGGCTGTTTGTGGACACAGAGAAGAATTTTGATTATAATTAATAATGACTATTTTTATCTTCACTGCTCCTTAATTAGTCTATGAAAACTATATTAAGAGACACAAAATACTCTTGGCTGCCAGTATGTTCTGTGGTAATTCTAAACTTCATCTCTAGACATACTTAAGTGTGTTAGATGATAAAGAACAGGATTAAAGTTCTAGCAATCAAACATAAGTATGGAAATTTTAATTTCATGTGTGTACCTGAGAGCATGTGGCCACATCTTCTTTGTTATTATTCCATGTTAGTTCTTGATGGAAACAGATGTCTTTTCTGGAATCCATGGTTTGTTCAAAGTACTGCATCCTGGGGAAACTGAATAAATACACAGAAAGGTAGTAGCTGAATTAGTGTTCTGAGTTAGGTTAATCATGAAGTAGCTACTGTTTATTCATGAGGGGTTTCCTAAAATTTGAGAGCATACCAGTTAAGGAAAGCCAAACTGTGAAAAAGAAGAAAAGACTTTGTCACTTAATTTTCTACATGTATGCAAATTATCTCATAACTGGATAAGAAGAGGGCTTCTGTCCTTGCAGCTTTTTACAAAGACAGCCCCCCCAAAGTCAAAGTGATCATACTGTCTTGTCGTAATTCTGCTCTGTGTGGATAGGCTCAGTTTTAATTTACAAAGAGTATGTTTGTTTTAGACAGCCCAAAGATGGACCACAGGCCAAATTTCAAGATGTTCCCATTCATGGGACAGAGTATTTATGGGCTTTAACGTACATTTTCAGAGTAAACTTTTAGGTCCCATCAGATTGGGGCATGAATTGATTGATTTGGCAGAGGCGGAGACCAGAATCATTCAATCTCACACTTATTTCTCTTTCTATAATGAGTTCACAAAAAGCTAACTGTAATCTGACTTTCATTATGCCTTTCAAGTCTAAATCCACTTTGATAAGACTTGCCCTTTTATACTCCCTTAGGAATCCTTTTTAGGCCAATTTGGCACATCAGGGCAGCGTCTAAAATTACATTTAATAATATGTCAAATGTTAGATCTTATGATTTTGTTCTATTCTTTTTTTTTGATGTGTATTTAGCTATTTTGGTAAGTATTCTTCTTCTCTAAAATTGTCCAAATCTTTCCTAAATACTCTTTATAAATTGCTTTGCTTGCATCTGGTGATATCGTTTGCCTTCTAAAAATTTTAATGAATCTTGGAACAGAATGCTCTACTTAAAACTCAAAATGTGTCCTTTTTAATTCTACATTTTGTCATGTTTAGAGTTAGATGTCTTTAGGGTTGTTATGCACACAGTATGTGTCTTGGCTTTTTCTTTATGCATCTTAAATATTATGCATTATTAAACATGGTGACATAAAAAAAATTATACTATTTGTAGAACATTCTAGACAGCTCAAATTCCAGCTGCACCATAGACTGAATTACTTACACTTTGTATGCCTCTGTTTCCTCATCTGTATGTGAATAAAACAGTATCAACTCTTTGGGTCTCAGTAAGAATTAACTGAAATACACCAGGTAAAGTGCTTATTTTATCTTATTTTATTTTTTATTTGAGATGGAGTCTTGCTCTGTCGCCCAGGTCAGAGTGCAGTGGCATGATCTCGGCTCACTGCAACCTTCACCTCCCTGGTTCAAGCAATTCTCCTACCTCAGCCTCCTGAGTAGCTGGGGTTACAGGCATGCGCCACCACGCCCAGCTAATTTTTGTATTTTTTTGGTAGAGATAGGGTTTCAACATATTGGCCAGGCTGGTCTCAAACTCCTGACCTCAAGTGATCCACCTGCCTCGGCCTCCCAAAGTGCTGGGATTACAGGCATGAGCCACCATGCCCGGACAGGTAAAGTGCTTAGAACAGGGCCTAACATATGGAAAGATTTCAAGCATTTTCCTCCTAAAGCAGTAAACTCAGAAATCTTGTCTGGCACAAGGTATTAAATGCCTCATATTTCACATAAACTGATGGCATTTCCCTCAACATAAGGGATGTAACAACCACTGCTCACCTCCTCACTAGTGTAATATTTATAATACACGCCAAGAAAGCTGCTATGATAGTCATAACCATCATTCCCACCACTATATTTCCTTCTTTTACTTGTGGTGATACATCTTCGCTTTCACCCATAGAAGCTCAGATCAAATAAAAGGTCTATACTCCATGACCTCTGTTGTGTTCTTACTGAAATGAGCCATGTCCAATTCGGGGGTCTGTAGTTGTCAGCATAAGGTGATAACGGTTGGGTTGTTTCTTCACTGTTCTTGTGGGGACATGGCCTTTCCCACTTAGATGAAAGAGTTACCCTACAGAGTTGAACAATATCTATGTCTGTCTCCAAGGGTTATAAGTCTTGGGTTTGTGGGACTTTACAATTTCTCTCCCTGGCCAGGCGTGGTGGCTCATGCCTATAATCCCAGCACTTTGGGAGGCTGAGGTGGGAGGATCACCTGAGGTCGGGAGTTTGAGACCAGCCTGACCAACATGGAAAAACCCCATCTCTACTAAAAATACAAAATTAGCAGGGCATGGTGGCGCATGCCTGTAATCCCAGCTACTCAGGAGGCTGAGGCAGGAGAATCACTTGAACCTGGGAGAACGGAGGTTGTGGTGAGCCAAGATCGCGCCATTGCACTCCAACCTGGGCAACAAGAGTGAAACTCCGTCTCAAAAAAAAAAAAAAGAAGATTTCTCTCTCTTATCAGGGGTGCTTTTTGGTGGATAGGGTCTTCCTCAGTCTGCGCTTTCCTGAGATGACCACATAAAGAACTCTCCATGACCACATATGGATGTGGTGGGTGATTGATTGAGTGTCACTGTGTTTATTGCGGTGGAATTTTATTTTTATGACCCCACCTGGCGTCAGGACTCTTCTTCCTCTATTTTTAAAAAGTCACCCAATGTGAGGTCCAGCAACAGTTTGGAGCAAGGCCTTTAAGAAATTTATCCTATAACCCTATAGCCACATAAATAAGTGATACAAGATCAGGTACAATGGCTCATGCCTGTAATCCCAGCATTTTGGGAGGCCAAGGCCAGAGAATTGCTTAAGCCCAGGGGTTTGAGACCAGCCCAAGCAACATGGTGAAACAGCATGAAAAAATACAAAAATTATCTGGATGTGGTGGTGTACACCTGTAGTCCCAGCTACTTGGGAGGCTGAAGCAGGAGATTCACTTGAGCCCAGGAGGCTGCAATGAGCCATGATCATGCCACTGCACTCCTGCCTGGGTGGCAGAGTGAGACTCTGTCTCAAAATAATAATAACAATAATAACTGATTCAAGATCCCCAAAAAAGACACAGTAAAGGAGGAAACTGTTAACAATTCAAATTGCTTTTGCAATAATTTCTTTTTGACCTATGCTAAAATTTTAAGCTCCTTCAATCTGAGTAAATCTTCCCCTGCAAAACACACCCCATTTGATTCTTTAAAACATGGTAAGAGTAGTGAGGAAGGCAAGTCCTCAGATCTTAGCAATTTTCCCCCAGCCCCATGTTAACAATGAGAAGCTATTTGTTGCTATGTAATAAGGACCATATTTTAATCCTCTTCCTGTGTGAAATGACATCCTGAGATGAAACTTGCATAATTAGAAGGACAAAAGAATGAATTGACTAGGGGAGGAAAAAAAACCCTGTAGATTCAGGGAAATTCCAAAGGTTGAATAATGAGTCATTGAATATTTACATGATCAAGGTACAATTAGACTTCATCTATTCAGAACATTAGAGTACAGTACAGTCTTTGGCAACATTCGACCATAGTAAATAAATATGGATTAAATTGATTGAATCATTCTGAATAGCTGGATTCTCTGCACAGCTAAAGGTTAATTTTGTTATATAACCTCAGAGCCTTATTTTTTCCACCAGTTTGAATAGAAACATTCTTAAAATGTAATATATTACTCCTTGCTTTAAAAAATAAAGTACAGTGGATATAATTTGTCTTAAATTATAGATATCAGTTATTAGTAGCATGTGACACCCTGAGGGCCCAAATTATTTGCTCTTTTGAAAAATGGACTCATATTGATTTGTATTTTGAATTTCTTTCCAATTTTTCTTAGCTTTCCTACTTTATCCCTCCTAGAAGTGTGCTGTCTTCTTTAGTACTCTTGTCAGTCAGCATATGAAACTGTTCCCCTCACTCCCCTTTGTCCTTTATTATAGACGCCATTCCAGGTAATTAATCTGGCTGAGTAGAGTTTAGCACCACCTAAGGCACAACATTTAAGAAGGCACTGACTTTCTGGGTCACCAAAATGCAGGTTCAGCCCCTTAAGTGACCTCCTTAAATTTTGCTCCTCAGGCACCCTGCTTACCTTTCCCAAGTCCCAGGCCCTGGGTTTACTGAGGAGCTAGGGCCTTCTTCCATGAGGAAAACACAGAAACTCTTAGTGCCTGGAACGTAGGAGCTTGAGATAAATGCAGAGGCCCTTCAGAGGCCCTTTTATTTGGGTGGTCAGAAGCTGTTAGGTAAGTTGCTAGATAGCTGAATTCTGCATAGGGTAGGTGTTACTAGACACTATTGCCCTTTTGTCTCTATTATGGTGCACTTAGGAAAATGAGTTATTGCTTCAAAATCAATGTAAGGTTTTTATTTTGACTGATTCATTCATTTTATCAAAGCTGCAGATGTATATGATATATATGACCTGAGTTTGTTTTAAAAATAACATGCACAAAATCTTTTTCCAAAGAGATTTGCAATAAATTCAAAACCAGTGGTTCAAACCTTTTGGTCTCAGATCCCTTTGCACCCTTAACAATTATTGAATAAACTAAAGATCATTTGTTTATGTGCATAACTAGTGTATTATACACACTAACTTTAATTTGGAATACAGTAAATATTGTATTAGTGTGTCATATATTTACTGAATTAAAAATTAAAATTGGTTGGGCATGGTGGCTCATGCCTATAAACTCAGCACTCAGGGAAGCAGAGGCAGGTGGATCACCTGAGGTCAGGAGTTTGAGACCAGCCTGGCCAACATGGTGAAACCTTGTCTCTACTAAAAATACAAAAAATTAGCTGAGCGTGGTGGTGGACCCGTGTAATTCCAGCTACTCAGGAGGCTGAGGCAGGAGAATCTCTTGAACCTGGGAGGCAGAGGTTGTACTGAGCCGAGATCATGCCATTGCCCTCCAGCCTGGGCAACAAGAGCAAAACTGTGTCTCAAAATAAATAAATAAAAGTAAAATTGATAACGTTTAAAATACAAGAATACAGCCAAGTGTGGTGACTTATGCCTGTAATCCAAGCACTTTGGAAGGCTGAGGCGGGCAGATCACTTGAGCCCAGGAGTTCGAGACCAGCCTGAGAAACATGGCGAAACTTCGTCTCTACTAAAAATACAAAAATTAGTCAGGCATGGTACATGCCTGTAGACCCAGCTACTCAGGAGGCTGAGCTGGGAAGATCATCTGAGCCTGGGGAGATCGAGGCTGCAGTAAGCCGAGATCACGCCACTGCACTCCAGCCTGGGTGACAGAATGAGACCTTTCTTCTCAAAAAAGAAACACACACACACACACACACACACACACACACAAGAATGCACAAACAATTCTATTAGCTGTCAGAACATTGATATCATTACACATTATGTATCCTCTGGAAAACTTCACTGTCTATTTGTTAGAGAATATGAGTGAAAAAGGCAAATAATGTCTTAGCATTACTATTAGGAAAATCATTTTGACCTGGTAAACTCCCTACCTAGGCAGCTCCTGAAGATCCCAGACTGTACTTTGAGAACCACTAATATAAATCAATTTAGTATTTTTTTTTTTTTTTGGTATAGAGACAGGGTCTCACTACATTGCCCGGCCTGGTCTTGAACTCCTGAGCTCAAGCAAGCCACCCACCCCAGTCTCCTAAAGTGATGGGATTACAGGCTTGAGCCACCATGCCCAGCCTACTTCTTTTAAAAGTATGTAATTCTGTTAAATCCCAAAGTATAAAATATCCAGACCCATAATGCCTATAATGAATAGAGTGGGGAACAAAATAAGCAAGTAACTGTGAAAATGTTGAATTAAACATTGATTTTTGTCCAAATTCTTCATCTCTGCTACATAAGCAATTTGGCCAATAAAATACACTGTCATTTATATTTGCTGATTTTGGGGGGGTACACTGTTTTTTGTTTCTTTGTTTTGTTTTGTTTGAGTCTGTCACTCAGGCTGGAGTGCAGTGGTGCAATCTTGACTCACTGCAACCTTCGCCTACCCAGCTCAAGCAATCTTCCCACCTCAGCCTCCAAAGTAGCTGGGACCACAGGCACACATCACCATGCCCGACTAATTTCTTGTATTTTTGGTAGAGATGTGGTTTTGCCATGTTGCACAGGCTACTCGTGAACTCCTGAGCTCAAGCGATTCGATCTGCCCCCCAAAGTGCTGAGATCATAGGCGAGAGCCACTGCGCCCGGCCATGGGGTACACTTATGATTAACAGAATCAAACATCTCTAAGCATTATGAATGTCCCCATGAAAGCAATATTTTATGCTATGGGAGCTTCCATTGTGCTCGTGTCTGGGCATATGAGGTCCAGGTTGGAGTATGCATATTGTGTCAGACCCCACCATCAAGAGGGGAGACACCTGATAGTGTTTATTACATATTTAATCTAAAAAGAAAGATAATTTGCTATACCACCAAAAATGACAGTACAAGAGTTGGCCAGGTAGACCCTTCCTTATTCATCATGATGTTTACTAAACACAAAGCCTTCACATGTTCTATTTCAAAGCTAGAATTTTACTTTGAGAATAAGAAACGATAATCAGGAATAGCATACAATTTTCTCTTATGCCTCAAATTTCTAAAGAATATTTTTATTTTTAAAAAATTTTCCCCTAGAAAGTGACAGAAAGCCACAAAAACAGAACTAGAATCATAACATTTAATGATAACTGTTATTGTGTCTTCTTCTGTCTTTTTTATGCCTATATAATATATTCATATGATATAATTTTGCTCTCCATGCTATAAAAAAGCTAAATTAAATGGTATATAAGGGCCCATAAGATAGTTAAGTAGGTCAAATAATGTAATATTTGAGACAGCCCACGGGAAGAAGAGAACTGGGTGTTTTGTTGTGTTTTGTTTTGTTTTATGTGTATAGACGCAGACATATAAAAAGAGACAGGTTAATTAATTTTAAGACGTAAGATTTCTTTTTTTCCCCTTTAAGTTACTGGCCATGAAACCCTTGATCATTGAAAATAGAAATGGACTCCATTGGAGAGGGCCAAGCCATTTATGGAGTTACTGGGTCCCTAGTGTTTCTGCAGCAGCACAAAGGCCACATATGGGGCTGTCTATTTCATAGCTGCCACCAGTGCCCGTCAATTAGAATGCCTTGGCACAGGCTGTGCAGGCATGCCATTGGTGGCATACCTGTGCTTTTTACAGTAGGTGACCATAGGAAAAATCCACCATAAATAGATCTACCCCTTTGAAAGCATTTCAGTGCTGCAGAGGGAGAGAAAGTCTGTATATGTTCATTAGAAAGGATCAAAGAACAGCCGCCCTTGCCCAGGAAAGAGGGGGCTAGCTTTAGTTGTTGGTTCACAAACTAGTTCATTTTTAGGTTGTCCCTTAAAATATCCCCTTGGGCTTATTTTTTTCAAAAAGTATCCTTGTTTTTCCTTTTTATTCAAAAAGTTTTAAAATATGCTTCTTTAGTCCTGTTAGCATGTTTTCTAAAAAAGATATTGTGTGAGAGGACAAAGAAAGGAGAACAAAAAACCAACTGTATTTACCTAGCAAGAATGTTCCACAGAACTTTGCCCTTTGGCTTTTGAATAAGCAGAAGTACAGCAGGACCTCACCTCAATAAATATCGGTTTGCTTGTTTATGATTTAGAGAGCTTGCCAAAGGTGGGTGCCTCCCGACCATTGCAACACAGCTAACCTTGTTGACAACAGTTGGTGTGATTGACTGAGTGTTATTTGCTAAGAAACTGGTGGGACAGGTTCCTCGACACAAGTTGCTTTGCCGTTTTGGGGAGCCCCGATTTTAAAAGCGGGGGATTCCTTAGAAAGGTGAGGGGTGTAATATTCCTGAGAGTCAAAACTCTAGCCCTAATTGCTCTCCTGCCCTTGTTAAGAAATGGAAGACATGTGTTGACAGTAAGAAGAAATGTAAATGATGGAGCTGGGTGAATGCCCCTGGAGCCTTGGCCAGCGGGAGGGGAACCAATGAAAGACATAGTGTTCCTTGTGGGTAACACAGATGAAGAAAGCTGCCCACGGAATGCCAGGGGACGGTTATGGATTTCTTGGCAGCAAGGAGAAGCGGCTTTTGTGCAGGGAGGAACAGCCTGCCAGTCAACTATATTTATGGAGCACCTGCTGTGTGGAATCTGAAAAGGAGAAGGAGAAGGGCCTTGTCCTCAAGAAGCTTGTGATCAAAGGGAGAAGAAAAGTCCCCATCTACTGTAAACCCTTTAGGGTTCCCACTCACATTTGAAAAGGGAGTGGAACGGGTGATATTTAGGGGGTGTGCTGAGCCTTGTTACTCAAAGTGTGGGTTGTGGACCAGCAGCATCACCTGGGAGCCTTGTAAAAATGCAGAATCTTTTTAGTTTTAAAATTAAAAAAAAATTTTTTTCTGGAGATGGGGTCTTGCTCTGTCACCCCAGCTGGAGTATAGTGGTGCAATCTTGACTCACTGCAGCCTCCACCTCCTGGGCTTAAGTGATCCTCCCACCTCAGCCTCCCAAGTCGCTGGGACTTGGGAAGCACCAGCTAATGTAAAATGTTTTTTTATGAAGACAGGATTTCATTACGTTGCCCAGGTAGGTCTCAAACACCTGGGCTCAAGCGATCCTCCCACCTTGACCTCCCGAGCCACCATGCAGCCTTGAAATTCAGAATCATGAACCCTACTGCTGCAGACTCCAAGAGTCAGAATCTGCAGTTTGATCAGATCCCTAAGTGATTAATACGCATACTGCAGTTTGAGAAGTTCTAGAGGATTTCTGGAAGTAGTGAGTCTTGAATGTTTTAAGAGTGCAGAGTGAGTTGGTTCAATGACTCAATTGATACTAAAAGGCAATTCATTTACCTGTGAATTTCTTAAACACAAGTATCTTATCATATTGTAACCACTTTTATAACCTCTTTGACCTTGTTAAATTCATAATGGGAGTTCAATGAATTTAGGTTGCAAGGATGCTCCTGCCTATGGTCCCTATTCAGTGAGGTACAGTGGAAATTGCTGTTAATGAATGAATGTTACAGAGGCAGCCAATGAATTTTAGGAACATGTAAATTATTTTTAGAGAAGCGGGCAAAGCTAGCCATGACAGGACCTGTCAGAGACAAACATATGAATTAGAGCGAGAGAGATGCATGAGCAGTTCCTTCAAGGTAAATGGGGACACCTTGGGGGCTCTGAGACTTACCTGCAACACTTCATTTTCCATTTAAGTCATGTGCTGCTTGGCCTTTACCACTCCTTGGTTTCCCAGTTTCCAGGTTTAAGACAACTGGAATTCTCTGTTTCAAATGCTCTGAAAAGGACTAAGGTCCTATTTTCTCTGATCATTTCTGTCTCACCATGATTGATTAATTGAATCGTTGATTGATCTACTTATCTGCAGTGTAAAAACTATAATGCATAAAAATTGCATCGAGCTCAACTACTATTCCCACTTTACAGTAGGGGTATGAGGGACTCACCTCTTCTGTCCAGTCCCCAGATGCTTCCTCAGTCCCCATCCCAAATGCAAACACGTTTTAACACATGCAGCTCACAGACCTAGAAATAAGGCATATCCTTAGCAGGCAGCATGTGGAGGAAGACATAAGTGTCTTTTCGTAGGTGTGTCCGAGTAAAAATGATGATCATAATGATAAAAGCCATGAAAAGTTAAAGTCTATGTGACACTTGCCATGTTCTCTACCCCTGTTAATGCATTCATTCCTGCCAATAACCCCTGAGTTAGGCTGTGCTATTATTTCTCTCATACTTGAGGAAATCGATGTGCACCCCACTCCTACAAATAGGGAGGGCAACATCCATATGAGGTTATGTGGTCTTGAGAATAAGACCAAGCAATTCAGTGGGGAAAATGGTGTAATTGCGCTGAGAAGTCCACCAGTCCTCCTCTGCCTTGTCCAACATAGGTAGCAGGGAAAGGAAGTGCAGGCCCGGGCTGCAGAGCCCAGGCTCTGAGTCAAGCAAGCCTGGATCACAGCCTGGTTCCACACTCCCTAGGCTGTGGGATCTCAAAGAGTCTCAGTTCCCACTTGCAAAATGGAGATAATCATAGTACTGATTTCACAGAGTTGTAAGGATTATAAGGATTAATATGCACTAGGTCCTACATGCAGTGGGTTCTAATAAGGGGTTGCAATGTATTTACTCCTTCACTGGCTATAAAGTAAAGAGGTTTCTGTAATTTTGAGAAGAAAAAGTTCTGGATCTGCCTATTTACAGGCCGGTATACATTTTCCTATTTCTACTCCCTGCAACCATCCCACAACGGTCCTAGCAGTCCTAATATCCTATAATGTTTCTGCCATTCTCTCTGATAGAGTTGGCTATTCATGACCAATATTTTGTGGATTCAGTGGAAGTTGAATTAAGCCCTTTAAATTATCATTTTGATTTTTGGTCTGTTACATAGCCCATGGGGGCTACAGACAAAATGGAAATGGAGAATGTACATTTAGGGAACATTTACAGATTTAGTGCCCAAGATGATTCTCTTTTACGTATTTGATTAGAATTCACCATTGGCCTTAGTTGGATTTTAAGCAACTACAGTTACCCTTAAAAAATGGGAATTGGTCACATAGATGCTAAACAAGTATGATCAATTTAATAGATGTCCAACCACCAAAAGAAGCCCTCCTTAATTCTTTTGTATCAATTCTCTATGCATTTAATGTGTTTTCAGCAATAAAATGAGATACCAGGGAGATAAGAAAGGAAGGAAAGATCCCTGGCTTTGTTTAGATGGGGAGAAACAGAAACATAAATATACAGAGACTATTAGAAAATAATTAAGTCATAGTGAAAAGAGAATGTGTTATGATGTAGTCCAGAATGCAAAAGAATAAGGAAGAAGAACAGAATAGAATAATCAGCTCTGGCCGGGCACAGTGGCTCACGCCTGTAATCCCAGCATTTTGGGAGGCTGAGGCAGGTGGATCACAAGGTCAAGAGATCGAGACCATCCTGGCCAACATGGTGAAACCCTGTCTCTACTAAAAATACAAAAATTAGCTGGACATGGTGGCATGCACCTATAGTCCCAGCTACTCGGGAGGCTGAGGCAGGAGAATTGCTTGAACCCAGGAGGTGGACGTTGCAGTGAGCCAAGGTCACGCCACTGCACTCCAGCCTGGCGACAGAGCGAGACTCCATCTCAAAAAAAAAAGAAAAAAAAAAAAGAATAATCAGCTCTGAGAGCCTTGAGAAAAATATTGGCAATAAGGATAAAGATTGCCAAATGATAGTAATGGTAACAGTTCAATTATAGAGCTCTTTCTACATAGCAGGAACTACCCTATGCATCTTACATAGAATTGGCACCCTAAGAGGTTATTTATCTTGTTATTCTTATTTCACAGATGAAGAGCCCAAGGCTGTTAGAGATTAAGGAATTGCCCATGATTGCACAATGAATAAGGCAGAGTCAGGATTCAGACCTAAGTCTGACTCCATCACATGTTCAGAAAAAGCAGGAGGTCTGCTGGGAAGAACAGTGGCAGAAAGGTCAGAAGGGGAACAGAAATGGCTCTAGAACAGAGAGGCCACTGAGACGTAGTAAGAGAAGGGAGAGAAAGAAGTGCCCATGAACAACGGCTTTGAATGCGAACCTGGGGAGTGTAGACCTAACCAAATAATAATAGAAATACTTTCAAGTAGAATAATGGGATGAAACACAGTTGTAGGATAAATAACTTCTGCAGCTGTGGAGAAAGGAGACTGGAGGGATGAGAAACTTGTCTGTAGACAGAGCCAGGAAGAAGTCCTTGGGCATGGCATGGCAATGGCCCAGTCTGAAAGATAGCGTGTCAAAGAAATTGGCATCTCGCTCTCAGTATTCTGATATCCGTGTGCTGCAACAACTTATTCAAAGCCAAGAGGACAATATTAGATTTCCATTTCTGCACTCAGATCTCTGAAAATAAAATGCTTTGACTGACAGTTTCATGTTTTGGTTGACGATAACCCTAGTGATTCTTTCCATGATGTAGTGAAGAAACAAAAACATTTCTGACAATGCCATCCAAGGGACATTTGTGTTTTCACTGTATCTGCAAATTACATCACATCCTGCCACGTTTTCTTCTGTCCATCTATAAGTTTATGTTTTTTGTCTTTTGGTTATATATATCCTTCTCCCTCACTAGTAAATAGTAATAAACTTATTTATGGCCATCTGAATAAAAGTTTTTAAAAAACAATAAATTGGAGTTTATACTAGCCCCAAAATCAGTGATGGAAAAAGACATGATTGCATCCTGGCAGGCCTGCATTACTGTTTTCTTGATTTCTGTTACGGTGCAATCCATTCATTTTTCTATGCTCATTCCAGCCTTCCTAGACTAGAACGGGGCATTTGGCCTACACATAGTGGTGACTGTTCAGCCAAACTGCTTGTTATGGGGCATCGTCCGCCCTGCTTAACAAGAGTCACTTGTGGAAAAAAATGTGGAAAATCCCATATGCTGACAAAGGCTCCCAGGATTCCACAATGTGCCTATAATACAAAAACTTTGTTATCTTTATATTTTATTTAGTAATCAAGTAGAAGATAATTTTAGAAGCGATCACCTTCATTAACTGCCTCTTCTTGTCCTGGAGATGAAGCAGGTGGTTCATGAGTGAGTGATACTCACATGTCACTAATTCCCAATTCTGGGCATCCACAGGGATTTGGCACGGGAAATGCTATGCTCTTTGTTCATGTGGATGCCTTTACCTACTTGGAAATAGTATGTTCTTTAACAGAAGTTTCTTTGTCAGACTTCATAGCCAGACTGCTCTGTAATAACCAGACATCGAAAGCCAGGTAAACCAAAACCAAACCTCAAAACCAGAGCCTGGAAAATTTTGGATAGGTGTAGGTGGGAATCTACTCCAAGCACGTATGCTTCCAGAAACAACTCTGAGAGGGCTTAATTCTGTTTCCCAGTGAATTGCACCGTCCTTGTAAAACAACAACAACAAAGCACTGCAAAGCCAGAGGACTTTCATGTCATCTGCTTTCAGAAAGTGTCTCTCATGCAGGCAGAACAATGTTGGCGATGCAGTGGTGCTCTTGCTTTCTGGGAAAAAGGGGTCTCATTTCTGCACCGACCTTACCTTAGACTCTACGGGATATGCTCACCATATGCTTGCTACCCATTGTGTTTCACTTCATCCTAACAGCAGTCCTGCCCATATAAGATGCGGCCATTTCTCTAGAGGCAGGAAAACAGGCTCAGCACAAGTAAATGCCCGGCCTGCCTCTGGAGGGGATAACTAAGTGGCAAGGACACTCGGATCCCCATTCTACCTTTATCTTTCCATCACTACACCATGCCACCTCCTGGAAATCTATATACCACACATAAATGGCAGCATGTATGTCTTGGGCCTCTTGATGCAGTAGGGTGTGTGTGTGTGTGTGAGAGAGAGAGAGAGAGAGAGAAGAGAGAATGTGTTTCCCTCCTCCATCCCTCTTGTGAGTACACACAGGTGAGATGGCTGCCTGCAGCAGAAGCTGCCTGGGGCTGTAGAAAGCAGTTCTTCTCTGTGATAAATGAGCCTGACATTTCCATGACTCTTTCCATTTCTAGAAAATGAAGTGCCAGCCCCAGCCCCACCCCCGGAAGGTGAGTAAAAACACTCACTCACACACGTTTGGGCTGCAAATACAGAGGGTCCATCCCAGCATGATTTGGCCTCCACGGGTGCTGTGAGCTGTGAGCTTTAACCTAACTCCTACTGAGAAGTTGGATGGTGACCATTGTGATAAGTTGAGAATAATAAAAATAATACACTGTGTTTATATAATCCTCTTGTGTTAATCTAATTTGGATGGCACTTCATATATATTAGGGGGACAATTCTTATGAAACCTTTCAAATTATGTAAAAGTTATTATGTCCGCATTTTACAGTGTGGAGGCTGAGCCTCCATCCAAGGGGCTGAAGAATTTGTGAGGCTTTTTCCTATATAGTGAAGGTCAAACAAACCCACATCTTCTTTATGAGAGTGGGGAGTGGATCCATCTCTACCCTGGAAGATCAGCTGTCCCTTCTCAACTTGACATATGTCACTATTGAGCACCTCCAGAAACTCCCTAGCAGCTATCCAGAAAGGTTTGGTGACCTCTGAGGTTCAACGTGAGGACCAACTTCTTGAGTTCTTAGCACCATATTGTCCACCAGCTGGCAACAGGAAATGAGTACAGAGATCCAGTGAGACCCTTGGCAGGTAGGGCAGTCCCCTATGACACACAATATATGAAGCTTGTTTTTATGTCCACATACACCTAAAGAAGAAAAGAAAATTAAAAGATTAAAAGATTGAAAGCTCAATGTGGCTTAAACTCCCAACATGGCTCTTCAGAGTCATTTATCAGCCAAATAGCCCCAAGATGGAAGCAACCAAAATCATGTGCATTTTCCCATAAAGACTCCAAAGTGGCCTTCCTCATCCCTCTTCCTCCTTGAAAAGGATGAGAAACTGGCATCCCACTCAATAATTATTCACTAGGTATTTACCCTGTGCACAACTCTGACCTAACCCTTCAGAGGGATTCAGACATACCTATCATGTACGTATTGATAGCTAGGTGCAAGCATATTGTACCAGATGTAGTGGGGAACTCTACATAGAAAACATCTCCCTGTATTCAGTTTGTTTGCAGCCAAGTAGAAAATAGAATACAGCCTGGGAAACAATTAAATAAAATGCAGCCAAAACATTAAAACATTAGGCAATATTATAAGAACCCCCCGCCCCCCCCCCGCCCCCCCACACCAAGCAGTATGTGATTACTTGTGAGTTGCTTAAACTGGCAATGTGTTATGAAGCCAGCAGGTGACTGTAGACCTGGTCCAGCTTAGGTGAAAGCAGGAGTTTGGAGAAGGTCTCAGTTTCTAATCATCTTTTCACACAAAAACTTATGAGGCAATTATAAAGCTCTTCCTCTTCCTCCCTGGAGATCGTTTTTCTTTTTTCTTTGTTTTCTTTTTTCTTTTCTTTCTCTTTCTTGAGACAGGGTCTTGCTCTGTTATCCAAGCTGGAGCGCAGTGGCACCATCACAGCTCACCGCAGCCTCAAACTCTTGGGCGCAAGCAGAGATTGTTTTTCAGGAGGGCAGTTTGAGAAATCTAGCTGCTCACAAGAGGCCCTTTGTCCAGCTAAGAATACTAGATTCACACACTCAAACCCTAAACAGTATAGAGAAGTATTACTATGTGTCGAAATGAACGAAAACTGGCTCAGTGCCATATGAGTTCAAACGGGAAAGCTCAGATTTATTTTCTTTAGATCTTGATCTTGAAACTAGTGTAGATGTGTGACATTCTTCTTAGGATCTTCCTGTTCCTTGGTATGTTTTCTCCTTGCCCATAACAAATGTACTTTGACCAACATTGAGTACACTGAGAACCTACTGGCCATTATAAACAAACCTTTCCCTTCTGTTTTTCAGATCAGTTACTGCCACTGAGCCACTATCGTTTCCTTTGTATGTCATATTTCATATTCATTGCACAATATTGACTTCCTGTTGCTCAAATGTCTCCTCCCAAATTCTGCTAAAATTGTCCTTCTTAGTTAACTGAGATTTGAATCTCCATTCATCAGTCCGAAAAAAGAGAATGCATTCTTGAAACAATTCTTTTCTTACTGATTCCATAAGTCAGATACCATTTGCAGGTCTAAACTAATATGATCCCAAACACAGAGAAATGCAAACTAGATGGTCTCAACTGGTAGAATCTGATGTTACTGCTCTTGTTTTGCATTTATTGCCACTAAACCCAATCCAGAAGATTCACATGGACACTGAAACATTTTCTTTGAAGCAACATACACTGCACACAATTACATATTTTGTACTTTACTAGAAAATCTAGAAGTCCAAACTCTTGGAATCATTACATGGGGCAAACTGACTTTTCTTTAAAAAGTCAGTCCCTTGCTGAGGTCTAAAATAAAGTGGCTCACATTTGTTTTGCCTAATTCTACTCCAGCATGTTATATAACATGATCCAAGTATAGTTGAGTGCATTTTAACAAAATCTGTATTGAGTGTTCTTATGTGTACTTTTCCAAAAATGATCAGATTAATTGCTTTTCACTAAAAGTTTAGTGTGGCTCTAAGTTATAATTTCTAAATTCATAATTCATGTACAGCACGAGTATTCAGTATCATTTATGACCTGTTCTGCTGTCATTTATTTCTTCCCTCCCCCTCTCCACCCCGTTGCTCATCACACAATAAAATGCTTTAAGGCACTTTAAAAAATATGCTTGTACTTTCTACACAGAACCAAGTAAAGAGAAGGAGGCCGGAACTACACCAGCAAAAGGTGAGTTGGAGGGAGGGAGAGTGAGGCTGAAGTCAACAAAATTAGAAGCAGAAAGAAGTCAGTAATGATTGTCATGGTGGCTCCATAGAATTTCTCTGCATTATCTTTCGTTCTGCCTTTGCATCTTATCTGCAAGTCCCAATCAGTATAATGACAAATGGTGCATTGCTAAGTTTCCATTACATGTATTTCTAAAAGAAAAACAACAATGATAAAAATATCACAAGCACTTGTTGAGATGCCAGCAAATTAATTGGTAGTTTCCAAGTTTCGACATGCATGCTAAGAAAGAGAGGTGTTTGGTCTTCTTAGGATTATATCAATTGGGAAAATTATCTGAATTACCCGGTTTTTTTTTAAATTAAATGTTTTCATGTTATTGTGTGAACTGTTCCAGGGTTCACTAATAATTTTGAAGGCTAGCATCTCACTTTGTAACACTGACTATGTATTCATGTAGATTTATATAATGATTTCTACAGATACACAATATAACATTAAGAAGACATGTTGCCCCTTCTTGAACTGGAAACTATTCCTGTAATATTATCCTATTTTTACTTTATATGGAGATAGTCTCATTTTAGAAAATAATCTTAATCATATACTTCTGTTACTCCATGAAATGCTAATTCCTTTGTCTCACCATGGAAGAAATGATTATCATTACTGACCATCTGTCTTAAGCTAAGGAGCATTAGTCTTTCATAGAGGGAAGTTTCATGAAGGTGGATTAGACAGCTTTGCTGTATATGTTTGTATTGTCATTTTAAAAGTGAACCTTTTATTTGCATAATGAATAAAAAAGTTTAAATTTTGGAATAACTATTTCCTGACTGCAACAAGAAGTTTCTCTTTTTCCTGGACACTGCTCAAAACCATGTTAAGTATCTCTTTGTTCTTGATGTGTCATATTTCATTATCTAATTTCTATGATATTCTTGTGTCCTATACATTAGTAAAATACTTTTTTCTTTCTTTCAGTAGATTGGATTACTTTCCTTCAGCTAACTTGAACTTATGCTCTCATAATGAACGCATAACGTTAGTATACTCACTTTGTCCTTGACCTTCAGTGGCTCCCATGGAGAGTAACATGAATACTAATCCTGGCCACGTGGGCGCAGTTTGAAGGTTATTTGCTTATGGAATGCAGACAGTGCAAACTCCTAGAACTCCTTCCATGGGATGGTTTCAAGGAGGTTTGGGCATCCTGGCTGAAATTATTGTAATATTATTCTCTACAAGGCCAATGGGCATACACCTCTGTTTCCAAATTTGGAAAGGTGTTTGGGCCAGGCTGCAAGGCTCAACCAACAGAGCAGATGATGTAATCCCAGAGGGCAAGCTGTCAAAGTTTAAACAAAGCCTGTGCCTGACCCTTAATTTGAAAAGTCACCATATTATACTTGTATGCTTAAATGAGAAAATGTCTTTCCTTAAAGTCAACCAACCAACAAAAACTCTTTTATTTATGGAGAACACAGCGTGATGAAAGAGCAAGGCTAGATGACTAGGGCATTTTGAAATTAGTAGCATTTTTCTGACGTTTGCAGAAGATAAGCAAAACCATGACCACATGCAGTTGCATGCCCAGGTACAAAAACTGCCGTGTGTGTGTGTGTGTGTGTGTGTGTGTGTGTGTGTGTGTCTGTATATATATTATATAATGGCAAATACATGTATATATATATGTATTTGCCTTACATACCTAGGAAGCAAATCAATTTGGGATAGAAAGTGACATCCCTAAATAAAGAAGGTAAGTGAATGGAAGTTTATAATAAATATACAGTCCTCTTCATCAAGGACAGAGAAAATACCTATGCAAAAAGTAGACACAATAATTACTGCTACTTGGATATCCCCAGTTGAGAAAGGAGCCCTGCACGAGCATAAACAGGATTGATGGGTGCAACCTACCTTTTCTCCAGCATGAGCTAGAACTCTCCTGCTCTCCCTCCCTCCTCCAACTGTCAGTCTATTTTTTTTTTTTAACCATCCAACTCAGGTTTCACTTCTTTGAACAGCTTTCTCCTGACCATCCTGGCTTACTTTTATCTCCCCTTCTTTCTCCTGATTTCTCTTGGACCTGTTGCCTCCATCATTCAATCACTCTTGTCTCCACATAATCGCACATTAATGGTTGACTCCTTTTCCTAACAGGTTGTAAGCTTTTTGACATTGGCCCCCTCATCTTATTCCCTCCAGCATCTGGCAGAGAGCTGCACATAGCAATCATCTAATGAATACTTGCAAAATGAATGAGCAGTTGAATTTCCATGCTGGCTTAGCTGCTGACCATTCAATGGTAATCTGGATAGATTTTTATTTCCATTCAACATGTGTGCTGGGTAGGAGGATGAACATCCTATGTATGTTCTTAGTCACTGAGGGTTAGAATGAGACACTGCTGCAGAACAGAAGGATGATTTCCACTGTAAGACCAACTTGCCTAAAGCTACTGAAAATGGTCTTGCCTGGATTTTGGTACATTTTCAGCACTTTAACTGGTCTTCTATTTAATTGGTTGACATATATTCAATTAATTGCTCCAAATCTGTCACTATTAAGAATATTATTCATCGCAATCCAGCCTTAACATCATTCCCAGATTGATTGAATCATTCTGCAACAGCTCAGAAATGTTCTGAAAATGCTTTTTGAAGCCACAGAGAGTAGATTCTAGAAGATTTAATCTTAGAAGTAGTATTTGTGATTAGATTTGCCAACTTTTTCATATTTGCTAAAAGTCTCTGTCTGGAAAGCAGCCAATTTCCCAGCACGGGGTTTTATGATTGTTTGCTTGCTTGCTTGCTTGCATCTGGCTATCCATCCAGCTATCCTGTTCCTTAATACTGACCACTTTGTCCTGGGACCTGGGCAAAGTCTTCTGGAATTGAAACAAGAGAGATGACAATAAAGAAATGTGTTTAGCCCAACAGCAATAGCAGAAATTAGATGTGCAAATCTCCTTTAGAGGAATCATACCAGGAGGCAATGCCTTTATACAAATAACGCTGTCCTGGCTTAGAATTCTTTCATAATAATTATAGGTAGCAAATTGATGGAACACTAAATATAGATTCTTTTCTGTATGCTCAGTGGGGCCAAAGATTCGCCTTTTATTCTAGCACGTATTTATTCAGCAAGATTTGCTGAGTGTTGGCTACATGCCAGGCACAGATCTGGGCACTGGGTCCTGCCCTCCTGGAGCCAAGTTACACTTTATGGGGAAGAACAACCATCAACAGAGGAAGGTGGATTTCAGTTTTGAAAGCAGACAAGAGTCACAGAGGGCCATGTGTAGGGAATAACGTGGGTGATCAAGTGGGATCATACTTTTTTTTTGTCAACTAAGATCCAACATCCTATGTCTGAACATAGGGTAATTGGAGTAGGTTTCTGCTGTGCCTCAACAGCTGGCCCTGTGGAAAGTTCCGAAAATGGTTCTGTGGCTGGTCCAAAAAGTGACAGCAGCATTAGAATCAGAGGCCACTTTGAAGACCTGTACTCATTTCCATGCCTAAGTGCTGATATTTTATTTTTACATCTTATTAGCTTAGAGTCTGTATCTTTTCAATTGGTAAAGTTACTTCCTTTTTTTATTACTGCTTTTGGTAATCGTGAAAAGGGAAATAAAACCTTATTTTCTTTTCCCAGGCATTCACCACATAAACTATCGTGAATGAACCCTGTGTGTATTAAATATCTCACATAACCTGAGATGAAGTCTTTCTTTTTCATGAATGTGACTGGCAGATGAGGAAGTGAGTCAGCAGAAGTTCCAACCTGAATTATGTGATTTTGTTTTAAATTTAAAAAAATGATTTTTAAAAAAATTTAGGTTCTTTTACATCTGCAATAACATTACCCTGGTGCTTTTTACTAGCATGCTAAAATATTTTTGTACGATTTACCTTTAGGTGTCAATCAGCCATCTACTAAAATTTCTCCATGCTTAATCTATGTATTCTAATTACATTACTTCTTTGTAATGAACTTTGTTAAAAATTAATGTCACCACACTTTTCAATTCAAAGACACAGCCACTATTAGGCAAGATTGATTTAATAGATTTGAGGAAGAAAAATTCATTAAATGTACATACTTATTGTAGGATAAATCATGGTTTTATAAGCATCAAAGTGTGAAGGCATGTATCGTCTCATTAAGAAAATGCAATAAATTAACCGAATGCCTCAAAACATGATGAATTAATGTTAGCTATTGTTATTGTCTCCCATATTTTATTGCTGTTGTTATTTTGGTCACAAACACCAGTATGTACTACAACTGATTACTCTGCTTGAGGAATTCATGAATTTGTCTCAGTCAAACAAGGTATTGTATCAGTATTTCACTGTTTGTTTACAAGTCACATATATTTTAATTTTATAAGCTTTTGGTCTTTATTATTAAATCTCAACAATTGTCTCAAGTTTATATTGCTTAATTAATTTTAAAAGGCAATTTAAAATCAACCATAGGTAGGAGTTGCTTTATGCCCAAGAGAGTTTGGATAATTATAAGAATGTACACATTCTACTATCTCTGGAGCTTTTTATTCAGTTACAAGTCTCTCACTCATATTACGAAGTATTTATGTGTACTCCCCTAAAACCCCAGGCTTGTAATATAAGACTGGGTTCTTTCCCTACTTTCTAGAATTTCTTCTCTGGGAACTTCAGTTGTTTAAAGAATCATTTTTACAGTCTTACAAATGCTATTTTCCCATGACTTACAGATGAATAAAATTCTGCTTTAGTAAACTGCCCTTCTATGTAGCTAGGGGGAAGATAGCCCTGCTACGCTGAGTGTGTGGTTTCCCTGTATGTCATATTCCAACAAGCTAAAATCTGATGTTTATGTATTCATCATCACCACGTTTAGATAGAAAAAAATGAAATATGACTTACATATATTTTTTGTTTTGTTTGAAAATGTTGTAAGATGCTACGTCATTCATATATATGTTGTTGAACTGGACACAACCAGAAAGATTTGGATATTCAAATTACCTCCTAGCAATAGAACCTGGTTTCTATGAAAAATAAGAACCATTAAACATTTCAGTCTCATCGAACTCAACCAAATCAAGCCAGGCAATTTTTTGAGAATTTAAGGTCAGAATCCCAATATCTTAACTACATTTCCCAATCTAAAAAAAAGTGCCAGGACTGAAGCAACTTTTAAAAGAAAGGAAACTGGCTGGGTGAGATGGCTTGTGCCTGTAATCCTAGCACTTTGGGAGGCTGAGGCAGGAGGATCACTTGAGCTCAAGAGTTTGAGACCAGCCTAGCCAACATGGTGAAACCCCATCTCCAATAAAAATACAAAAATTAGCCAGGCATGGTGACAAACACCTGTATTTCCAGCTACTCAGGAGACCGAGGCAGAAGAATTGCTTGAACCTGGAAGGCGGAGGTTGCAGTGAGCTGAGATGGTGCCACTGCACTCCAGCCTGGGCGACAGAGTGAGACTCTGTCTAAAAAAAAATTAATTAATAAATAAAAATAAAAGAAAGGAAACAGTAAGCTTTGCTCATGTTGATTATGTTTTCTAGCACTTTCATAAATTTGAAAATTTATGTGCAATGAATCCAAGATTGCCAATTGAGAAGTAATTGCTATTTGACACTACTGTTGGGTGATCTAGACGAAGACTATTTCATGATACTCTGAAGCGCTGCATTCATATGTATTCCTTCATGGTCTAAAACAACTGTGCATGTCCTCCAAATAGTCTTAACATTTAGTAGACTTTGAAACTACTCACCTATCAAATTTTTGCTTAAAAAACAGATTGCCGGCCAGGTGCTGTGCCTCCTCATGCCTGTAATCCCAGCACTTTGGGAGGCCAAGGCAGGAGGATTGCCTGAGCCCAGGAGTTCAAGACCAGCCTGGCCAATATGGTGAAACCCTGTCTCTACTAAAAATACAAAAATTAGCTGGGTGTGGTGGCAGACGTCTGTAGTCTCAGCTACTCAGGAGGTTGAGGCACAAGAATTGCTTGAAACTGGGAGGTAGAGGTTGCAGTGAGCCGAGATTGTGCCACTGCACTCCAGCCTGGGCGATAGAGGGAGACTCTGTCTCAAAAAACAAACAAAAAAACCCAGACTGCCATCATTACATATTCTATGCATGTAACAAACCATCACATGTACCCCATAAATATGTGCAAATATTATGATGTATCAATCAATTTTTTAAAGACAAGATTATTTTTCTTCATTTTAGTTTCATGAAAGTAAGTGAATACTCTTCTCATTTTGTGTTCTAGGTAATTAACTCAATGTTTCATTATGCTCTGTGCACAAACAAAAAGTAAACCACCACAAAACCTTTATAAAGTATTCATTTGAATCAAAATGGTTCAAGCGTCCAGTTTATATTTAATAAAGAAAGCTCCTTTCTAGGACTTGATTGAATTTTAACTTCATTTCTGTTAATTTTTACAGGACTTTAAATCAACAATCTTATATATTTCAGTAAATAAAAACCTCTGAATAGGTAACAAGAATAAAGTACTAAATACTGAATTAAATCTATGGCAAGTAATATTATGGGAAAATTGTGAGTTATTTTCGTTTTGAACATGTAAAATTTTAATTATTTCACAGTCTTCTGAATAACGGAATTCTTCTAATAGCTCAGAAATACCTATACCGGGCAAATGCACAATGTTGTGGAATGTGAATGCATGCATATTAGTTCAGGAGAAAAAATTCAAAATGAACTAAGTTTGGGAGGTGCTAACGACCATATCATTTCTTGTCACCCCCACTTCCAGTACACATTATTTGCACACTGAGAGCTTTGAGATATCCTGCAGTAAACACATAAACACAAAACAATAAAATACAAGCATTTAATTCCAGCCTAGCATTTTTCAAGCTTCTTTGACCACAGAGAGCTTCCTGTTAAGAATCTCAAATCCCACATGACCCAGTAAATCACCTCTTGGATTCTGAAGTAATGATATTAATATATTATATTAGTAATTTTATTAAAAAGTAATAACACATATCCCTGTTTGACAGTTTGGGAAAAGAAATTTCAGGCCAGTGGGTAATACTTGTAGTAAATATTCTAATAGATTATATAAAAACATACTATTTTATGTCTTTTTGTCAGGAATTTTTAAAGCACTTTTTAATTAACATTCCTGGGCATGTATTTCCTGTATCCTGCTTGTACAGTCATATACATTTACATTTTGAAATCCACAGTTATTCTAGTTTGCTTTTGTTTTTGTTTTTAGAGTCAGGGTCTTGCTGTGTCATCCACGCTAGAGTACAGTGGCGTGATGATGGCTCACTACAGCCTCCAATTCCTGGACTCAAGTAACTCTCTAGCCTCAGCCTCCCAAGTGGTTAAGACTACAGCACACACTACCAAGTGCTCAGTGTGCAAATAATATACAAGCCCGGCTAATTAATTTTTTTTTTTTTTTTTTTTTTTTTTACGGAGAGAGTCTTGTTATGTTGCCCAGGCAAATTCACAAATATTCTAGTATTTTAAGTACGAAGATTTTATTATTCATAAAAACACTAGTTTATGCTTTGGGAAGAGCAGAGCAGAGGTTCAGATAACAACAAATGCTCTTTAAGGATGTAAAATATGAACTTTGTTCACAGACCTCAGTGATGTGAGCACTGTTGCTTAGGAGTAACAAGTTGCTAAAATGCAGAAGGGATGGGTAGTGTTTCTTGCTTCTCATGATGAATGTTTCTGTATGTTAGTGACTTGCTGGGTAACTAGTAAGGTACTAAATTGATAAATGTGTACAGGGTCCTTTGCAATAAAACTGGTTATGACTTGATCCAGGTGTTTAAAAATCGGGGCTGTTAAGTCTGACCATACATCACTGTGATAGAATGTGGGCTTTTTCAAGGATGAAGACACAAGTCTTAACCACACTGTAACTTATAGTTCCCTTAAAAAAAAAATAAATAAATAAACCTGGCAGCTATAGAATATACCAGGTGCATTCATAATAGCTGTTTTATGTATTGGAGTGTTAACATTTTTAAATTAAATGTTTTACATTCACAAGTGATGGGGAGTCTTATCATTAAGGTGTGTGTAATTTAGAGTTCAGTTGGTTTTATTCTAACTGGACTGCACTTGTTTTCATAGTGGTGAAATGCTATGCGCATTTATACCTTGCGTAAGTCCTCATTCTACCACACGATAAATAACCCGCTGGCTGATAATATAAACACTAACTGGAGAGATTTTATTTATAAGGGCTCTAGAATAAAATACAAGTTTTTCACACCAGCATCATCTGTTACTAATACTCTTAATTAGTTAGTGCAGCTTTTCATTTTGTTGTGGTTGGTCTCCTGACTAGGTTGAGTTTTCCTCCTCTGCTAACAGGAAACAATACCGACGTTCTTTTTCTTATAGCATTTGTATTATAAAAAGCACAAAGCTCCAGCCCACTGAACCTCTGCCAATTAAGATGGTGTTGGGTTAGGCTGCATCTGGTTACTGTCCTGGGAAAATCACTTTAATAGAGATGGTCTTCCAAGCAGTTTTAAAATTTATCCTTCTGCCAGGCGCGGTGGCTCACGCCTGTAATCCCAGCACTTTGGGAGGCCGAGGCGGGTGGATCACAAGGTCGAGAGATCGAGACCACCCTGGCCAACATGGTGAAACCCCGTCTCTACCAAAAATGCAAAAAAAAATTAGCCAGGCATGGTGGCAGGTGCCTGTAATCCCAGCTACTTGGGAGGCTGAGGCAGGAGAATCGCTTGAACCCGGGAGGCGGAGGTTGCGGTGAGCCAAGATCACGCCATTGCACTCCAGCCTGGGCAAAAAGAGTGAAACTCTGTCTCAAAAAAAAAAAAAAAAAAAAAAAATTTATCCTTCTACTGAAGTTTTTAGGTCAATTAGGTAGGCTGACTAAATTTACAAATGAACTTGTTTATCCAAAACAAATAAATAAAATGTGAACTTTGAAGTTCAGATGTTTTTTAAAAGGGAAATATTCTGCACATAAACACTAAAAGACATATTTTGAATTTCACAAATACATATGGGTAAATATTCAGAAATGATACAGCATTTTCCAACACCAATATAATGTTGGAAAAAATGCTTATAAAGTTTATATTAACTTATCTTGACTTTTGTTTCTTAAATACTGAGAGCAATTAATCATGAGGTTTTCTGGGTAGAAATGAGTTCTCAGATAGTACATATATAGGCTTTTATGTCTGTGTCCAAACGAATGTGATATATGAATAAGGTCTGCCATTCACTTTAGTTACAAAATCAGGACTTGAAAACCACTTCCATTATTGATTTCATCAAGGTTTGATTTTTAGCATTCATTTTTTCCTAACCTACAGTCACATAAAAAATTTGCAGTGTTCCATTTTTAAATCTGTGCTTCCATTTGGATTACCCTACTCTGTCAACTTTTTATTTATTATTTTTTCTTTCTTTGCCTGAAAAACTCAGGTTTCACTTTTCAGGTACCAAGTTTTCTAAGGCTTGCTCAGCAGTTGAAAGTGTATTGTGTGGTTTCTCATCTTCTTTTTCAGATTTCTCTTTTCTCAGGTTACTTGGGATGAAGTCTTTTCTCCTTGACTTTTTACTCCTATTTCTTGTTTCAGATGAAGAGGAAGTCTCCCCGCCTAGCGCCTTGCCTCCAGGTTGGGATAATTTCTACCCTTTTCCCTGCTTTTAAATATATTATTCATTGACGGTAGAGGAAAAGAAAAGGCAGTGAGCCTCCTTGCTGAGTCAGTGCACAGAGCAGGGGCAACAGTTTTCGCCTGTGCTGGCACCAAGAAGGAAATGTTGGCTTTAATGACAATTTTTTGTTTTACGTGAGAAACTTCTTAGAAAGAGGCATTCTTTGAGAAATAAATAAGATTGGTAAATCTTGGGTATAAATGTTAGGGGTCAACATATCTGTCTTCCATTTCTCACTATATATCCACCCTTTTCCCTGTTCTTTAAATTTAGATATTTGGATTTTAAAATTTTTCTTTTCTTTTTTGAGACTGAGTCTCTCTCTATTGCCCAGGCTGGAGTGCAGTGGTGCTATCTCGGCTCACTGCAACCTGTGCCTCCCAGGTTCAAGTGATTCTCGTGCCTCAGCCTCCTGAGTAGCTGGGATTACAGGTGTGTGCCACCAAGCTGGGCTAATTTTTGTATTTTTAGTAGAGACGGAGTTTCACCATGTTGGCCAGACTGGTCTCGAACACCTGACCTCAAGTGATCCACCCACTTTGGCCTCCCAAAGTGCTGGGATTACAGGCATGAACCACCGCCCCCAGCTGGGATTTTTTAATTTTTCTATCATTTTAAAATAAGACACACACTTTTATAGATGCTTTCATACTTGGAGCTCTACTGATTTTCCATCCAAGCCAACTTGTAGGGTTTTTTCCTTCCTATCACCAGAGGAGACAGGGTTTAGGGGAATCCAAGAAGGTTGAAGTCAGCACTCCATTTTCATCCCCTTTCCACCCCTCTGCATCACCCAAATCACACTTTCCTTTCAGGTTTGGGTAGTCGGGCCCTGGAGAGAAAAGATTCAGGTGAGCGCAAGCCCAGAGAAGGCATCCTGACCTCATCCTAATACAATCACTAATGAGCTCATTTCTTGAAGCTGTATTGATTCTAATCCTTGTCTTATTCAGATTGTAGTTTTTACGGCAATCTTTCATTACGTTTCCTCTTACAAGAAAACTAATGTATTGAGAAACAATTAATTTTGCATGATACACACGCATTCAAGGATCTAGCCAAAAATACCACAGGTTTGTTCTATCATTTTTAATATTTAGCAAATACACAGAGATCAATCTTCATTTTGGGGATGTACTAAAGTTAGATAATAATTCACATTTTTATAGAACTTTACATACAGATAATAAAACATTTTCAAATGCATCCTATCAGCTGTAGCTCCTGTTCTGTGAAGTCATTCATTCATTCATTCATTCGACAAATTTGTACTGAGGACCTAATATGATCCTATTATGGGCCTCTTATGGGCCAGCCACTCCTATAGGCACTGCAGGTATAGAAGTGAACAAAACAAGAGAAACACTTATCCTCATGTTCTAAATGTGCTCCTATTAATATCATAAACACAAACAACAAAATTTTAACATTAGCTTGGGTGTTTAAAAATATGTAATCACATGACTATGATTGTCACATAATTGTGAAAATGTTTAACCTCATTGTGAAAATGATGGCCTACTACTACAGATAGAAATATCAAGCATGATTGATACATGAAAACTAAAATAATTAAATGTGCATTTTCCTTCTTTTCAAGAAACATCAACAAGCAGAGAGTTGGCAACCTATGCATTTTTTTCCAGTTACTAAATGGCTGAACCTGAACTCTGCATTCGGCTCAGAGACAGGGGAAATATCTACAGTTCTCTCTACTATCCTAGAATTGGAATTGACTGCAGATTAACACTTATCACCAGAGTGCAAATGAGAAGATGCAAAAGAAACTCTATTTCCAGCTTGTCTCTCTTTATGGGAAAGCCTCAGTTTTTTTCTTTCCAGTTCTCTGTTTCGTTTTGCTTTTCCCCCTTGCAGCACAATCTCAGTATCCTTGTAATTTGTACCACAGGTCATGATCTGTTACTTCCTTGTCAAACTATGGCCACATCTGTACAACCCTAATAAAACTCTCTTACAAAAGCAAGGAATCTAGAAATACCAGGCCAGGCTTGGCTTTCTGACCCTTGTCAGACAGTTTACCCTCCAAATGACCTATCCGTTTAGTCTTTTTCAATGTAGTTGTATCGATGTGGCCTTATAGTCCATCACCTAGAAAAACACCAAGAGTACTGCTTGAATACACTGGCCACCATTGTTTACCTGTTAGGGGACAGGCAAGATGGGGAAGCAAAGGAATTATTGCCATCAAAGAGAGAATAACAGCTTACCTGGAAAGTTCCACTATTTCTAAGAATTACATAATGTTCATTTGCCCCATCATGGAAGAGATACCCCTGTAAGAATGGGAATCTGTTCCCCTCTACTGATGGCTGCTGGGGGCAGAAAGAATGATGTTGTATTTATCTAGGTTTATTAGACAAAGAAAAGCTACAGCGTTGGTGAGAACAACAAATCCAGGTAAGACTGCCTAAGAAGAGCCTGGCCCTGAAATAATCCTTTTCCTCCTTTCTGCTCATCAGACTGGACCCTTGTCGAAACTCCTCCTGGGGAGGAACAAGCCAAGCAGAATGCCAACTCCCAGCTGTCCATCTTGTTCATTGAAAAACCTCAAGGAGGAACAGTGAAAGTTGGTGAGTGCCTAGCATTCAATCCTTCCTTTTTTAAAAAATTAAGGTGAGCCGAGCACGGTGCCTCACGCCTGTAATCCCAGCACTCTGGGAGGTCCAGACAGGCAGATCATTTGAGCTCAGGAGTTCGAGACCAGCCTGGCCAACATGGTGAAACCCAGTCCCTACTAAAAATACAAAAATTAGCAGGGCATGGTGGCAGACACCTGTAATCTCAGCTACTCAGGAGGCAGAGGCAGGAGAATCGCTTGAACCCACGAGGCGGAGGTTGCAGTGAACCGAGATCGCGCCACTGCATTCCAGGTTGGGCAACAGAGCAAGCCTCTGTCTCCAAAAAAAAAAAAATTTTGAGGTGAAATTCACTTATAACATTAACCATTTTAAAGTGAACAATTCAGTGGCTATTAGTACGTTCGCAATGTTGTACAGCCACTACTTCTATCTATTTCTAAAACATTTTCATCACCCCAAAAAGACCCTATATTCCACTAAGCAGTTACTACTCATTGACCTCTCCTCCTAGGCCCTGGCAACCATTAATCTGCTTTGTCTCTCTGGATTTACCTATTTTGGATATTTCATATTAATGGGATCAGACAATGCAGGACCTTTTGTGTCTGGCTTCTTTCACTTAGCATAATGTTTCCAAAGTTCATCCACATTGTTGCATGTATCAGAACTTCATTCCTTTTTACGGCTGGATAATATTCCACTGTGTGTATACACTAAATCCTGCTTTTTACAACCTGAAAAGATGAGTGACAGCTATGATTTCAGTAACCTTCAGCACATAGGAGTCCAGTGCCTGGACCCTGGAACCTTGGGTTCTGATCTTGATTCTGCTTCCTGCTAGCTATTACCCTTGGAAAGACAGTTTAACTTCTTTATGCCTCAGTTTCCCCATCTGTAAAATGGTGACAAGAATAGGACCTAGCTGTGAAGTATTTTGAACAGTGCCTGACACACCATAATGCTGAGCCAGTGTCTGCTGACATTACCATAACTCACTCCATAAGATGATTCCAAATCTACACATGCGCTAGGTCATAATTCATAATATCTGAGACAGCTGATTGGGCAAATGGTTCAACTCTTCAAATATTCAAATTCAAAAATATTGATTATATACCTCCTGTTTTAGGCACTGAGTATAACATGTGAGCACTCAGAATTTATAGTCTGAGAGGAGCAGAGAAAAAAATAAACAAATAATCACAAATGCCAAGTGCTATGAAGGGATGGTGAGCTGGAGGAGGACCTGAGGGTTGAAGAATTTTAACCAAATAAATCTTTATAAGGGATATATTATGATCTGAACTAGTCTTTGACACTTATCAATATTATGCAAATGAGTACATAGCCAACTGTATTCCAGAATTACTTCTTTCCAGGCTAGAATGTCAAAATACACTGCATGTGAACAGAAATGTTGGTTCCCCTTATGTTCCTGTACGACATTGAAATGCTGGGCTGGAAGCTGGACTACAATGTCACGTCCTCAGGGTCTAAATCACTCAATACAAACAGATTGCAGGTTTACTTCAAGCAGATCAGTTTGATTTAGTCACATTCCTATAATTCCAGGCTTCTCATCACCTTGCCTAATAAAAAGAGTGAAAAAAATTCAATTTTTTCATTTTTATTTCATACATATCCATATATATGAAATAAAATTTTATACATATCCATATATGCAATAAAAGTTCACATATATCATACATATCCATATATGTCCATATATATGAAATAAAAAATTACCCAAATGTAAAATTATCCATATATAAAAATTACTTCCACTGGTTTCCCTATTACTTTTTCTGCTTCATAAACCCCCACAGCAGAACAAGCTGGGACAGCCTAAGGACCTCTAGAGCATTCATAAAAAAATCAGGACGAATTCATTTCACAATTCCGAGGGCACCAATCACACCATATTCTGTAGTGCAGTCCCATGTCAACTCCTTCCAGTTGAAAGCAAAACAAATGACGCTTGTTAAAGAGCAAGCTGAATCCCTTATGCTTCTTCTAGGTGAAGATATCACCTTCATAGCCAAAGTCAAGGCTGAAGATCTTCTGAGAAAACCCACTATCAAATGGTTCAAAGGAAAATGGATGGACCTGGCCAGCAAAGCCGGGAAGCACCTTCAGCTGAAGGAAACCTTTGAGAGGCACAGTCGGGTAAGGCCCTGAACTCCCAGGACAGGCGCTCAGCTAGCGCATTCCTTCTATGTGAATAAATGATTATTTTCAGGTTCAGCTTTGAGAGACTTCAGTTCCAGAAAATCCTCTGAAGTTACCATTGCAGTGTCTACACTCTATTGCGATTGCCCGGCTGTGTCCGGGGGCTACAGGACACATTTGCCCTCCTATAGTGAGAACATTGTACTGGAATTCCCACAGACAGACACAGCTTTAAGCCAATGCTGAGAAATTTGGAAAATAAACTGAAATGTGTGTGTCTGGATGCATTTCATTGCAGGTGTACACATTTGAGATGCAGATCATCAAGGCCAAAGATAACTTTGCAGGAAATTACAGATGCGAGGTCACCTATAAGGATAAGTTTGACAGCTGTTCATTTGATCTTGAAGTGCACGGTAAGAGAGCCTTCTTGCCTAGATAAATGTAATTTTTTAATGGGGTGTGAGGGGATGGAGAAGAAGTAGTTCATTTAATACTATGAGATTTCAGAGAAAGTTTTCCTTTAAAACTGTTTCTGATTGTGGTAGTCTCAGCAAGCTTGCTGAATTGAATTGTAATGAAATAATTTATAATAAAAGTAGAATTGGGGGGATTTTATCGCTAAATATCTCTTGTCCATGCTATCTATATTCTTTCAATCTCCCAGATAAAAGATGATGTCAGTTTTTGCTGCTACAGAATGTATGTTTCAAGGGGTCCACTTTCCCACTTAGGTTTGGGGATAGGGTAATATGCTATGAGAGTTCAGGATACCCAGATGGAAGGGAGAATTTCTCTTATAACGACTAATGTCAGGCATGGCAGTTCTTCATCCATATGTTCTGTGCACTACCCAGAGTAAACATAGAAGGCCTAAATGCATACGATGAGGTTGGAAAAAAACTCGCTTTTACAAGTATACAAAGGAAAAGTTGACTTGGCAGCAAATATTATAAACTTAAGGTGAATGTAAAGTGTGATGTAGTTGCAAAAGACAAAAAAGTGAATGTAATTTTATTTTATTTGAGACAGAGTCTCACTCTGTTGCCCAGGCTAGAATCTAGTGGCACTGTCTTGGTTCACCACAACTTCCAACTCCTGGGTTCAAGCAGTTCTCATGCCTCAGCCTCCCAAATAGCTGGGATTACAGGCGTGTGCCACCACACCTGGCTAATTTTGCTGGGGTATTTTTAGAAGAGACGGGATTTCGCCATATTAGCCAGCCTAGTCTCAAACTCCAGGCCTCAAGTGATCCACCTGCCTTGGCCTCCCAAAGGGCTGGGATTACAGGTGTGAGCCACTGTGCCCGGCCATGAATGTAATTTTAAACTGGGCTATTCCAAGTGCTATAGGATCTAAGTTTAGGAAGTGATACTTCTCTCTACAACATGCTACTTATTCTACATTTGGAGTGATGTCTTTAGCCGTGGTCACTATACCTCTGCCTGGACCTCTTCTCGAGTAGAGTAACCAGGAAGATGAAGAATCCAAAAACCACACCCTATCCAGCTTGAGTGTGTGGGTGAAGGAAGTCAGGCATACATGGCTTGTTGCAAAGAGGGGAAGGGGCTGTCACACAGAAAATGGAAAACAAATTTCCATGCATGAGAAGCATTTAGGCAGTTTAGAATCAAAAGGTGGAAATGATGAGGAGGTGAATTTTGTCTTAACGTTAGGATGAGCTGGCCAGGCACGGTGGTTCACGCCTGTAACCCTAGCACTTTGGGAGGCCGGGGCGGGCAGATCACGAGGACAGCAGTCCGAGACCAGCCTGGCCAACATGGTGAAACCCCGTCTCTACTAGAAATACAAAAATTAGCCAGGCGTGGTGGTGGGCACCTATAATCCCAGCTGCTTGGGAGGCTGAGGCAGGAGAATCGCTTGAACCGGGGAGGCGGAGGTTGCAGTGAGACAAGACCGCGCCATTGCACTCCAGCCTGGGCAACAGAGTGAGACTCCGTCTCAACAAAAAAAAAAAAGGACGAGCTCTTCGGTTAAAGCTATATAGACAGCCCAGGAAGGTTGTGAGAGTCCCACTGAGAGTGATGTCAAGCAGAGGCTGGATGGCCATGGGTCGGGTGCTGTCGATATTTCTGTATTAGGTGGGATCTGGGATCCTGGGCAGCACTGCTTCAACCTGGCTGGGCATCTCTGAGAAGATCACCTGGAGGGCTTTTTTTTTTTTTTTAGACGGAGTCTCGCTCCTCTCTGTCACCCAGGCTGGAGTGCAGTGGCGCGATCTCGGCTCACTGCGAGCTCCGCCTCCCGGGTTCACGCCATTCTCCTGCCTCAGCCTCCCGAGTAGCTGGGACTACAGGCGCCCGCCACCACGGCCGGCTAATTTTGTTCTTGTATTTTTAGTAGAGACGGGGTTTCACCGTGTTAGCCAGGCTGGTCGCGATCTCCTGATCTCGTGATCCGCCCGCCTCGGCCTCCCAAAGTGCTGGGATTACAGGCGTGAGCCACCGCGCCCGGCCCCTGGAGGGCTATTTAAGAATATTGATTTCTGGGTGCCCCTCCCTGATCTGGTGGATCAACATCTTTGGCAGAGAGGATCAAGAAACTGATATATTTCTAAGTCCCTCAGTGATTCTAGTGGGCAGACAAGTTGAATGACACCTGAACAAGGTGACCCCAAGGTCCCTTCATTGGTTCTTCATGAGGGAGGAGGAGGTATGATGAGGCCTTGGCAGCACAGCCATTCAGGAGAAAAGCCTCCCCCCTTCACCTGACATTCTTCCATCTAAAGAATCCCCACAGCCTATAAAGGAACTGAACACAAACTACCTCCTTAATGGGTATTTATGTTATTGTTTTCTTTCCTTTCAAAGAATCTACTGGGACTACTCCAAACATTGACATCAGATCTGCTTTCAAGAGAAGGTAACTCCAAAAGAAAAATCTAGATAGCTTTTGTATAACACAGAAGTGGAGGATTTTCAAACACATTTCCTTTCCCCTGTATTCCGTATTCCAAATACGAACAACACTTTTCACCGCAAAAACACCATATATTTAAACATTGGTGTTCTAGAAAAACCATGGGTTTAAGGCCCAGTCAAGCATATACTGACCATTTTTTAGAATGTTCTTGTTATAAAGAAGTTCCTGTTTTGGAGGTTTCACAGTTGCCTTAGAAAGACACTTTCAATTTATTCATATGTAGCTTCCTCCTTAAAGCATTACTTTCCACCAAATGGCCAAAAGAAATACGCAAAGAGACTCATTTCATTGGTTAAGTCACGGCAGAAAACTTTTATTTATATTGCCTTTCATCTAGAAATCACTCAGGGAGCTACTGAACCATGTGCCCAAGAAAACCACAACCAAGTAGCTACTTACTGAAGTTAGT
Organism: Homo sapiens; assembly: GCF_000001405.40. Taxonomy (NCBI): domain Eukaryota; kingdom Metazoa; phylum Chordata; class Mammalia; order Primates; family Hominidae; genus Homo; species Homo sapiens. The sequence goes on from NC_000012.12 coordinate 101,635,075, forward strand.
GCCATATAATATTGGATTATCCTAAATGAAACTGGCATTAAGAATACTACAGAAAGGCAAAATTTAGATACCTATTTCATATATTTTTGCAATTACCAAGGCTGAAAAATGGAGGGGGGGCGGTCAAGGAAGAAATGTAAAAGATTTTTGGTCTCTGAGAAATATAACCAGCCCCTTCCTGTCATTATGTTATTCTCTGTACTTAATTATTCCATAATATAAATTCTTTAATGAGACCAAATGTTTTGTTCTTCCGAAGACTGAATCCACATACAGAATCCACATACAGTTTTGCTGAATAAGGAAAGTCACTCCAAACTATTATAAAACAATAATTTAGCCTGTTAATGAGGCATATTTTCCTCTGATATTATAAATAAATCAAAACTTTAATTACTTTGAAAAGTTATTTAATATTACTGGTATTAGGTATTTTTTAATTTTAAAAAATGTCATAACTTTCAAATTTTATTACTTTCCTTCCACTTTCCCTTCATCCCATGCTCAGCAAATGCACAGGTCTAAAACTATGCTCATACTGTATACAAGTATATCTTAGGAGAGGGAAACATGATCTACTAAGTTTTGAGCTTTAAAAGAACAGAAATGTATTTACTTCAAAAGGCCTGCAAACACCTGAAGAAATTTTGAAAACACATTACTGAGTTTAATTCTTATGACTTACATGTTATACACACTGTTTTTAAACCCACAGACTCTTTTCTTAGAAACCATAACTAACATTTGTAAAGAGCAGGAAACAAAACTTCCTTAAAAAATTAAACATGTAAGTAACTATGTAGTGCCATTTAAATGTTAGCTCTGTAGCTTCTGGTTAGAGTTTATATGAAATCACAGTGGTGGCTGCATGCCTAATTTAAGATGCATTTCTCTACAAGAAAGCACTTTTTTAAACTGCTAGTAAAAGTTTCATTAACAATTCAAGACAAATTTTTTTAAAACATATTTAAGAAGGTATAAATATTAATAAGAAAATTAGAATAATTATCACCCTTTAAGACAGAAAGGAATGCATCTTTTAAAAATTTCTGTGTTAGCTCCTTTTTTATTTTTGCCATGTTAGTATCACATTATCTGATTCATCTGTTCATGGACACAAAGAGGTTACCATTGAATATAAGGCTTTGTACTTATATATCTGACATTGGTACACTTCGTCCTCCAAGCCAATCTCTGTCTTACATGAATAACAGAGATCAGCAAAAGTTCTTTGCTTTTTACATAGGTATGTTTCTACAGCCCCCAACTTGCAAAAACAAAGTACTTTGTGTTGCTTGGCTTAAGTGCATTTGTGTTACCTGGTTTTAACACAAATCCAAGCAGTTTTATATATGCAATCTACAAAAATGTGTCTTCTGAAATCATAGCGTAACACAAGCTCCTCATATGTTTACTTTTCCACAAGTACATACTCCAAAAACTTAACATGTCACTTGTGTGAAAAGAAATAGTTTGTGTTGATTTAGTCCTTGTGTGGCACAAAATTGCATATACGTTACATGTAGAGTGTTTGGGGGAAATTGTTGTGTATGTCTCTGCATTAAACCCAGATTTGCTTTTCTTTTGTTAACGACAGTGGAGAAGGTCAAGAGGATGCAGGAGAACTTGACTTTAGTGGTCTCCTGAAACGTAGGTGAGAACAAAGTGATGGAGTGAGACATTGTGGCCTGGAAGTCTTTCAGACACCCACTCAGAGAAGTCAAGTTTAAAGTGGATGTTCTTCAGAGAATTTTTCATTTCTGAAAATGTGTTTTGCTTATAGAATATAACAGAGTTGACTAGAAAGAGAGAAACAACTGCATACTAATCTTTTAAAGCCTTTAACAGTTGCTTTTAAACTTTCTTTTTAAATGTTTCATGACTCTTCACCTATTTTTTTTTAAATGGGGACGAAGAGATATGAAAACTGAGACATAAGACAAATACCTAGAAACCTCTAAGACTGCACATATGATTTGGTAGAAGTCTGAAGGTATACACATTGTAAGAGGCAGACCTACTTTAATGTATTATTTATGATGTACTGTATTTCTGCAAGTCTAAGACACCACTGCTATTAAGATACACCAGCACTTTATAAATCACTAAGCAATGAAAAAATTGTTCCAAATGGTTTGACACACCATTGATTATAAGATGCATTGTCATTTCAGAGGTCTTTAAAATGCCTCAAAAATGTGTTTTAGAAGTGACAAAATGGAAATAAAAGTTTAGTATCATCACACACTGACACTTTTCATTGTTCTCTCCTGCAATAAAATTTATAGGATTTCATTATGGATACTTAGAACATAACCATTTTATAAGATTTCTCTCCATATATATTTCTATAACTGCTATACTCTTCACTAGGATTCCCTATATATATACTATATTATATGCCTGTTATAGATATCTAGATATTTACTATAGTGCAGAAGCAACAAAAAGAAACACTTTTTTTCTGAGATTATGTTTTATCTAGCAAATTTGTAAATAAACAGAGTAAAACTATAATTTTAAATTAATTGTATATAATATCAGTTTTCATTTAACTTTCCAGGCTTTTAAAATTACTTTTAGTGCTTTCTATGGTTATTAAAAGACTACAAGTACAAATATGCTTCATAACAAATTACAAACACTTGAAATATACTGGGATTGTGTTTATTCTCTGTTTAGTTAGATAGCTGTATTGAAGTCTCTGTAAATGAAAAATTTACCCCTATCCCTCAACATGTAGGTTGAGAACAGAAATATTAATGGGTGTGATTTATTAATTCCTGAGGGCTATTAGCCCATCAATAGACTACTTCAAATAACCATTAGTCTCAATAGTATTGATTAATTCCCCAAATGCATTTAAAGCAATAGTATATGAAGTGCCCTTAAGTGAGCCTCACGTTTCCTCATTCTACAGATAAGAAACCAAGGTACAGAGACAACAAGTGACTTATCCCAAGTCACACAGGAGTTAGAGGCAGGGCCAGGACCCAAACCCAAGTTTCCCTTTTATGAGTCAGCTCATTTCCTGTGACTCCATATTAAAGATACCACTCTGAATTTGCCTTGGAAGCTGGCGCTTCAGTTTATAACACAAATTGACACTTTAGGAAGACAAGAGAGCTTTGTATTCTCCCTGCAATCATTTACTCAGTCAGGAAAATACTAAACACTGTCTTTGCGTAGAATATAATGCTACTGATGTGAGGAAAAGAAATCCAGTGCCTGGCACATAGAAAAGGATAGATACACTTTTGTGGGAGGAAAAATAGTGGTAAAAACATGGACTGGAGTCTCAGCTCTACCATTTACTAATTATGTGACTTTGGTCAAATATTTGACCCCTCTGAGACTTGGATTTCACATCTGGAAATGTGAAGAATAAACACTACTTAATAGAATTATTGTGCAAATTAAATTAAGTGTAAAAAGCTTGGTTCACAGTAGGTGGCAAATAAATATGTACTTCCTCTAAGGAAATGTGTCATTTTCTCTAACATAGTTTATATTCATAAGGAGACAACACACAAACACATACACAATCAATCAACAAAAATGTGATACAGTAGATTATTAAGCACCTTGCTCTGATTAAAAAGGAAAAAAAGAAAGAAAAAAGAACAGACTTTTTCAACCAGTAATTCCAGAATAAAATAAATCTAATTACATAGTCAAAATGACAAAATTTAAAAATCACTTAATGGGCAGCCAACATGTCTCCAGTTCTCATTTTCTTTTATCCCCTGCTTAAGATTTGCATTCATAATTAGATTGTTGTTAATATAAGGCTATGTTATGTTCATTTAGTATACTATACTAATCCACTAATATAACTTTAGAAATCATTGTGTTTTCCTACTAGTGAGTTGCATGCGTTTTCATTGCGGTAATGACATATGGTTACCATTTCTACTCCTCCAAGTGTGTGTGCCAAAATCCCCACAAGAAAAAAAAATATGATTAAAACCAACATCTCTGTACAACGAAAGATCTTCCTGCTCTGAACAAAGCCAGCTTACTTCAAATAGACATTAGCTAAATCAGATTAAATCTTTTGGGCAGCATCCTGTTATAGGAATTGACCTGTATAAATACTTGTAAGTTGTACTCTACATAAAATTTCTATAACTGTTATACTCTTCACTAGGATCACCAAGTTATTGAAATTTTGATGTAGATGAAAATACAGTGAGTATTATACAGGTCTATCCCGAGGCTTGGAAAAGAATCAGAAGTGCCTACAGAAATTTGGCTTTTTCTCCTCACTGTAACTTAACATAGCCATGCAGACAGGGTCATGTGCAGCCACCATGGTAAGTAACTAAAGATATGTTCCAGGTGCATTAAGGAAATGCTGGAGGTGAGAGCCTTGACCTCACATTTCAGTACAAGATAGATGCTTCTCTTTACGATTTGAGATACAATTAAGTAATGGAGAGAAAAGGAAGGAATAGGCAAGAGGTCATTGGTGTTCTTATATGAAATTTGATATGACTAAGTATGTGATAAGAGTGGAGAGTATCTTGGCATTTTAATGAAAACTGGTGAGGATGATTGGTTTTATAAATCTACCAACAAAACTGACTCAGGAAATCACACTCAAAATTATCATCTTTATTACTGGTTTCCTTCATATAAATATTCACCTCATGGATCTATGTAGGACTCAGTGACTTGTGCCTCTTGTTAGCTATTTTAATTATATCTAGCTTGATAGCTTTAAATCCTCCGCCAATGTCAGGAGGATAGCTGAAATATGTAATGTATGTGTGCAATTCTTCATGGTTCAAATACAAATTTAACATAATCCAGTATGGCATAATTTTATAGTCTGGGGACTATATTTAGGCTGGAATGTGACAAAAATAGAGCACTAATAATCTAGATTGAGGGAACACCCCGCAGAAAATATATACATATGAACATACATATACATCTTTTTTGGGTTTTTCTTTGAGACAGGGCCTCACTTTGTCACCCAGGCTGGAGTACAATGGCGCAATCTTGGCTCATTGCAGCCTCGACCTCCTGGGCTCAAGCAATCCTTCCACTTCAGCCCAAGTAGCTGGGATGACAGGCATGCGCCACCATGCCCAGCTAATTTTTGTATTTTTTGTAGAGACGGGGTTTCACCATGTTGCCCAGGCTGGTCTCGAACTCCTGAGCCCAAGTAATCTTCCCACCTCAGCCTCCTAAAGTGCTGGGATTACAAGACTGAGCCACTTCACCCGGCCTATACATATACATCATAATTGTGACTCTCCTAGACTTCCTACTAAAATATTTAAAGGATGTATTTGAAGTGTTTACTGTTTCCAGGAAGTAGATTTAGTGGATCTGGCAAATTATTACCAATATTCCAATTTCAGGACAATTTTCTTAAGCTTTTCGATTTTCTCATGTTAATAAAGGATGTAGCTGTTATTTCAGTGAGATGAAGATAATGCTTGTGTCTTGAGTTTTTAAGAGGCACATTTTGCTAATGGTGTTGTCTAGTCCTTCCCATCAAGATTATTGGAGAGACCAGTGACCTTTCACTTCCTTCTATTTTCCAGGAGTTCTGCCTCAATGTCCCCCAAACCCACTGGGCAAAAAGACTTACATGGCAATGTAAAATGGAAGTTAGATATTCAGATGTCATCCTTGCCTAATGCCACCCTAAACTCTATATTAATATCTATAATCTCCTCCCCTCCCCTGCATATTTTATCCATGATTACAACCCAGTATTTCCTTCTCAAAGTACACATGAGTGTAAAGATGACACTCCAGGCTGGTGTGGTGGCCAGCACTTTGGGATGCCGAGGTGGACGGATCACTTGAGGTCAGGAGTTCAAGACCAGCCTGGCCAACATGGTGAAATCCCATCTCTACTAAAAATACAAAAATTAGCTGGGTGTGGCACACACCTGTAATCCCAGCTACTTGGGAGACTGAGGCAGGAGAATCGTTAGAACCCAAGAGGCAGAGATTGCAGTGAGCTGAGATCACACCACTTCACTCCAACCTGGGCAACAGAGTGAGACTCTGTCTCAAAGAAAAAAAAAAAAAAAAAAAGAAGGCACTCTGAAACAGGTGTAATGAATATGACAATGCAAACAGATGTAACCCATCATTCCCTAACATGATAGCATGAATTCATTTTCACACTGATATATAAGATGTTTGACCAGTTTTCCAGAAAATCATATCCAAATCAGCATTACGGTAAGCAGTCGTTGTAACATTTCTAAATTAACCTGATAAAAATAGTCATGTAAATGTAAACAAAATCAGGATTATTTATTCAATGAAGGAAACCAATTTGTTTATACTAAGCCTGTTTTCCAAAAGAGTGTTTATTTCTGAATTTTATTTTTATTTTATGCTTTTAAAAGAAAGGAAGACAAGTGTAAATCTTAAATCTTACTTAAATCTTAAATCTTATTTTTAACACATATATGTTCTTTATGTGTTCTGTAGTCAATGATCAAAAGTTGGGGTCATAATTTTGGTATGCACCCTAAGAAGTTACTTTCCCTTGTTCATGGTGCCCTAAACCATTTGCTTCACAGTTTAACATTTGTATTTTTATAACTCATACCCAATTTGCTTCCAAAAAACATTCAAGACAGTACTTTAAGATGAAATGTAAGAAAATTTTTAAAACCTAGTCTCCTTTCCCCCTGCCGATTTAGAAAAAAAATTTTAAAACCATCAGTATCCATAAAAACCATGTGAAAAACAAACAAAAAACTCATGGCAGTTTCAATTTTTTTTTTTTATTTTAAGAAAGGTAAAAAATGGTTCATGTACTTAGTTACTAATATGGTAGGGAAAATGCTATTTGCAAAATCCAAATGTTTGAAATAATGTATTTGTACTGTCTCCATATTTAGCTAGGGTGTGTACATCAAAGAAAATAGAGATCATTTTTATTTCATAGGCCAAATCTAAACCTTTTAGTTCTAGTCCAATTTTCAATAATTCAATATCCATATCCTAGATGAAAACTGTTAAGTTTCTCAAAATCCCATCTTCTAATTAGACTTTAAATTTGAAAATAAGTAAAATATATTTTTAGGCTATTTCCTGATGTCCTCTACTCCCCCTAAAATTGTTTTTATTAACTAGGAAAACGAAAGGTGTTACTATAAGGGCACACATTTGATCTTCTACTACCTGCAAGTTTCCCTAAGACTTCCATTCCAGCAAGCAAGACTTGACTTCTGGGCTTCAAGTACTCAGGCTTTAAACAGAGCTTTTTTACACTGAACTGAAAAAGCAGAATTATACCTCGACCTTCGTGGTCTCTAAGGGTCAGTGCAGCTACTAAACTAGACCATGGTTCTCCCCGGTTAGGGAGGTGAAGCAGCAGGAGGAAGAACCCCAGGTGGACGTATGGGAGTTGCTGAAGAACGCGAAACCCAGTGAGTACGAGAAGATCGCCTTCCAGTATGGAATCACCGACCTGCGCGGCATGCTCAAGCGACTCAAGCGCATGCGCAGAGAGGAGAAGAAGAGCGCAGGTGAGCGCTCCCGGGGGCGAGGCAGCGGCCGAGGGGCGTGGCAGCGTTCGAAAGCCTTGACCGTGAACCCCATCCCGAGCTCCTTCCAGTCTCCCGCGGGGTTGGGAGTGGGGCTGGGTAGGAGTGCAGGGGTTACGCTTGTCTAGACGGACAGCTCCTGAAGGTTCAAGGTAACAGGAGATTCATGGTCCACATACAACGTAGAATGGAATAGTACATTACCCCCGCGGTTACTGGGAATTTCTCAGCCGCCCCCTTTCTCCAGCCTCCACATCCCCACTCACTGTCAAATTATTGATTTTTACTTAAGCAGAGTGGACTCTTTCACCATCCTTTTCTTTCACCCACTTGATGGCGTGTGGAGAGTTCACTTTCTCACACCCAATATGGTTAGCAAAATGTTTTGTAAAACCAATAAGCAGCTCCGTGGGGGTCTGAAATGGGTCCAGTTTATTGTGGTCTGAAATACCTTTTTAAAGTGGAAAGAAAAAAAGGAGAGAAAGGAATACATTTTACGCTGACCATTAGCTCTTCGAAGCTTCCTATACTCGGTCATTATTGGTTATGGGTTTTATGACACATCAGGTTAGTAATATATCAATCCTATTATTGTTTATTATTTTGTTAATGTTCCAATAGAATTTAAAGATTTTTACCACCCTTTAAAAAAAATCTGACCTTTATTTCTGAACTTCCTGGAAACTGGTTGAGAAATGGCCCCAGAGAAATGTAGTAGGGTTTTTTTTAGTTTATGTAGTTCAGCCATTCCCACTATCCCAGAACTCCTGAAGTTATATTTTTGAGAGGTGTATTAATACTACAGGGGAGAGCCAGCTGACATCTCTTTTCCCCAAGCTGAACTTTGTTATTGTTATCACTTAGCTCTGAATTCATCTCCTAAGGTGTGTGGTAGATGGCTTTTTTAAAAGCTAGGGTTTATTTTATCTTGTTAAAATATGAGACAGTGAGCTTACCTAAACAATAGTATAATAAGGTTGGAATGATGGAAATACAAGCATGACAACATGAAGCATTTCACATTTGTATTTTCCAAACTGCTAAATGAGAATTATTATCTTTTAAAAAGCAGGAAAAAAACTTATTAAATTAAAAAAAGAAGTTAACTATCTTTATTTAGGACCCTTCAAAGACAACTTTTTTTTTAATTGCTGTGTTCTATGTTATTTAAAATATTTGGAAATCCTGAATTCCTAAACGTATGTGCAAGGGGTGTTTTTAAAATGCCACTGTTTGGGCAAGTTACCACAGTATAAAAACTTTAGTAAGCCTACTGTTTCAATTAGTCAAAGGCATTCGATTTAATATGAATCACTGAATTTATCTTATAAATTCTGTGGTTAAAAAACCATCTGTGACTTAGAAGGAGTGCAGAAATAAGGCCAATGACACTAACAGTAATTCTGCTGGAAGAATAAGCATGTTCTTTTATTTTTATTTTTATTTTTTGAAACAGGGTCCCATTCTGTCACCCAGGCTGGAGTGTGCAGTGGCATGATCTCAGCTCACTGCAACCTCTGCCTCCCAGGTTCAAGTGACTCTCATGCCTCAGCCTCCCGAGTAGCTGGGATTACAGGCATGCACCACCACACCCCACTAATTTTTGTATTTTTAGAAGAGACAGGGTTTCCCCATGTTGGCCAGGCCGGTTTCGATCTCCTGGCCTCAAGTGATCTGCCTGCCTCAGCCTCCCAAAGTGCTGGGATTACAGGAGTGAGCCACCGTGCCCAGCCCCAGCGTGTTTTTAAAGTTCACTTTCATCTGAACGCTTTATAGTGTACATTCCCTGAAGAATTAGGTCATTTTTAAAGCTTCTTCAATGATTCTTTTCTTACCTTTCTTCTAGAAACATGTGGATTCTCTTTTCAATTTAAACCATCTTATTGTATATAAGTCAACACAGTGTTCGAAATATAAAGGATAATTTGGAAGGTTTCTGATTTTTTTCTTGAGATTCATTTTTTCATTTGCTTTTAGGTTCTCCTACATGTATTGACTATTTAAATTCATAGCATATGTATACATATATTAACATACTTTTGCTTCTTCTATTCTATCAGCTTTTGCAAAAATTCTTGATCCTGCATATCAGGTTGACAAAGGAGGCAGAGTGAGGTTTGTTGTGGAGCTGGCAGATCCAAAGTTGGAGGTGAAATGGTATAAAAATGGTCAAGAAATTCGACCCAGTACCAAGTAAGTGGGCTTTGCAAAAATCAGTGATAGCTCTACAGTAAATTAATCAAATAGTAGTTCGACTGACTTTTCTGAGAATAAAAGGATATTTATATTTTCATAATACAAAATCATATGGAGAGAGAGTAAACATTTAAGTCACATTTTATTTATTAGGGAAACATGATAGTTCTATATAAACTAAACCTTTTTTTATGTTTAATTCTAAAAAACTATTTAAAGTGTTTTCCAATTATGGTTTTGTGTCGCTATAGGTTATATGTGATTATTTCAGAGTATTGCCAAATTTCTCCCAATTTTAAAAAATAAAATTGAAAAATAACTTGCAATCCATATTTGATATGCCACCTGGGAATCCCATCTTATAATTAGATGACTTTTGCTTTTCCAAAATAACGACTATATTTCATAATGGGTGAATACCTTCTATTTTCAATTCAGGTACTGTTTTGAGCACTTGCAATATTGCATATAAAAGGAACTCTTTAATGTTGAGATAAAACAAAATGTGGGTCAAAGCCTGTGTTTTATTATTTATTGGCCTTCTCACAGATGGAGACGGACTAAAGACAGACTAATCCCTGACGTCTGATGGTATCTCCAGTCTATTATAAAACTACTTTACAGAGATCCTCCTCAGCCTGAGAGATTTTCAACTCCAATATATTTTTTTAGGTTAACAGGAGCCATGTGTACATTTATAAAAGATGTTAATCCTGGAAAGCTGTTACTTGTGGAGTACAATTAGGTGGTTTCCAATTTCTTAATGTGGTCATGCCACTAGAGTGACTTTGTGATGATAACATTAATATCTGGTGTAAAAATCTCTTGAAGATGGCCTGAATTTACCAAAAACATAATTTTAATTGGTTATCTTTATGTAGAAAATATTTTTAAATATCTTGTTCTTGAAGGCTTCAATCTGAGAAATTCCCAAAACAGTGTTTTTAGTCTATTTTAATCCCATCATGTGCTCCTCCATAATACAGATCACAGATAATTATATTTTACAATCTTCTTGGCTTCTAGTTTTTCGTTTCTAAATACTCACATTCTTTCTTAGTACATGTAACTGTATGATAGCACCAGTTCTTGAGCTCATTTAAGAGAACATCACATTCTATAGAACTGCTGCGTGTGTTTGTGGTTATATCACATTATTTCTTAAATTGTATAATCATTTATTCACCCAAGGAAATCTACTATACCACTGGGATAGGTAATGAATAGATCTTATTCATACATCAATGGATAAGATCAAGTCTCTACCCACCTATAAAGTACATGAATTGGTTAGTTAAAGAATGTACAGAGTTAAAAATCTGACACCCTCAGCCAACTCTATCTTCCAACAGTGGGTTAAAAAAATTAAATAGCAAATATGTGAGTACTGATTTTTATTTGAAATAAAAACCTTATGTAAAAGAAAATTATAATGGAAATTAAATAGTATATATAAATATGCTTATACATTAAGTATTATAAAGATAAAAATTGGTTTTTTTTTTTGGTTTGACGTTAAACTGTGTAAGATATGATACCTAAAGAGCAGATCAAAATTATATCCCTGCTGGGCACGATGGCTCACGCCTGTAATCCCAACACTTTGGGAGGCTGAGGCAGGAACGCTTGAACCGAGGAGTCTGAGACAAACCTGGGCAAGATGGTGAGACTCAGTCTTACAAAAAATAAATTAGCTGGGCCTGATGCCCCACACCTGTGGTCCCGGCCACACGGGAGGCTGAGGCAGGAGGATCACTTGAGCCCAGGAGGTCGAGGCTCCAATTAGCTATGTTTGCACCACTGCACTCCTGCCTGTGCAACAGAGCAAGACCCTGTCTCAAAAAAAAACAACAGATCCTTGACTTTCAAACACTACCAAATTATAAGCCAAATTTGCTGGCAATAAAGAAAAGAATAAAATCACATTCACAGACTCTGTTTATTTTCATCCTATTCAAAACAGATACATCTTTGAACACAAAGGATGCCAGAGAATCCTGTTTATCAATAACTGTCAGATGACAGATGATTCAGAGTATTATGTGACAGCCGGTGATGAGAAATGTTCCACTGAGCTCTTCGTAAGAGGTAAAAATGAAATCTCTTATTGTGGTCACCAGGAGCTGTTGGCTTCTTCTCCCAGGGATAATGATCAAAGTGAAAGTAACTGAGGCTCCTCTACACTGGCAGCTATTATGGATCCTAATGAGTCTTCTGGTTTGTTGAAGACTAGAACAGCAGAGGGGAGAAAGAGAACCTGTTGAGTACAAATGCCTCATGTTTTGACTCAAGCCAAGCACTATCTTGCAAAAATAATTATTCTAGTTATAGCTTTGAAACCCAACAGATTTTACTGGATAATCCTTGTTTCACACACTCAATTGATCACAAATAGGTTTCTCTTGAAACCAGCTTCATTAATAAGTGGTTGGTACCAAGCACACTGAAAATTATCATTTACTAAGACATTGTGAAAAGAGCTGGAGGGTGTGAATACAGCCATGTCTTCCTTATTTTCTTTATGAGGGCTTCTGATGACAGACAACCCTGAGATCTCTGTCATCCATCTGGAACTAGGATCAAAGATTTGAGTTTTATATATTCTCCTTCATCAGAAATGTCTAGCATTTAGTATCTTCTTTGCTAAAAGAATAATATTTGATATATGTTTTGTTTGTTCTTGAGAACAATAATTGATTTGACTTGGAGAACTGTGAAAAAATTGGGAGAATTTACCCAGGGTTGCCTGCTATTTATTTTGCCAAGAACAGACATAGAAAACAAAACAAAACAAAACAAAACTCACAGACAGCCACAGTGGCTCATGTCTATAATACCAGCACTTTGGGAGGCCAAGGCACGTGATCACTTGAGATCAGGAGTTCAAGACCAGCCTGGCCAATGTGGTAAAATCTCGTCTCTACTGCAAATGCAAAAATTAGTTGGGTGTAGTGGCATGCACCTGTAATCCCAGCTACTCAGGAGGCTGAGGCAGGAGAATTGCTTGAACCTAGGGGGTGGAGGTTACATTAAGCCAAGATCACGCCACTACACCTCAGCCTGGACAGCAGAGTGAGACTCTGTCTCAAAACAAGAACAAAAACAAAAACCTCACTTACTGTTATCACCATGTCAACCATAGATGTTGCTTTCTCACTGTTGGTTTTTCATCTGTGAAGAAATCAGGGCTCATGGGATAGGCTTTGGATATTTAATGATTCTGATTTCCCCTTTTTGTATACTAGAGCCTCCAATTATGGTGACCAAACAGCTGGAAGATACAACTGCTTATTGTGGGGAGAGAGTGGAATTAGAATGTGAGGTGTCTGAAGATGATGCCAATGTAAAATGGTAAATAGCCTTAATGAAGTCTGTCCATGTTTAATAGACAAAAAAATTGGACCTTCATAGTTGATAGAACAGGAAGTACAAATAGCTTTTAAACCTTTGAAAACAATCTCCACCTCATTTGTGTTAGTAGAGATGATAAATAAAAGTATACTAATATACTGGGGTTTTTCCACTCATGAGACTGAAAAAAGAACCAGAGATCTATGTGGGTAAGCACGTAGGGAAGTGGGTACTTAATACTAAGTGGATGACTCAAGTTTACCCAAGTCTATTTGACCCCAAAGCCTATGGATGCTCTTAACCTTTATAGCAGGCTTCCTCTCACTATGCCATATTGGCAACTTACATGAAAAAACATATTTAGTGTTTAGTAAGTTTAGTAAGACTTCTTTAGATGTCTTCTAAGTGGGCTTACTAATGATAGTTGTGTTAATTCGGTTTTAGAAAAGTTTCTATTTGATTTCTATTTGCAATGATTTTTAAGTACATATTTACATGTGTTTTTCATGTAACCCCTAGTCACTTTATTTTCATAGTACCTCAGGGGAAAAAAATTTAGACTGAGAATCACCAATTGCTTTTAGAAATAAGAGTTTATTTGTTTTGCTCAGGTGGGGAATGTTTTCTCAGGTTCCTTGTGAGTAATCTTAAAATTAAAAACTAGAAATTTTAAATCTTAAAATGAAATGTTATGTTGAAAGGTACAGTAAATTACACAGCAGGATTTGTAGTAATTGGTACAGTGTAGATTGTTCATTCTAATAGAGAATCATAGTTATCTTTAAAATGCATTAAATGATATTCTTACTAATGTGCTTCAAGAGCCTACATGGGGGTAATATCCACTCTTAGCAGTTGCACCTGATTCATCTTGAGTGCGAGCAGGTGGCTCGTGTTCTTTTAACACAATTTTGTAGACAATATTTGTTACATTATGAATCTACTGATGGATACAGAGATTGATTCGTACATTTTTTAATTCAACAAATAGTTCTTGTGTGTCTCATATCCTCCAGAAATTCTTCAGGATATTGCAATAAGCAAGATGGACAAGGTATTTTTCCTGAAGGATCTTTTACAAACCTTTTTAATATTTTATCTTAATTCAGGTTTAAGAATGGTGAAGAGATTATCCCTGGTCCAAAATCAAGATACCGAATTAGAGTTGAGGGTAAAAAACACATCTTGATCATAGAGGGAGCAACAAAGGCTGATGCTGCAGAATATTCAGTAATGACAACAGGAGGACAATCATCTGCTAAACTTAGTGTTGACTGTAAGTGAGACTTCTTTAGATGTCTTCTCAGTGGGCTTATTAATGATGGTTGTGTTAATTCGGTTTCAGAAAAGTTTCTATTTGATTTCTATTTGCGATGATTTTTAAGTATGTAAAATGGATTTCATTCCAGCTAAGTGTCTATGTCAGATCAATCAGGATATTTAAGGAAGGAACCACGACTCAATTTAATAGTAGAGCGCCAATATTAGGAAGGAAGTATAAAAATCACCTGCCAGAAGAGTTATAATTCCAAGACCGTAAAAATAGGGGATAAATACTTAGATACGATGTCATATCCTGATAATGTTAGCTAGCTATTCATCAAATAACCATTCAACACTCTGCAATTACATTTGGCATGAGAAGAAAGTAATTCAAACCAAAAGGGCTCAATTGAGAAGATTGTAAGAGCTAATTTGCTAGTAGGCTTCAGAGGCATGAGAGAATTAATGTACTTCCCTCAATGCCCTCTACTTCTAGTCAGTTAGCAATGGCAGAATCTCTCCCAATTTGCCATAAAAATTAAAACAGCAAATATCTCAAGATGATGTCACAAAAAGAGCAGAAATCTTACTTCCACATTTATTGCTTAGTCCAGTTGCAGTTCATATAATCATTGAATTATTCAGGATCAATCCCAATACATTCCTTATGCTTTATGGATCTGTGGCCATTTTAGTTTAACATCAAGAAGTCTTTCAGCCATAGACAGATCCTTATCTGATATTTGTATCCATTTAAAGCAATTATAATCCATTCTGCTATGATGTAACATGTGCATTTCTAAAAATAATTATGCTATGCAAAGTCATGCAGTAAAAACCATAGGGTTTGTAGGGGAAATGGGATTATGGGTATGACACTCAAGAATTTTGCTGGTTTATTAGTCCGTTCTCATGCTGCTAATAAAGACATACCCAAGACTGGGTAATCTATAAAGGAAAAAGCTTCAGTTGACTCACAGTTCCGCATGGCTGGGGAGACCTCAGGAAACTTACAATCATGGCAGAAGGGAAAGCAAATATGTCCTTCTTCACATGGTGGCAGCAAGGAGAAGTACCAAGCAAAATGGCAAAAGTCCCTTATAAAACTGTCAGATCTCATGAGAACTCAGTCACTATCATGAGAACAGCAGCAGGGGGGTAACCGCCCCCATGATTCAATTACCTCCCACCACGTCCCTCCCATGACATGTGAGGATTATAGGAACTACAATTCAAGATGAGATTTAGGTGAGGGCACAGCCAAACCACATCAGTCAGCGACATATTTTTTAAAATATAAGAACCCAGTAAAAAGTAGTAGCACAGTTTTACACATGCTAAATGGTTAATAAATATAATAAATATGGCACTTAATGTTGAAAAAGACCTGAGATTTGCTTACAGAATTAATGCTGGAAGTGTTGTGGCTTGTGAACTGTTGTGAAGCAGTAGAAAGAGGATTATTCAAAATCTGATGAGTAGTTGTGACCTCAGATGTAAATGGGTGTGGCTTATATCACATGGATGAACTGAGGTAGCTGATAGATGTTTGAGGTGTGAGTCTGCAGATTTTGTGCATTCCTTGCTGGGTCATTTCAGCTGGATGCAATTTTCTGCATTCACCTAGTTTTTCTAAGGAATGAAATTGTACAGAATCAAATGTGAAATTATCCTCTAATATATTAATTGCATTGGTACAGCTTCTCACTTTCAAAACAAACATTGTAGTAGAGCTCACTATACCATTGTGAAATGCCACCATCTTGGCCTGTTGGGAGTTTGGGCTTGGCATTTGTGATGGTCTATCATTTCTACAGTGAAACCTCTGAAGATTTTGACACCTCTGACTGATCAGACTGTAAATCTTGGAAAAGAAATCTGCCTGAAGTGTGAAATCTCTGAAAACATACCAGGAAAATGGACTAAAAATGGCCTACCTGTTCAGGAGAGTGACCGTCTAAAGGTGGTTCACAAGGGAAGGTAAGCGAGCCAGGTGACCCGCAAGTGAGGTTTGGTCCCATTTCTACTTTCTCCATTTTCTAAATTACATATTTGGTGAGGATATTTGAAGGGTAGCCATAGGGAGATCATCTATTCCTGATTCTTCGCTTCCAACTAGCAAGAAGGTGTGATTTCTCTGTTGTATAGCATGTCCTACTCATAATCCTGTATCTGTACCTCACACTATGGTACTTTGTCTATTCAAAATCCATTGACTCTTTTTCCATTTAAACATGAAGTTAGAGGCCAGGCACCATGGCTCATGCCTGTAATCCCAACACTTTGGGACGCCAAGGCAGACGGATCAATTGAGCTCAGGAGTTCAAGAGCTCCTGGGCTACATGGCAAAACCTCATCTCTACAAAAAACACAAAAATTAGCCAGGCGTGGTGGCATGCACCTGTAATCCCAACTACTTGGGAGGTGGGAGGATGGCTTGAACCCAGTAGGGGGAGGTTGAAGTGAGCTGAGATCACACCACTGCATTTCAGCCTGGGAAACAGAATGAGAGACCTTGTCTCTAAAATAAATAATAAACATGAAGTTAGAGGAAAAATACTGAATTCTAATTGAGGACCTGATCAAATGGATTAACCGTCTCTAACCAATAAGTGTCACAATGCCTTCCCACAAATCTTTATTTGCGTAGGGGACATAATATCCTAGAATCTGGCAAAGATCTAAGGCAAGAGTTTAACTTTGAATTCATGGGCTTTTAGGGTATCATAAATGAACTTTAGGAAGCCCCATAACTCCTGTGAAATTGTGAGAAAATTCTATGTGTACAAAAATACATACTGTTTACACAGAAAGGATTCATAGTGTCCATCAGATATTCACTAGTTTGTGACCCCAATAAAGTTAAGAGCTATTGTTCTTAGGGTTTGGGATGTAAAGCCAAAATCAAGATTATTCTTGGCATCTCTTGAATCTTAAAGTATAGCATTATTGATATGTTCTATTTTAGCCTTTTTAAAGCTATGAGATGAAAAAAAAGAATAATAGACTCTGCATATACAATAAGCAGATTCTATTTGTGGAGATAATTCCATATAGTCCAAAATAAAGATTTAATTTGAATCAATAAGTAGGATAATTAAGGCTTCTCATCCTCTCTCTCTCTCTCTCTCTTTCTCTCTCTCTCTCCCTCTCTTTCCTGCACTAAAGAAGTTAATCAGATAAAGGTCAAGTGTCTTTTCAGCTTGGGTCATATATAAACTAGATCTTTGGAGTCTTAGAAATACATTTTCCTTGTTTCCTTAGGATCCACAAGTTAGTGATA
The DNA here is from genome assembly GCF_000001405.40 of Homo sapiens. Lineage (NCBI taxonomy): Eukaryota > Metazoa > Chordata > Mammalia > Primates > Hominidae > Homo > Homo sapiens. The sequence goes on from NC_000012.12 coordinate 101,652,697, forward strand.
GCCAATGCCCTCACTGAAGATGAAGGTGATTATGTATTTGCACCTGATGCCTACAATGTTACTCTGCCTGCCAAAGTTCATGTTATTGGTGAGTAGATAAAATAATTCATTGCATAGTTGTGTTCTTTTTTGTTTGCTTTTGCTTACCATGGAATTATAATATATTCAAAACTAAGTGACATTTAAGGAAAAATACATCAATTGGTATTAATCACCAATCAGAAAGATTGGTGACTTATACCAACACCTTACAATAAAATGGTTTTGCAAGGTGCCAGGCACCAACTATCTTGACTCCTCTTATATTCTTTTTGATTAGATAAAATATTGGTTACTACCATCATACTAGCCAAACATTAGTGCAGATATTTACACAGAAATGACTGTCTGATAACAAAGACTATGCTTAATATTCTAGATCCTCCTAAGATCATCCTGGATGGTCTTGATGCTGACAACACAGTGACAGTGATTGCAGGAAACAAGCTTCGTCTTGAGATCCCCATCAGCGGAGAACCACCTCCTAAAGCCATGTGGAGCCGGGGAGATAAGGTTTGTTTTATGCTTGCACACACTCACATGCACACACACATATGCAGACACACTGCCTACCCCACCCCTTGCCCTCCATTATTCAGATGAAGGTAGAAAACAAATAAATGTACAGCAGTACAGTAAAGATGTAATTCCTTTGAAAAAGAAAGATGACTGATTTTCAGGCAAATCTGATCATCATTAATTTACTTCTCATATTTCTGACTATTATGTAGCAAAGCATGTTTTGATGCACAGTGAAAAAGCCTCATTTTTATTCTAATGAAATTGGGGGGATGAAAAAGAAAATGAATTATTAAATAAATAAATGAACAAAGTCACTTTGGATAGTAATAAGTACAAGAAGATAATAAAAGAGAATGATACAATAGCAAGTAACTGCATAGTCAATGGCAGCCTCTGTGAAGAACAAGGAACCCATTATGTGAAGATCAAACGGAAGACATTTCCATACGGAGGCAATTACAAGTGCAAAGGCCAAGGGGAGAGAATAAGCCTGATGTGTTGGAGGAACAGAAGGAAAGCCAGCATGGCTGGGGCAAAGTGAATGATTGGGAGAAATGCAAGTGAGGGTGAAATGGTAGAGTAGTGCCAGCTCAAGTGTGACTCCGTGGCTTTCTACAAAAATAAAAGCAAAAAAAGAAAAATTACATTTAAAAAGAAGACATGAGGCTGGGCATGGTGGCTCATGCCTGTAATCCCAGCACTTTGGGAGCTGGGGCAGGCAGAACACCTGAAGCCAGGAGTTCCAGACCAGCCTGAGCCTGCATGGAGAAACCCCATCTCTACTAAAAATACAAAAAAATTAGCCAAATATGGTGGCAGCATGCCTCTAATTCCAGCTACTCAGGAGGCTGAGGCACAAGAATTGCTGGAACCCGGGAGGCAGAGGTTGCAGTGAGCCGAGATCACGCCACTGCACTCCAGCTGGGTGACAGAGTGAGACTCTATCTCAAAACAAATTTTTTTAATGTTAAAAATAAAATTAAATAATAAAAAGCAGAATGAGACTTCTACTTTCAACCAGAATTGAATAACAGGAACCAGATTTACCTACTCACTTGAAATAACCCCCAAAATAGACAAAATATGTGAACAATGGGTTTCAAGACATTGGACATCAGATCGTGAAAGACAATGACTATGAAATATGATAAACAAATGAAATAAGCCCTATAATTGCCTCAAGCTTATTGCCATAAAAGAGTATCCAGGCAGTGGCACAAGGAAGAAAAACCTGGACAGAACCCAGTGGACTCCCTAAGTTTAGGACTCCCATTGTACAAGGAGACCAAGGCAGCTAGAGTTCATAGGATACATACTATACATACTGGAGGAGAGAGCTGCACAGAGAGTCCCCCTGGAGCTCTGCAGAGGAACACGCTCAAGTATTCAGCAAAGATCAGTGCACATTTATGAGGAAACTACCCAAGATTCAAGAAAGGAACATATGAAAGGATTAAAGAGAAGTGGACTGGCACTCACACAAGGCCAATAGTAGTGCCTGTTCCCCCTAGCTAGACATGAAAACCTCATCATTCACAGTGCATTGAGTAGAGTACTCAGGAAAGCCTTGCCTTGGTTGCAGGAATAATTAACCCTAGACTGAGCACTGTCATGGACCCACCTAATAAGTCATAAAAACAAGTCTAAAAGATTCAATCAATTTCCAAATAATTTAATTGCATTTCAAAACAAAGCTCAAGATTTATATAGGAATACAAAAATATCAAGCACCCAACATGACAAAATTAGCAATATCCTGCCATCCAGTCAAACATTATGGTAGAGAAATAAGCAGGAAAACACAGCTCAAAATGAGGAGAAAAGTCAGTTACAGCCAATTCAGATCTCACATGTAAATTAGAATAGCAGTCGAGCATATGAAAATAGTTATTTTAAGTGTATTCCATATGTTCAAAAAGTTAGGTGGAGAAATGTTAAGCTCTCCATTTAAATTAAATTTAAGAGAAATTTAATAAAATAAAATAAAAATTAAGAGAAAGTTAAGTGAAAAAAGTGAACTGAAATGGAAAATATAAAAAGATCCAAATCTAATCACCTACAGATGAAAGCAATAAAATGTCTCAGATAAAAAATATGTAGATGGAATTAATAGCTAATTAGACATTGAAGGCAAATTTGAAGACATAGCAATAGAAATGATCCAAAATGAAACACAAGAGAAAAAGTCCAAAAAAATTTAAAGAATCAGTTAGACTTCAAATTTTCATTCGGGCATGTAATCAGCTTAGAAGTTGCCACTCTATCCTAACAAGTAAAAAGCTGGACAAACGGAAAAACTAGCAACTCCTCTTACATATGTCAGAGAAGTGAGGATACAGGGCAAACTGCCAAAATGTGAGAGTGGAGTGACACATTGAAAGTGTTCAGGGTGAAAACCCACCAACCTAGAATTCTGTACCCTCTGAAATTATCTTTCAAAAGTGAAGGAGAAATAAAGACTTTCTCAGACAAACAAAACTTTAGGGAATTTGTTGCCAATGGATCTGTCTTGCAAAAAAATATTAAAAGTTGTTCTTCAGAAAAAGGAAAATAATATAGGTCAGAAACTCAGATCTACATAAAGAAAGAAAGAGTATAAAATAAAGAATAAGTGAAGGTAAAATAAACTTTTTCATTTTTTCCTATTCTCAGTTGATCTAACAAATAATACTTTGTTCAAAATGATAAAAGCAACAATGTATTCAATTAGGTATGCTTATATAGTTATATTTATGTATTTTATATATAAGTGAAATGAATGACAGCAATAATACAAAAAATGGGAGAAAGGAATTAGGGACATTTCATTATTTTAAAGTACATGCACTACTTGTGAACCACTGTAGTGTTGTTTGAAAGTGGAGTTGGGTTAATTGTAAATATATATTGTAAACTAGGGAAACCACTTTAAAAAGTTTAAAAAAGAGGAAGTAAAATTAATATGCTAATAAAGGAGAGAAAATGAAATCACATAGAATGCTTAATTAAAACCACAAAAGGCAGAAAAAAATGTAGAAGACAATAATAGGAACAAAGAAGAAGGGCAACCAATAGAAAATAATAACAAATATGACAGATATTGATCGAGCTATACCAATATTTACTTTAAATGTCAATGGTCCAAATATACAAATTAGAAGCCCAAAATTGTCAGAGTAGAGCAAAAACATGACCCAAAGATATGTTGACTATAAGAAACCCAGTTTAAATATAAAGTTGCATCCATTAAAGTATAGGGAGAGAGAGAGACATGCTGTGCTAAGACTAAACAAAAGAAAGTATGAGTAACCATATTAGCTTCAGACAATGCAGACTACAAAGCGAAGAAATTTATCTGGAATAGAAATGAGCGTTACATAATGATGAATGGGTCAATACTCCAAGAAAGCCTAATAATCCTTAACATGTATACACCTAACAACAGAGCCTCAAAATATATGAGACAAAAACTGATAGAACGGCAATGAAAAATAGATGCATTCACTATTATAGTTGGAGATTTTGACATCCCTCTATCAGAAATGGGCAGATTCAGCAGACAGAAAATCAGTAAGGACACAGCTGAACTCAACAGCACTATCAATCAATTGTATATAAATAACATCTATAGATTACTTCATCCAATAGCAGCAGATTACACATTCTTTTCAAGCACACATAGCATATTCACCAAAATAGAACACATTCTAGGCCATAAAAACACCTTAACAAATTTTTAAAAATAGAAGTCATATAATATCTGCTCTCAGGGACAATGGAATTAAACTAAAAATAAATAAATTACAGAAGTGAAACTAAAAATCAATACATAACAGAAAAATAGCTGAAAATCCCTCAAATTCCTGAAGATTAAACAACACACTTCAAAGATGAAATCTTAAAAGAAAATTTAAAATATATTGAATTAAATGAAAATACAACATATCAAAATGTTTAAGTTGCAGCAAAAGCAGTGCTTAAAGGGAAATTAATGGCAATGATTGCATATATTTAAAAATAAGAAAGACCTAAAACCAGTAATCAAAGTTTACGTGTTAGAAAACAAGAGAAAGAAGAGTAAATTAAATTCAAAGTAAGCAGATAAAAGACATGATACAAATTAGTGCAGAAATAAATGAAATTGAAAACTGGAAATTAATAGAGAAATTAACAAAAGCTGGTTCTTTGTAAATATCAATAAAACGTATAACCCTCTAGCCGGGCTAAGTAGGATAAGAAGAGTCAAGGCTAATTAACAGAAATGAAAGAGGGACATTACTACAAATCCCATGGACATTAAAAGGATAGTTAAGGAATATTATGAACAACTCTATGCCCATAAATTTCACAACCTAGTTGAAATGGACCAACTCCTTGAAAGATACAATCTTCTAAAACTCACACAAGAAGAAATAGGCAATCAGAAAAGGATTATCTCTATTAAACAAATTGAATCAATAATTAATAACCTTACAAAACAGAAAGCAACAGGCCCCAATGGGTTTGTTGGTAAATTCTACCAAACATTTAAGAAAGAAATTGTGCCTTAATCTCTTTCAGAATGCTTCCTAATTCAATCTATGAGGTCAGTTTTATCCTAATATCAAAACCAGAAAATTTCAGACCAATATCTCTCATAAATGTAGATGCAAAAATTCTAATGAAACATTAGCCACGAGGTCAGGAGATCGAGACCATCCTGGCTAATACGGTGAAACCCCGTCTCTACTAAAAATACAAAAAAAATTAGCCGGGCGTGGTGGCTGCGCCTGTAGTCCCAGCTAGTCGGGAGGCTGAGGCAGGAGAATGGCGTGAACCCGGGAGGCGGAGCTTGCAGTGAGCCGAGATCGCGCCAACACACTCCAGCCTGGGCGACAGAGCGAGACTCCGTCTCAAAAAAAAAAAAAAAAAAAGAGCAAATCAAACCCAACAATGTATGAAAAGAATTATACACCAAGACCAAGTGAAACTCACTCTAGGTATGCAATGCTGGCTCAAAATTTGAAAATCAATTAATGTAATCCACTACATCAACAGGCTAAAGGAGAAAAGTAACATGATTATATCAACCGATGCAGAAAGAATCTTTGACAAAATGCATGAAGAAAACTCTCAGCAAAATAGAAATAGAGGGAAATGTATTCAATCTGATAAAAAAAAAAAAATCTACCGTAAAAAGAAAAACCCAACAGCTAAAGTTATACTTAACAGTGAGAAACTTGACGCTTTCCTACCAAGATCAGAAATAATGCAAGAGTATCCTCCTGTCACCACTGCTTTTTAACATTTTACTGGAAGGCTTAGCTAATGCAATAAAAGAAAAAAAGGGTATACAAATTGGGAAAGAAGAAATAAAATGGTCTTTGTTCACAGATGACATGGTTGTGTAGAAAATCTAAAAGAATTGATACAAAGGAGATGGATTAGCTTTGGGAGGGAGAAAAATAAAAAATAAATAAAAACAAAAGAGAACATCTATTAAAATCTTACATTAGAATTTGGCTGATATGAGGAAATTTTGTTCTATTACAAAATGGAAGAATTAGAGAATTATTTCAGGTATTCTTACTGTGATCACAATCTCAGGTTATTGAAGACTTATGAGTCCTGATACAGACACAAAAGAGTAGAGAGTTTACCTAGTATTTAGTGGCAAATAACCAGTTTCTAAATTACTTTGACCTTCTCTGTTTTTCCTCTTTGTATATTGGCTATTGATTGTCTTATAGAAGATACAACCTGGGAATCAGAAAAATGTAATCCTGCTTTAAATTTCAGGTTTAAGAAAGAAGAAAAAAAGTGAAAAAAAAGAAGAAGAAAATAAAAGAAAGAAAATATAATAGGAGGCTCAACCTCGCTCTGTCTTTACTTTGGGAATTAGATGTGCATTCTTTTATGTTTTTACTAGAAAAAGAAAATGGAAAATTGGCCTTGCAGCCTTCTTCAATCCTTTTCGGTATTTTAAAATTTTCCAAACATCTAAGAAAATGAACAAATCATTATTTAGTTTCTGATAGGAGTTTGAGGGTTTCTAATTTCATACACAGGGATTCCTCTCCTAGAATGACATGTCTGCACTTGTATTTTTAGTCCTCCAATTTTCTCTTGGGAAAGTTGGTGGCTAGTGGGCTTTGGGATCAAATCCCATTTCTGCTACTTCCTACCTGTGTGACCTTGAGCAAGATGAGTCTCAGTTTCTTTATGTGTAAGATGGTATAATAATACCTTGTCATTAGAGTTGGGGGAGAATTAAACTGAGAAAACATATAATAGGCATGAACACTATATAGTTACACTATATAGTCCACCAAATACACTATATAATCTATACACTATACACTCTATAGTCTGCTGAATTGCTCAATTTATAGGAGACTCTGAAGTAGCCCTGTTTATTGTGTAAATCATGCCACATTTTGTTTCTCCACTTCTTAGGCTATTATGGAAGGCAGTGGCCGGATAAGAACAGAATCTTACCCTGATAGCAGCACTCTGGTCATTGATATAGCTGAAAGAGATGACTCTGGTGTTTACCACATCAATCTGAAAAACGAAGCTGGAGAGGCACATGCAAGCATCAAGGTTAAAGTTGTGGGTAAGTCCTCCAGGTAAACGCACTTCTAGAATCAAGCTGACATGTCAAGATTCAGAGTAGACTTTCCTTCTTTGTCCTTTCCTTCCATTTCCTTCCTTTGTCTTTCCCTTATCTTCTTTTTTTTTCTTGCCTAGAGGACTTATCATTGGAGAAAGAAGAGCTAAGGTCAGCCATTTGGGGTTGCTGGTCATTAGCTCTCCAAAGTCATATTCCCTTTTGGTGCCCTTTAAACATCACTGAAACACAATTGCTAAATAACTTCCCACATCACAATCATTACAGAGGGATTAGATCTGCCTTGTCCTTAGACAACTATCGAAGTGCATTTTTCCTAAGCCCAAAGCTGAATAAAATGAGTCTAGCAGATTACTACTGTTCCAAGGTCTGATGCTCTCCTCTTCTTACTTTAGTTTCTCCTTAAATGACATATTTCAAATTGACCAAAAACTGAGGTCATTTTTATCAGACACTGAACTATACTTACAAGATATTGTGACTCGCCATTTTTGACTTGGATTTCTACCAGCCAACATCTTGAGTCTTGTAAAACTCTTTGATTCAGTTCTGCGGAAGTTCACTTTGTAGTTAAAAACAACAACCACAACAACCATATTCAACATTTAGACAATAATTTCTTGGTTAACATTTTCAAGGTAAGGAATGAGAGTCTTGGGTTTCATATGGGGCTTATTCTGTAATGTTGGGACACGGGTTTAAGGGATTTGGAGACATCATTATTTTTATTTCGGGCAAGGGGTGGGCTCATCTTCCCTTATCCCATATTGAGCACAAATTTTTGCCCAAATTAATTACTAACTTGTATGAGTCTGTTTTCACGTTGCTGATAAAGGCCTACTAGAGACTGGGTAATTTATAAAGAAAAAGAGGTTTAATGGACTCACAGTTCCTTGTAGCTGGGGAGGCCTCACAATCATGGTGGAAGGTGAAAGCCATGTCTTCCATGGCAGCAGACAAGAGAGAGAGAATGAGAACCAAGCCAGAGGGGTTTCCCCTTACAAAACCATCAGATCCCTTGAGACTTACTCACTACCACGAGAACAGTATGTGGGAAACTGCCCCTGTGATTCAATTCTCTCCCACCAGGTCCCTCCCACAACATGTGGGAATTATGGGAGCTACAGTTCAAGATGAGATTTGGATGGGGACACAGCCAAACCATATCATAAGCATAATTCAGTAAACATGGGAAAGTACTCAGAAATAACAGTTTCAATGATTATCACCAAGAAACATATTTTCCTATTAACTTTTTTTTTCTACTCCCTCTTCCTTATTTTACTTTATCCTATTTTTTGTCTGCCACAGACTTCCCTGATCCTCCAGTGGCACCGACTGTGACAGAGGTGGGAGATGACTGGTGTATCATGAACTGGGAGCCTCCTGCCTACGACGGAGGCTCTCCAATCCTAGGTAACTGCATGTTGGTTAGTCTGTGTAACTGCCAGTACAGTTGTGTCCTCTTTACGCATCTTAGTACAGAGCACATTTTAAAGTATTGCATTTAGAAGAAAACCTATTTTACTGTGACTTTATGCATTCAAAATGAAATATATATGTTGAGATGCTCTGTAATTACTCGAGATTTAAATAGCTCTGATGAATATCATCTGATTGCTGGTTTCTTTTTTTGTTTGACATTTATACACACTAATTTTGAAGCAACTATAAGCCCAACTTCCACCATCCTAGCCAGTGAACGTCTGATTCTACATGATTTTGTCTATGAAGAAATTTATTTTAGAATTAAATAATTAGGCTGAGCATTGTGGCTCATACCTGTAATCCCAGCACTTTGGGAGGCCTAGGTGGGTGGATCACTTGAAGCTAGGAATTCGAGACCAGTCTGGCCAACATGGTAAAACCCCACCTCTATTAAAAATACAAAAATTAGCCGGGCATGGTGGTGCGCACCTGTGGTCCCAGCTACTCGCTACTCAGGAGGCTGAGGTGGGAGGATCACTTGGGCCCTGGGGCGTGGAGGTTGCAGTGAGCCAAGATCACACCACTGCACTCCAGCCTGGGCAACAGAGTGAGACTCTGTCTCAAAAAAAAAAAAAAAAAAAGAAAGAAAAAATATTTAAATGCTTAGAAGCATTTGCTTCCCCTATGCCATGAGAATTTTTTCTCTTTGCTAATAATGAGACTCACAAAACTGGTCATTTCCCTCTTCTTATCTTCCTTGCTGGGACTCAGAGTCAACTACATTGCCTCTGATTATATTGTTCACCTACAGTGACTAAGTTGCTATGGCTGACTTAACTGTGATCCATTTTTCTTCTCTTTGTAGTATAATTTTAATTTCTTAGTCCCATTATTTTCATCTATATTTTATATTAATATTTCTATTCTCTTGGAATAAGATAGGTTAAAAATATTTACATACATATATGACTATTTCACATAGATTGATGACAAAATGCAAAATTTTAAGGACTTCTATTATCTGACAATGTTTAATTTCAGAGACCAAGGAAAAACCTTAGTTTTCATTTTGCATACCTGCAGGATATTTTATTGAGAGGAAGAAGAAACAAAGCTCCAGGTGGATGAGGCTGAATTTTGATCTCTGCAAAGAAACAACTTTTGAGCCCAAGAAGATGATTGAAGGTGTGGCCTATGAGGTCCGCATCTTTGCAGTCAATGCCATTGGCATCTCCAAGCCCAGTATGCCCTCCAGGCCTTTTGTTCCTTTGGGTAAGTCAAGAGAGATGAGTCTTTGTCATCAGAATCATTGCCCCAGAGTATGACTGCTTTCTCTCTGATCCCTAACTGGAACAGGCCTGGACACTTCTTAGAGTTGTAGGTGGGCAGGAGCTTGAAACAGTTAGGTACAATTTTATGTCTAAGAAATTAAAAAGTAGGTTTGGTCAAGTTGAATAACTTCATAACATAGGCCCTGGAATTCGTTACCATAATTCCAGTGCCAACTGTGGGTGGCTCTGATTGCCATTCCCCACTGAAAACATATTGCTGAGTCCATGGACATGTGAGTACTTTCCATTTGCCCTTCTGAAGGTATTAACCTGTTAATATAACCCAGCTTAGTGTAAACAACTATCACTGAAACAAATTGAGATCGGTTCAACAGGCTACACTTGGAAACTGGTTTCTTTGCTTTATGGTCACACCTTAAATGTTATCTATTAAATCAAAAAAGTTAGTTCAGTGAAGGCAAAAAAAAAAGATATCTCCATTATTTTATGGCAATGAGGTATTTTTTTCAATGGAAAAAAATGTAATACAAGTTTGCACTTGGAAATTAGAGAGCAATGGGAAAATTACTCTAGATCATTAGATCCCAAACCTTGCCTTCTTCAACTTCTTTGGGCCTCCCAGCTTCCCACACCGGCTTCTCAATTTGGAAAAAAATCCATGACAGCATTTCCAAAATTCTCACATTGATCAGCTCTTTGCCTTACACACATCCATGCTCAAGGTGTCTTAACTGAATTTCATTAAGATGTAGGGCTTTTGTGTCTATTTTTATTTGTATCCCCATTGGTTTTATCACAGTTCCTGCACTATAGCTGTGTAGTAAATAGTTTATTCTTTTCTGTCTCTTTTATCTTTAAGCTGTAACAAGCCCTCCTACTCTTCTGACTGTGGACTCTGTCACTGACACGACTGTCACGATGAGGTGGCGCCCCCCAGACCACATTGGTGCAGCAGGTTTAGATGGCTATGTGCTAGAGTATTGCTTTGAAGGAAGTAAGTACAACCAGTAGATAAAATGAATACTGTCATCAATAGGTGAGATATGTCCCTCCCCTTTCTTTTGTCTCTCTTTCTTGAGAACGCATCACCTTCCTACGAAAATAAGATCAAGCCAAACGTCATCCTTCTGAGATGTATATAAACTAAGCCCTTTTTTAGTACTTGGTGCTTATAAATTGATATCTCAAAAGTATCTTGGCTAGGCTGCCAGATTGGACACTATAATTGAACTAAGAGATGGGAGGAAGAGATTGTAACAAAACTTTGGGGACTTCCACTTCTTAAACTGGTGGAATTGAATTGCACCACAGCAATATAAAAGTCTAGTTATGATGAAGCCAGTTGGAAATTCTAAAACCTATAATGAGCTGAAGTTAACTATCAAAAGAGTGACCTATTTTGGGTAATAAAGGGAGACTACATATTTGGCTAGTAATCATCACCTGCCTTCATCTAAAAATAAGATGAATTAAGAACTGCTCTTAGTTTTAAAGGAAGCAGCATTAAATCCTCGAGTGTATAAGAAATAAGTTCAATATGTAGCAGTAACTTATCTCAGGAGTTGGGGATATAAAACTGTAATCAGTTTAATTTAGGAGGGGAAGAGAAACAAGGCCATAAATTTTTAAAATCACTGATAGAAATAATAGAAAAAGAAAAAATGACAGAAGAAAATATGGGCCAGAATTACCTGAAAACCAAAAGAATGTGAAACTTACCAAAATCCTGTTGTGTTTCTTGGTTTCTTATTTGCCATAACTAGAAAGGGATGACATTTGAAAATGGCTCTGGACTTGGGTTCCATTCTAGATGCTGGTAGGTAAACAATCTCCCAGGAAACTTGTTCAAATTCCACAAACAGTGGCCCAAGACTTCACCTCCAGGAAAACTCTTTGGACACCAAACTTTAACACAGATCCTCGAAGTGAAGGAAGGAGGTTACGAAGCACATTTGGGAAATCAGGAATGTGAACGCAAATGCACCTCCCCTGGAGGAAACTCACTATGGAGATGAAACTTCCTATGAAGAGAAAACTGCTGAAAAAGAAATCCCAGGTGCCTGGATTGGGGCACCTGTGGAAATGCTCACCTCTGTTCTGGAGGGAGGAAGAGGAGAGGGACAATGAAGTATCCTGATACCCCTCAATCCCTCTTGCACCTACTCCACACACAGAGTCCTATAATTGGTTTCTCCAGGATTTAAAAAGCCACTAACCAAAAGCAGTGGAAACGTCAGAAATTTCCCAGGGTTAACCCAGTAAGGGAAGGGGATAGTGTCACTAATGCAACAAGTAAATTCTTGAGCACTTCAGTTTATTCCTCTTCCATCCTCCTGCCCCCATTTAAAAAAGTCATGAGCACTCCATTCTGTTTTTTTGTATTGTCCAGCCAGCAGAATATCCCAGTCTTATGTGTGATGTGGCCTTTGAGCATAAACCTTTTGTGTATGTATGAATCGAGCAAATTCTTTACTCTTTTCTTTCTGATAGGTTTAAAAAGTAAGAAGATACAGCAAAATGATAGATGGCTGTCATTTTGATGTTACCCACCTTAGATAAAATACAATGAAGTGTATTTTACAAAATTTTGCGTGTGGTCTGTGTAGATACATATGTATATCCGTATATACATATGTATATGTACACAGTCATTATTATGTATATATTTTGCCGAGTAACGTTCTGGAATTAGCTTTCTATGGGAGTTCTCTCACAACGTGTATCTCTTTCTTCTTGCAGTCTTTTCTTATTTTCTTTATGTGGCTGCCGACTCTTCATTCTCTTTTAATGGCTGTTGTCCTCCAGACTAATTTTCTATAGTGTTTAATGCTTTTAGAGACATCAGGTTTTATTCTGTAAGAGAATTCTTTGTTTTGTAAGATCGTGTGTTGTTTTGGACTCTGCCTTTCTCTCGTTTTTGTTTTGTTATTATTTTTTTAATGCCTGCAGCATTTTACTCTTCTTTGTTTTCTTTCTGCACTCTAGTTTTTTCTTTCCTTTCTTAAAAATTCTCCTCACATGTTAAATAACTTACATGTTCCTTCCTCATCCCCTGGGACACCATCTTCTTTGTCTGTGTTTCCCCAATTAAAGTGGTTCCAATGTGAAGAGATGGGCTATTTTTGTTCCCCCTCTGGTCTTGTTTCGTCCTGTTTTCTCTTGAAATTGTCTCTTTTACTAGTTCTTCACTCTTTTGTACATGTTTTCTGAGTCTCTTATTTTCACTTTCTCATCCACTGTCTCTTGACTATGAAAATACCAACACAGAAGCTCCCAAGCAGACCATTTGTTTAAAGATGTATCTCTTTTTCAAAGACATAAGGAATTTTTATTCTCCACATGCCTTACTAGCTGCCAGGATATTCTAGTTGCCTGTCCCTTCTCCTTGATACTCCTGTTAGGGTTAGAACAAGAGAGAGGCAAAAGTTCCAAGGGACAGCCAGTCCAGTCCCCAATGCCTCCACTCCTCTCCTGATACTGAGAAAGTCATCATCCCAAACCAGTGGGTATGCCCAAGACCACCCTGTGAGCCACCCATGCGGAACCCTGAGCAGGCTCAATTTGTTTTCTTGACAGAGTTCATTGTCATGGGAACCAGAACTGCCTCCTGAGCTGCTGGGGCAGCCTCCAATTCTATTCAGAACTTGGACCCTGGTAAAACAGGGCTGGCCTTATCCCAAGGGCCTGCACTCCCAGTCTTGAATGAGGGAGCCCCACTGTGGGAGCACCGTGTTCCCTGGGGACCCAAGAGAATCCTCCCCTGCTGGGGTGGCAGAGACAGGCACAAGGATAGACTGTCTCACTGTGCGCTGCTCCCCCGCAGATTCCAGGACCTGCTCCTCTGTTTTCTTCAGGGTCTTGCTTTGTTCTTCTCTATCTCTTCTTCCCACCACTGGAGGTGTCCCAGCCTCCTTTCTCCTCTTCTCTATTCTTTTCTTTTTTCTCCTCTTCTCTGTGGCAGGTGCCTCAGGTCAGAAGCCACAGTCTGCACAGAGCAGGCTGTGCTCTCCTGAGGAACCCCCCTAACACCGTTTGGTCTCTTCCGTCACTGCTCTGAGGACAAATCTCTTTGCACACTTTGCATACTTTACTAACAGAGAATGCTGACTGCTGATACGATATTATTCTGGTGTGAAAGTGGGTGTCTTTAATTAATTTTAATGACGGATTCTCAAAGGTACATCAGCAAAACAGTCTGATGAAAATGGGGAGGCTGCCTATGATCTGCCAGGTAAAGTATTCCGTGAAGCTCTCAAATTTTCTTACTATATTATAATGTTTCTGGGAATATTGAATGACCAAGCATGAAGAATACTCATCACATACATACACACACACACACACACACACACACACACACACATACACACACACACATCCTTAGAGATGGGGGAGAGGGAGCAGTGAGTTAATAATGTGGGATCAAAGTCTTCTTTCTTTCTGTGGGCAAAATGCATACTAACTTTTAGATGCTGAAACATTTGTAAGCCCTGAATGCTGGGTTAAAATTCTCTCGATGTGATACACAAGCTGCCAAAAACTTTTTAAAATTAGATTTTGGTTGCAAGGATAGAATTCTACCAACTCCTTATGAGGAATCAGCCCATGAACTGTTTTCTCTTTGTGAAATAAGCTTTTTCTCTTCATCAATGTGAATAAATATGATCAAGTTCCCTCTACCCATGTTAGTGTCTTACAATAGTAAATCAGCCAAGATAAAAACATATATATGACTATAAAGGTCAATGTCTCATTCATAAAGATAGCCTTTTCCTGTTTTTCTGAACTTTAATGTGTATAGATGACTAGCTATCATGATTGCATGAATCATTATAAAACCAAATTGGAATAAAACTGCTACAGAATTCTTGTGGACAGTTACTATTATTCAGGATGCTTTCATGCTGAATAAAGATTTTTCAGAAACAGCAGAATCTTATAGTTTATTTTTCCTGTTATTTATGTTAGCTATTTTAGGCTGTTTTTTATTTAATATATGAAAAATGTCCACCCATGTAGTCGGAGTCCAGACCAAAGTCATAATGTCTCTAAATGATGTATTATTATGAGTAAAATACTAATTTGGAGTTGACTGTAATGGTTAAGATGATTTTTTTCACTAAACAGCATTCCTCCTTCTTTTCCTTTTCTTTTACGGACTTCAGCTGAGGACTGGATAGTTGCAAACAAAGATCTGATTGACAAGACGAAGTTCACCATCACAGGTCTGCCAACAGATGCAAAGATCTTTGTGCGTGTGAAGGCTGTTAATGCAGCTGGTGCCAGCGAGCCCAAGTACTATTCTCAGCCCATTCTCGTGAAGGAAATCATAGGTAGGAGACAAGGCTTTCAAAAGTTAGACTCCATTTTACATGGTTCACTTTTTTTTTCTTCAAACTACTTTCTTTCTCAAAACCTCCTATTTTGTTGTTACTCCTTTGATATTTTGTTAATGCTTTAATGCTTCCTAAGAGTTAGAACTTAATAAAGCAGCTCTCTTCAGGCAATGTGGGAGATCACCTTCAGGTTTATCTTGGTACTCTGAGGACCAGTTAGTTAACCTCTCCTGGTTCCAGGAGCCAACTCTGGCTGGGCTGCCTATTTACAGTGGAGAGAGAGTATGTTCATACAACCATGCAAACAATCCCTACGACAACCATATGCCTCCAATGAATCTGCAGGGTCAGAACTATTTTCATAATATTATGAAAATATTATGTGTACCTTTCAGTGTTTTGACATCTTCACTGATAGTATAAAAATGAAGGTGAGTAAAACTGTTGATACCTTAGTATGAAATCAAGTCAGTGCCACGGAGCCATACTAGCCAGCCTTGCCTTCCTCACCACCATGCACTCAACAGATGAAATAAAAGGGCCAGTTTTGCCTTAGAGTCTCTTTTTTTTATTTTTGAGATGGAGTTTTGCTCTTGTTGCCCAGGCTGGAGTGCAATGGCACAATCTTGGCCACTGCAACCTCTGCCTCCCGGGTTCAAGCAATTCTTCTGCCTCAGCCTCCCAAGTAGTTGGGATTATAGACATGCACCACTACGCCTGGCTAATTTTTTTGGTATTTTTTAGTAGAGACAGGGTTTCACCATGTTGGTCAGGCTGGTCTCGAACTCCTGACCTCAAGTGATCCACCTGCCTCAGCCTCCCAAAGTGCTGGGATTACAGGCGTGAGCCACCACGCCTGGCCCTTAGAGTGTTCTTAATGAAGCATAAAAATAATTAATTTTGGCTGAGCACAATGCCTCATGCCTGTAATTCCAGTATTTTGGGAGGCTGAGGCGGGCAGATCACTTAAGCCCAGGAGTTTGAGACCAGCCTGGGGAACATGGCAAAACCACGTCTTTACTAAAAATACAAAAATTTGCTGGGTGTGGTGGCACACGCCTGTGGTCCCAGCTACTCAGGAGGCTGAGGTGGGAGAATCACTTGAACCCAGGAGGCGGAGGCTGCAGTGAGCCAAGATCACGCCACTGCACTTCAGCCTGGGTGACAGAGCAAGACCTTGTCTCAAATAAAACAAAACAAGAATAAGAATAATAACTTTCATCAAATCTTGGCTCTTGAGTATGTTTTTTTTCTAGACTTGTGTGACAATGAAATGCAAAGTATGTCTGAAGTACTTAGGCTGCACACTGCAGTACAATGGTTGTCCCCAGGAAAAGCACCGTACAACTGAGTTGGAGGATGAATAGGTGACTTTTTTGCACAGAAGCTCCACTTTTACTTGGGGAAATAAGTAAGAAGAACTGCTTCATCCCTGTGAGCCTATGAGCCTTTGACTCCCTGCTCCTGATGGATTTGCAGTGACATGCTCTAGTATCTTCATGATGTTTAATTAATGAATATTAATACACAGTGGGCCAGGGTTGCCTATTATGTACTTCACCACAGTCACACAGGGAGAAAGTTACTGTCGAACTCCAACAGAGTCACCTAAATAGCAAGTGCTGGGTGCTAACATTTTGTTTTTTTCTGGTAAGGAAGAATGGACAGTCCTCCCAGCTAATGTGGTGCCTATAGATCTTTCGTGGAATGTTCCCTTGCAAATATACTCACTGTTAGAAACTATGAATAACTGGCCAGACGCGGTGGCTCATGCCGGTAATCCCAGCACTTTGGGAGACTAAGGCAGGTGGATCACCTGAGGTCACAAGTTTGAGACTAGCCTGGCCAACATGGCAAAATCCCATCTCTACTAAAAATACAAAAATTAGCCAGGCGTGGTGGCATGTGCCTGTAGTCTCAGCTACTTGGGAGGCTGAGACATGAGAATCGCTTGAACCCAGGAGGCGGAGGTTGCAGTGAGCAATGCCACTGCACTCCAGCCTGGGCGACAGAGAGAGACTCTCTGAAAAAAAAAAAGAAAAAAAAAAAGAAACTATGAAAAGTATGCATAGTATGTATAAGGCCCTAAGAGAAAATGTATTTTTCTATAAAGTTGCTTTAGGCTTATTACAACAATAAAAATACAAAGTTGCAATAAAGCCAAGGATGTCAGGGATAAATTTTGCTGAGTCAAACTGTTAAAACATCTCTGTGTGGAAACCACACACACACACACACACACACACACACACATTTTGAACCAGTTACTATATATCGTCTGTTAGTGGCACATCTCAGAGTTTATTGCAGAGATATGCCACAAGGGTACGCTGGTGAGCATCATGCCATTTTGCTTTTGTAAGGCTATTTTCAGACACCAGACTGATTGCAAAATTGTGCTATTTTACCCTCTCTCAGAACCTCCAAAGATTCGCATTCCAAGACACCTGAAGCAAACCTATATCCGCAGAGTTGGAGAAGCTGTCAATCTGGTTATACCTTTCCAGGTAAGAGTTCAAGGGTCGCTCTTTTTCTCTTTAGAGGGCTGGATTAGTTTAGGAAGTGGGAAGAGGTACTCTAGCATTTAAGTTCATCATGATTCAGGATTTCCTCAGAGGGAGAGGAGGTAAATAAAGAATGAAAGAGTATTGGAGAATGATTAAGCAATCTCCTGCTGTCAAAATAGAGAAATCTATAGAAACCATCACAGATTTTCTTTCTGCATGAGACAAATGAGATATAGTCTTGCCTGAAGCTCAGCGACTATGGTGGGCAGGGAAGAAACATCAAGGAGATACCAAATGAAGAAATGCTTGAAGACTCTTTTGGTCCTATACGTTTGTAAAACCCATCATTTTAAGTGAAGCTCTCAGTGTAACATTCAGGAAAACAGTGTGTGCTTAGTTCCCACAATGACCCCAAACCAAAATAATTTCAATAAGGGGGACAACTGAAATTTGAAATAACGATGACACTAACTGAAATATATGAACAATATTAAATCATTGTTCCAGCAAAAGAATCTGTTCTTCACAAAATTCACTAGTCTTTACTTACAATAGTCAATTTTGGTCTTATACAAATACACACACACACCCTGCACCTCCCAACCCTTACTCTCCAACTCCCTATTCATATGACACCTCCAGACAGTGCTGTTCAATAGAACTTTCTTCAATGTTAGAAATGTTCTATATCAATGCTGTCCAATATGGTAGCCACTAGCCACATGTGGCTGTTGAGCACTTGAAACGTGTAACTAGGAACTAGTGTGACTGGAGAAATAAATTTTTAATTTTCTTCAATTTTAATTAATTTTAATTTAAATAGCCACGTGTACCTTGTGGCTATCGTATCAGCCAGCCTGGCCTTAGAATGTAGGTCTCTACACACATTTGACACTCATATACACACACACACACACACACACACACACTCACACACACACACTCACACATGCACACATGCACACACAGAGAGAACTCTGTTCAAACCCAGGCTCCCATGAAACCAAACTAAAGGGATGGCCAATTCAGGCCATCCTCATTGCACTCCGGGTGCAAACCTAAGGAGAGACATTGTGTACTACATACCCCCGGCATGAAATCAGAATGAAAGCCAAGGAGGAAGTGAAGCAGAACACAGCCCAGGAGGAAGTGGGTGGCTTGGCAAGGTTCTTCTCACTTTCCTTCTCTTGCAGCATCAAATAAAACCAGAAGTGGCAACAAGGCAGGTATTGGGGACCCAGCCCCAACCCTGCACTGGGGCTGCTGAGTCAGCCCTCAAGCCTCCACATCGTTCCTGCCACCACAACTAATCCCAGTTCCCAGATCTGGGGGTCTGCGTGTTCAGCTTCTGTCACTGAGTCTGAGAGAGAAAAAATCATGAGAACAGGGACCGCATAGATCTGGCATCCCAGAGACTGTTCAGCCCCCAGGAAGGGAGATGAGACCAAAGTGTGATGTTTGTATATTTGTGTAATCTCTAGAGTTCGCAAACATTTTCTCATTTGATCCTCAGAAACACCCTGTGAGGCAGGAAGGCCAGATTTCCTTACCTTGCTTGAGAAGGGAAGAAACTGAAAGGGAAGTTAAGTGACTTGCCCAATGTCACACAGAAAGTCAATGGTAGGGCCAAGAACAGAGTCCATGGCCCGGTCACTTAATTCAGTGGTTTTTTCCACTCTGTATATTATTAGAGAACCCACATTTTTCCCTAGTGGCTAACAGCAAGTTGTACATTTAAGGAAATAAGCTTGAACTGTTTTTCCCTATCTTCAACAACGTCGTTCTCTGCTTCCCATGTGTGAGTCTGAGCATCCCCAACCACTCTTCAGGCTCTGAAGCAGGGGTTTGGTGTGTAGCTCTACATCTCTTATTATAACCTAGCCATGTTCAGAGCCCACAGGAAAGCTGTGCCTTACCTGACAGAATTCATGCTTGGTTCCTGTCTGCCAGGGTACGCCTGGATGCTTGGGGATTCTAGGAAATTCCTTTGTAATAGAAATGGAAACTCAGGTTCATGAATGGGATTATGATTTCTTAAATTCTGCTCTTAAAGAATAGTTTCAACAGCGAGAGGGAACAGAGAGAGAATTCTAGACAAGTCTAAAATGAGCAGCACAGGACAGTAGAATAGTAATCATTAACATTTAGATGATATTGGCCGGGCACGGTGGCTCACACCCATAATCCCAGCACTTTGGAAGGCTGAGGCGTGTGAATCACATGAGGTCAGGAGTTCAAGACCAGCCTGGCCAACTTGGTGAAACCCTGTTTCTACTAACAACTAAAAAAATTAGCCAAGCATGGTGGTGCGTGCCTGTAAACCCAAGTACTTGGGAGGGTGAGCAGGAGAATCCCTTGAACCCAGGAGGTGGAGGTTGCAGTGAGCCAAGATTGTGCCACTGCACTCCAGCCTGGGCGACAAGAGCCAAACTCTGTCAAAAAAAAAAATTTAGATGATATTAACTACAAAAACTTATGTATTGGGCAGAAGCTTTCTCAGCACTTTAATCTTTATAACCACTCTTTGAGATAGGTACTACCATTATTCCCGTTGAGGCACAGAAAGCTTAGTAACTTGCCCAGGGTCACACAGACGTTAAGTGGTCAGGAGCTAGACATAGATTCCAGGGCCCCAGAGCCCATGCTCTTAACAATTATCCTGTGTTGTGCAGGCTTTTGGAGACTAGGAGACCCAGCTGGGAGACCTGGTTCCAGTGCTTACCTAACTGCAGGACCTTGGACAAATTATTTAACTTCTCTATCCAAAAAATGAGGATAATGATAAGCTTGATGTGAAGATTAAGGAAAATAATCAATGTTATGTACCTAAGGTAGTGCCTTGCACATAAAATACAGATTACAGCTTTGCTGCTGTAATTGCTCACCACCAGACTAGAAGGGTGGTATTTTCCAGCCCTGCCTAGAATGGGTTAAGCCACTGTCCTTCTCATAATGCTGAAGAAACATCTTGAGACAATATGATTTACCCTCTCTACTTTTGCTGTCTTTCTTTTTAGGGAAAACCAAGACCAGAATTAACTTGGAAGAAGGATGGTGCAGAAATTGATAAGAATCAAATAAACATTCGCAACTCTGAGACTGATACAATCATATTTATTAGAAAAGCAGAGAGGAGCCACTCTGGGAAATATGATCTGCAAGTCAAAGTGGACAAATTCGTGGAGACCGCATCAATTGACATCCAGATCATTGGTAGGTTTAGATGAAGGAGCCAGAAAGTTCTGTCAAAGCAGTACAGGGATGAATTGTCCTTGTCCCTAAGGCAAGAGCAGGAGTTTTGTTAGGCTGGCTCTACATAAAACTCTTTTTTTAGATTTATTTTTTAAAAATAGATAAATTAGGCTGGGCGTGGTAGCTTACACCTGTAATCCCAGTACTTTGGGAGGCCAACGTAGGCGGATCACTTGGGGTCAGGAGTTCAAGACCAGCCTGGCCAACATTGTGAAGCCCCGTCTCTACTAAAAATACAAAAAGTAGCTGGGCATGGTGGCGTGCACCTGTAATCCCAGCTACTCAGGAAACTGAGGCAGGAGAATCGCTTGAACCTGGGAGGTGGAAGTTGCAGTGAGCTGAGATCATGCCACTGCACTCTAGCCTGGGTGACAGAGTGAGACTCTGTCTCCAAAAAAAGGACAGTAAGATTTGTTACCATTTCAAAATGAATTCTCACCAACTCAAAGGACTAATCACAGGAGATTTAAGGCATATATGTTCAAGAAAATTAATGGATGTGCTTTTTAGTGAAATCCTTCTGCACTATTCTATAACCCAGCTGTCTCTTTCTCTTAGTTTCTCATCTCCCTGATGATAAAATTATTTCTTATGTTGAATTCTTACATTCTAGACAGTATAGATTCTAGCTATAGTTTAACATGTTTCTTACTACACCTAAAATTTGCTAATGAAGTTTTCATGGAGAATGAAGAATTTTTTTTAATATTAATATAAGGAAGATGTACCTAAGCAAAATTGAACAGTTAAATACTGAATTCTTTGATCCTGCCAGAGTAGTTAGATACGTACCTGCCCAAAAAATAAATAAGGTTAGTTCTTACTTCTGTCCAGAGTCAGGGGAATAGAGGAAGGACCCCTTGTGGATAGACTCCTCTCACTTAAATTATACTGTAATTTTTGCAACGTCAAGAAATAAATTTAAGGCCGGGTGTGGTGGCTCACACCTGTAATACCAGCACTTTGGGAGGTGGGCAGATCACTTGGGGCCAGGAGTTTGAGACAAGCCTGGACAATATGGTAAAAACCTGTCTGTACTAAAAATGCAAAAATTAGCCAGACATTGTGGCACACACTTGTGGTCCCAGCTACTTGGGAGGCTGAGGCATGAAAATCGCTTGAACCTGGGAGGAGGAGACTGCTGTGAGCCAAGATTTCACCACTGCACTCAGCCTGGGTGACAGACCATGACTCTGTCTCCAAAAAAAAAAAAAAAAAAAAAAGGAAAGAAAGAAATTTAAGAGCAGAGCTAGAAAAACGTTGTTTCCAATCATTGTTATCATTGTATTTCAGTAAATTTGCTGAAAGTTGCTCTAACCAAAGGGGCAACTTCCTGTAACAGCCTCCCTTAAAGGGTCATTCCCTTTAAACTAAGCACTCTTTCCCCACTGGCTAATCCGTTTTGAGTTTTGTTAAGTTGCAGGGAGTGTTGAGGCTGCTCTGTGCCCTTTGATCTGGCCTGGCTCCATACTACTGGAAGGCAAAGGGTCTCAGAAGCCCCCATGGTAGGGTCTAGAAGAGTGATGCCTCCTGTAACAGAGGAAAGGGTCTTTTAAAATATCCTCATGAAACAAAATGTAGACTGGGAAAGAAAGTGACCTTGCAGTGACACCATGAATTCATCCTGTAGACCGTCCAGGTCCACCCCAAATTGTGAAGATTGAGGATGTCTGGGGAGAAAATGTCGCTCTCACATGGACTCCACCAAAGGATGATGGAAATGCTGCTATCACAGGCTATACCATTCAGAAGGCTGACAAGAAGAGCATGGTAAGGTCTGGCTTTCTCTGGTTCATCAGTAGCAAAAGGCACATTTCATCAGAGGTAAAGGAGATGGCACAAGGGCCTCACTGGTAAGGAGCCAACTGGGGCTATGGAGAAGTGATGTGGCAGAGCAGAAAGGAAAAGACCTGTGGAGCCACAGAGCTGGTCTTAAACCCCAGCATTGCTACTTAAGACCACATGTATAAGGACCACACGTGACCACAATCACTTGAGCTCTTTGATCTCTATTTTCCTCATCTATGTAATGGGGGCACAAATATCCCTTGCTTGATTATTACAAAGCTAAAATGATATAAAGCAACTGGTTCAATGTTCAGTAGAATTCAATAAACTCATTCATTCAACAAATATTTGCTCAAGACTTTGACTCAGATTTACACCCATGCAACTCTTTCTCCTTGTGAAATAAATGTTGGATACTGTGCACTTATGTCTACAAAAAAGTAAAAAGACAGACACCAGTTAGAACAGAAAGATTCTACAAGGTTACAGCATGTGCAAATGCGGAAAGGTCTGGAGAAAAAGAGCTTAATGCAAACTTGTCCAACCCGTGGCCCACAGGCCTCATGCAACCCAGGATGGCTTTGAATGCAGCCCAACACATATTTGTAAACTTTCTTAAAACGTTATGAGTTTTTTTATGATTTTTTTTCAGCTCATCAGCTATCGTTAGCGTTAGTCTATTTTATGTGTGGCCCAAGACAATTCTTTTTCCAGGGAAGCCAAAAGATTGAAAACCCCTGGCTTAATGTGTTTAAAAAGCAACCTAGTTGGAGTATGACTTATTATAAACTTATTTTATAGATGAGGAAACTGAGGCTTGCAGAGGATAAATGACTTGCTAAAGATCACCAGATTTTCTCACGCCTGAAATCCCAGCTACTTGGGAGGCTGAGGCAGGAGAATTGCTTGAACTCGGAAGGTGGAGGTTGTAGTGAGCTGAGATTGTGCCACTGTACTGTAGCCAGGATGACAGAACAAGACTCCATCTCAAAAAGAAAAAACAGAACCAAAGTTAATAATATCAGCTGGGAGCAGTGGCTCATACCTGTAGTCCCAGCACTTTGGAAGGCTGAGGCAGGAGGATTGCTTGAGCCCAGGAGTTTGAGACCAGCCTGGACAACATAGGGAGACCTCCTCTCTCTAAAAAATAAATTAGCTGGGTGTGGTAGCACGTGCCTGTAGTCCCAGTTACTCGGGAGGCTGAGGTGAAAGGGTCTATTGAGCCCGGGAGGTCAAGACTATAGTAAGCCAAGATTGCATCACTGCACTCCAGCCTGGGTGACAGAGTGAGATCCTGTCTCAAAAAGAAAAAAAAAATAATAATGTTAAATAAATGTACTGGATATTACTAATGTTTCTCTAGTGATTTAGCTTCAGGTCTTTCTCATAATAAGTTGGCACTAAAATTCTGTAGTTATACTTTATTCTACAAAAGATAGCTAGGAAGACAAATAGGTAGGTAGACAGGTAGATAAATAGATGACAGACACCTAAAGGTTATGAAAAAATATAAAGATAGTAGATGGCAACTAGGGTATATGAATCTAATGTGTAAATGAAGATTAAATTACATAGTCAATTGCAAATAAGTTGTGAAATATTAAACAAAATATACATTGTTTCAACACATTTTAACAACATATATTATTACTCTCCATATAAAAATGAGTGGTCTTTTTTTCTTTTTGTTAATAAAGCATCCTTGTTATTTATCCCAATCTACAGTTAGAAAAATTGTATACTTTTAGGTGATTTTCCTCCAGTTATTATTTTTTTTTCTTTTAGGAATGGTTTACTGTCATTGAGCATTATCATCGAACCAGTGCCACCATTACTGAATTGGTCATAGGGAATGAATATTACTTCCGGGTCTTTTCTGAAAACATGTGTGGCCTCAGTGAGGATGCCACCATGACTAAAGAGAGTGCAGTGATCGCCAGGGATGGTGAGTTGGGAATGGACTGACATTTGAAAACCTTGGTTGACAGTGACCAGACAGAGAAGACTGGAAAAAGAGATGTGGTGAAAGGGAACAAAAAAATGGTAAATGTACATTGTAAAATTATGATAATGGTGTTCAAGTAAAATTTTAATTTTACAGGTAAAATTTAAGTGAAATTGTATTATTATTGCATTTTTTACAAATATAGGCTTTAATTAATTCCAGGTTCTAGGCAGTGGATCTATAAATGGCTAATACCCCAGAGGCTGGAAGAAGTAGACATTTTCTTCTAGAGTTTCTACTTTTATTCTTGGACACCTTTATTGTAGCTACACATGGGACCCACTCTGTGATAAAAGGAGAAACTAAATTCTATCCTTATCTTTTCTTTTCATCATAAACCACTCTTCTTAAAACCTTCCTTGTGTATTTTCACATTAGAACAAATTTCTATTCAAAATACTCAGAAAGACACCAAAGTCTTCTCAATATCTGGTTCAGTTTCAGATGACCCCTCTGGCTTTCTATCCCACGTGTGATTGGCTATACGTTTATACCCCTCAGAATGTTTGCCACATGGCATTTGCTCATCTTTGTCCATGTTTTTCTAAGTTCAGGGAAGTTTTAATCATGTGTAAAGTATGCCACCAATAATATATTCTCAGGCCAATTTACATAATTTTAACATATTTGTAATGCTTGTTTTTAAGGTAAAATCTACAAAAATCCAGTGTATGAAGACTTTGATTTCTCAGAGGCACCCATGTTTACTCAGCCTTTGGTTAACACCTATGCCATAGCTGGTTACAATGCCACCCTAAACTGCAGTGTGAGAGGAAATCCTAAGGTACCATGTTCTTCTATCACATCAGTTAAAGTCCCTGTCTTGTATTTGTTGTGTTATAATGTAAGTAACAATGTAAACAAATCCAGCTGCTACTTGTGTCTTCCCAGGATGGGGGATTAGAAGGTGGTAGTGGTGGTAGATTATTAGGCACACTATTCAGATGTAGTAGTAAAAAATGCTTACATTTCTTTGCTAAGGGATTCCTTCTAAAGAAAAAGCAAACCACCTATTTAAAAAAGAACATCTCCTGTGTAAGGAGATGGAAGTATAATAATATTGTTTCACTTGGAAAATTAGGTGGTAATGTCAAGAATTCTGTGATAGGTTAAAGTAAACAACAATCACACTACACTGTCTGCGATAGGTTAAAGTAAACAACAATTACACTACACTGTAAGACAGAATATGAATGTGCTTTGATAAGGGTACAGTGTGCTAAGAAGGGAGCTATCATATCCAGTTGAAGAGATTAGAAAGGTTTCAAGGTTTCATGTTTGCATTTGAAAAGAACAACGAATTAATGAATATCGCCCATAGAGATGTACATATCCCTGGGTGCAAGACAGAAAGTACCCTAGAATTGGGAAAATTTATGAACTTCTTTTTTTCCTGTATATACCTTGATCAGAAATAGGGAAGTCGTCCGGGCGCAGTGGCTCATGCCTGTAATCCGAACACTTTGGAGGCTGAGGCAGGCGGATCACTTGGTCAGGAGTTCGAGACCAGCCTGGGCAACATGGTCTCTACTAAAAATAGAAAAATTAGCTGGGCATGGTGGCACATGCCTGTGATCCCAGCTACTTGGGAGGCTGAGGCAGGAGAATTGCATGAACCTGGGAGGTGGAGGTTGCAGTGAGCTGAGATAGCACCACTGCACTCTAGTCTGGGTAACAGAAGAAGACTCCGTCTCAAAAAAAAAAAAAAAAGGAAAATCAAAGGAAGAAGTCAGACTAAGGATGAGAGAAAGGTGCTGAACTAATGTTTACTTGGAAATGATGTTGGTACATCCAAATGGGAATGATGAGGAAGCAGATGGAGAGGTTCACCCGGAGCCTAGGAGAAAGGCCAGGGCTGTTGCTCTTGGTTTGGGAGTCCCATACATAAAGATGCTACATTCTACCCCTTGCCAAAGCTTTAGAAAGGTGTGAGGCTCAGTGATCGCTCCCATTTGACGGGTGGAAGGAAGAAGAAGACTGTGTGAAGGAGACAGAAAAGGTGCCATCTCTAGGTTCTGAGCAAGACAAAATAATAGAAGAGGTGGAAGAGAGAATGCAGAGGGTGCATATTTACAAAAGAAAGGAGAAGACAATATGAGAGTGAGGAGTCACTGATATCAAATGCAGTTCAGAAGTCAAGGAGAATGAAGTCATCTTCCTGGGCAATTGGGTCATTACTGATCTTGCATTATCTGATTGGAGTAGATCCATTGCCATGGGATGATGAATATAGACATCAGAGGACAGATTAAGTAATGAGGAGGCAGATGCAGTTCATAAAGAATTAAAAAACAGTATCAGGAAAAGGAAGTGAAGAAAATCAAATGATCGTGACACTTTATGGGGTTTCTCTGAAAAAAATGCTCAGCAAATATGCACTCTCTACAATGAGTTAACAACATGGACCTATGGATGACATTGTTTTTTAATTTGAAAGTATTTAATTGGCAAATAAAGGTCATATACATTCAAGCTGAACAATATGATGATTTGATATATGTACACATTGTGTAATGATTATCACAATCAAATTAATACATTCATCAGTACCGATGCTGTACATTCGATGCCCAGAACTTGTTCATCCTGTAACTGAAAGTTTGCACCCATGTAGATCAAATTGAAATGCAACTGAATCCATTTGAGAAGATTGCCCTAGAGTTACCTCTGAACACATCTGGCTTTCTTTGTTAGAACTGTTAGTTTGCTTATTTGCCAAGCACTAAGTAGAGTTTAATGTGAGAAATAGTGTCAAGTAAAAGTCTATCCTTCTCAGATGCACTTTCTTTTTAAGCCATGCTTTAAAATTCTGTCACTGGCTTTGATGGTCTATTAATATGCCAATTACAGATATGTTTTGACCTAAGTTTCTTCAATTTGAACTTCAGCCTAAAATAACCTGGATGAAAAACAAAGTTGCTATTGTGGATGATCCAAGATACAGGATGTTCAGCAACCAGGGAGTCTGTACCCTGGAAATTCGCAAGCCCAGCCCCTATGATGGAGGCACTTACTGCTGCAAAGCAGTCAATGACCTTGGGACAGTGGAGATTGAATGCAAACTGGAGGTGAAAGGTATGACATCCAATATCTCACGTATAGACTAAAGTTAAAGAAAATCATTGAATTATTGTTCTTAATGCTTATTGTTCTTAATCCAAATTGCTTGCCAAAATGCTGCAGCGAGGGTGGGAGAGGGTGGTGAGGGCAAGGGAAGCAGGGAGGGAATTAAGGGAGAGAAGACATTTTTACATCCTGCATTCACTTCACTTTATTTGTGGAAGGCTACTTGTTATTTAAGTCAACTTATTTTTATCTTATGTGATTTGTGCTAAGGGACTGTTAATTTCAGTGGAATGTTAGTGTGTGTACAGCATGGTAAGAATGAAAGGGGCTATCACTTTGGTGACATAACCCATCTATAAATAGAAGCCTAGTGTAAAAATCCATCTATTGAAATGACAGTTGAGTAATCTGCACTATTTTTAATTAGTTTACTATTTTGTAAAGTTTGTTATTTTCTGATATTTATAGAAATAGTTTTGCTAATTAAGTGTTTGATATTACACATATAGAATATAGCATATACATATTATAACAGGCTGCTTTTCAAATCTCTAACTGGAGAACTTCCATTTATAGGTATACATTTCATTTATACTAGTTTTCAAAGTGTAGCAACTAATGTAAACCAAGAAAACACATAAGGATTTATGCGGTTGAAAAGCATAACCTGCCATCTTAATCAATTTTCAAATTAATCAACTACCATTTTTATGCTGATATTTTTCTTTACAAGCAGAACCTACTTTGGGACACCATGAAAACCCCTTCAAAGAGTCACCATTATGAGATAATAGGTGACATGATCCTAATGTGTTTTCTCTCATTCTTAACTGTATTATATTGCCATTCTGTAATAACCAAAATCTTTCTTTTTCCAACCTCTCTATAATGAAGAAATTATAATCAAAAACTAGTAAATATCTATTTTAGAAAATCATAGTAAATGCTTGGGTATTTATGTTTTTTAAAAAGAGTCTTTTAGTCCTAAATCTAGTATAAATATGAGAGGGAAACTTCTTGAACAAAATAACTTTCATATATATATATATATATATATATATATATATATATATTTTTTTTTTTTTTTTTTTTTTTTTTTTTTTTTTGAGACAAGGTCTTGCTCTGTCACCCAGGCTGGAGTGGAAGGGTGCGATCTCAGCTCACTGCGACCTCTGCCTCCTGGGTTCAAGCAATTCTCGTGCCTCAGCCTCTTGAGTAGCTGGGATTACAGGCATGCAGCACCACACCCAGCTTATTTTTGTATCTTCAGTAAAGACGGGTTTTTGCCGTGTTGGCCAGGCTGGTCTCAAACTCCTGGCCTCAAGCAATCCATCTGCCTTGGCCTCTCAAAGTGCTGGGATTATAGGCGTGAGCCACTGCACCCAGCTGCTTTCCTCTTACAACTTTTTAAAGCTGTATTCTTTCTTTCACAATTCATAATTGAGTGAAAGGAAAAAGATTTGATTTTTTTTTCCTCACAAATATAAGGCATATAATATTCTTAGAAAATTTCAAGCCTTACTATTGAGATAACCCTTACAAATTTAAACATTTTTAGCTGCTTTATTGGCTTTAAATGATTAAGTTCATAATTGCAAGTCATCTGGTTTCTAAACTGCTAGCCTTATTAGTTCCAAAGTATTGTTGATGCTTTTGTTTCAATATCCCCCCAAAAAACAAAAACTAAAAAAAAAAGTACCACTTATTTATGCTTTGAAACTAGCTGAATGTTGTTAATGATATAAAATGATGCTTTAACAAATGGAACAATATTTGGGGCCCTCCTTAAAAGCGAATAGTATTATACATATACATGATATATTCTTTTTAGTGAAAATGTAGTAAATGGTACAGTAATTAAATTTGATAAAAAGAATAATGTATTCTAGTACATAAGTTCGTAATAAAGTATCAATTGTGATATATTGATAAAAGCTTTTGGTCCTAAAAGTAAAGCTGAAATTGTTTATCATCAGACTGTTACTCTGATAATAGGTAACTTGAATCAAGTTGAGTTGTGAAAAAAGGTAAGAATGTCAACTGAGAATAAATAAATACTGGTACAAATATTCTGATTCTGCAGTGATATATCAAGGAGTAAATACCCCTGGACAACCAGTCTTCCTGGAGGGGCAGCAACAGGTTTAAAAAGTTTATATCCCACTGGATATTCTACTTTCCGTTCCATTCCTCTTACATGAAAATGCACCTTGCATGTAAAGCTTGACTTTCTCATTTGCTTTTAATTGTACCCCTTAGCAGCTCATGGCATACAGTGCTTATGCCATGAACAAGGAAGGCCAAATTATTCAAGGATATTAAGTAATGTAGAAACTAAGTTTTGTCAGAAAGCTACATACCATACCACAAGTCTCCATGAATAAAGCCAGAAAGCTACATTTGAAGATGATCTCGTTTTATATAATAAGACTATCAAAACTTGGGTATCAATATTTCTTTAATATTTTCATTTTTTAAATGTAGAGAGACTTTTTTAAAGATAGTTGACAGCATAGTTTCCTTACATTCATGATGCAATTCAGAGAACTGAACATTTCAAACATTTTTTTTGATGTTCTGAGCATTTTTTATGGAAAGAGGATACAAAAATAGATCCAATATTTAGAGGCTGGGCGTGATGGTTCTCGCCTATAATCCCAGCACTTTGGGAGGCTGAGGTAGGTGGATCGCTTGATCCCAGGAGTCCAAGATCAGATTGGGCAACATGGCAAACTCCCATCTCTACAAAAAGTACAAAACTTAGCCAGGTGTGGTGGCACATGCCTATAGTCCTAGCTACTTGGAGAGCTGAGGCAGGAGGATCACTTGAATCTGGAAGGTCGAGGAGGCTTCAGTGAGCCAAGATCTCCAGCTTAGGTGACAAAGTGAGACTTTGTCTCAAAAAAATAAAAAATAAAAAAAATAAATTGGGAAACTTACATATTTAAAATATTCCCATTACAAATTCACAAGTAGAATATCTGTAACCCATCTATCTGTTGAAGATTTTGGACATTTTCATGGGGACTCAAATTATTTCACGTTTATGAACTTAAAAGGAAAGAAAATTCCAGGCTCTATTACAAAATGTATCAAGCAATAAATGAGTACTATCATATATATGTGATTCACCCCCATTTGGAATTGCAAATTAAGAGTTTTTTGCAGCTGGGTATGCAACCTGATAAAAACCCTGATAATGTAGATCTATGCCTGAGTTTACAATATTTGTTTTGTGAGTTTCCAGAGATAATAACAGCTTTCAAAAGAGGAAAAAAGTAAGGTTCTTTTTTGAAAGCTTTGTAGATTGTATATAGAATAGCTTTGTAACATAAGGTTTTGTGTCTATTTAGATCAGTCATATATATTCCATGCAGAATACAATATTATAGAATACACTAGTCTAATATTTGTACTTGATAATTTTGCCTTTTAGAATTTCAACATATATATATGTACACTAACACTTTGTCTATTGTCTATGTTTTTCTTTTGTTGAAAAACACGATATATATATGTTGTAGGGTTTTGGTTTTTGTATTTGTTTTAAGCTAATGGTTTGGAAGCTCTTACCATAGATATTCACTATACAATCAGAATGACTTTGCCACCTATTCAGGCAAAGTAGTTGTGCATATTAATAAATGTTTTACATATTAATGATCCTTTTGACGTGACTGGATCCCCACCCTTCATTTCATGTGCTTCTATTTTCCTACATCTTTTACATGACTAAGGATTAATGAAATCACCTCTTCATAATCATGACCATAATTTCATCCAACAAGTACTCAAGTTTGGTGTTAGCACTTTATTAATGCTTACGACTTCTCTCTCTCTCCCTCTTTCTCTTTTCCTTAGTCATTGCACAATAAGGATTTTTGAATGTATAATATCATCTAAGGTAAGCTTTCATATGGTTTTGGCATATGAAGCTTATGACTGTCATAAGCCATACCAAGCCTGTGGAGTATGGCATGATTTTCATTACATAATCCAATGAAAATAGACTTATTTTAAATCCCTAACTTTGTAGTTTTAATTTGTATTTCACTATCTTGAAATTAACAGCTAGTACTTATCCATCACAGCAGTCTCCTACTGACATGAAGCAAGTTGTTGAATGCAGTAGAGCATGAATGAAAGCATTTAATGTAGACAAAAATGGGTGATACCCAAGCATTCTGAATTATTTGCATCAAGGAATGGACATGTACATAAGTGGCATCATTTCTACCAATATGTGACTTGAGTTGTTTTTTTAAAAAAAGGAGAATGACTTTCTCAAATTTGCATTAAAGAAGTTTTTAAGAATGTTCAAATGGCATGCTGCTTTGTCTGGACGTGAATTTATTAGCAAGTAGTAAAGCACTTCACTAAAGGACCATGAATTTTTGTGGTTTCATGGATTCTCTCTTGAAGGGTACTTTTATTTTTTTAATATAATTCAGAAACTCAGAAGGTAGGTATGAAATATTGGTAGGTGTTTCTCGCACCTTCAGAAAGTATTGGACCGGTCTTATTATTATAATTTTAACAAAATATTTCCAATTTTTGTGCTTTTGACATGCATAAATGACCAAAGTTAAAGGGAGTAGTTTTTATCTTTTCTAATGTGCTTGAATCGAAACTCTCTGTGCCTAATTAAAAAGAACATTAACAAACTGGAAGCAGATCTTCCCACTGATCCATAATGTGGTATGCATTTATTCTGCTGTTCAGTCAGAACATTTAAATCATCTATGAGGAATCACAAAACCTCTCAAAGAGCAATAAATACTTTCCAACCACTTGGGAATTTAAATGAAGATTGAACAATAGTAGGGGAAAAACTGCTGTGGTTCTACTGGGAACTTGCTTTTCCTTCTAGATGCCAAGTGCTTTAAATTCTAAATGTACTAAATCCAGGAGAAGATTTTCCAAGTAGAGACTGAATGAATCTTTGTAACTAATGGGAACATGATTAGTCACATTTCCAGGCAGCTAGTCAAGAAGTATTGTTTCAGCGATTTTTCAGGTAGATGGTTTTGATTTGTCTGTTTTCCTTTTGGTCCTCTCTAGGTGGGCTCTCCTTCTGCAGACTCCTCTTGCAAGGCGTACCTCCAAACATAATTGATTCGTATCTGCGAGACTTACACTCAAGCAATCCTGAGGAATACTGAGGGAGGGCCTGGCTACTGTCTCTCTGCACTCTGCTGCTTTGAAATCTGGTTGAAATGAGAAAAAGCATTTTCTGTTTTCCCACCAGGCCCCCAAGTGTGGTCTTTTTCTTTCCTCCTAATGTTGAAGAGAAAAAAAAAAAAAAAAGTTTGCCCAGATTGCTTAATTAAAAATTGCAAACAAAATCTCATTTGAAGTCAGCACTTTGGTCATTATTATCTCTGCTCACTGTATTATACTTTACAAAAATGCAAGTCATAGAATAAGCAAAAGCAGTTATTTTTGTTTACATAGTAGGCTATAAATGCTTTTTTTTTCCTCTCAGAGTAAAAAACATAACACAATGCACCACGACTGGATCTTGAAAACCCATCTTTCTCTTGATCTAGTAGATTTTTCTAACCAAAGCGGAGTTGTTGATGTCATACAGGCCTGCTTCACACCAGGATCTGTGCCTTTTTCTTCTTATTTGAATGCAATAAAACATTTTTAAAAGTCTAACTTTCAAACAAATTTTCTCAGTAGAAGGGATGGTACAACAAATCTGAAGTGTTTGTGATGAAATGATACAATATGCATTCATGCATTTAGGGTTGTATGCCGAGACACAAAACTGAGGCTAAAGGCTGGGAGCCAGCATGCCCCTGAACCCAGGTCTGCCCTCCCTGTGTCTCTAGCAAGGCATCTTGGCCAAATCTGCCAGAGCTTCTGCCAAAACAGCTAGTCATAGTGACAGAGGGCTGTTACAGACAACAGACCTATTACAGAGTTAGGGTTTGCTGATGGTATCCATTCAATTTGATGGAAACCTTTATTAAAAAATCTAGCAGCTGAGAAACATTTATACTAACCCATAATATTTTCAGCAACTTCCTTTACTCTTCCTGATATAAAGTTTCAGTTAAGGGAGTAGAATCGAACTGTAAGGTACCACAGCATTACTGTTTATTCCCTCGCCTCCCCTCTGTTTTTCTTTTTGGTCTTTTGTTGCAGGAGCTAAATATATTGTGACTTGTTGGTGGGCCCATGGCTTCTTTGGATGACATTTTAAACATATCTGCTCTTTTTTCTTTCCAGATTTTAGCTGGGAAGTTCTATGGTGGTCATGGATCTGGGTTGATGTTGGGCTCGTAAAGGGAAGGGTGAATGATTCAGGTCGTTGCAGTACATTTGAGAACAAAAGAAAGTCTAGTTTATGTCCAAACTATGTTGGCTCTATATATCTCTGTTGAAATTGGTTGGTGATGTTGCCTTACTGGTTGTTAAGAACATTGGCTATCACCCCTGCTCCTATGCTCCCAAAAACTCCAGAATAATATTGTGTGCAATCCCTGTGTAAACACCAATTTTATTTTATTTTATTTTTATTGCTATAACCCATTGTTTTTATATATATATATATTTTTATTATACTCTAAGTTCTAGGGTACATGTGCGCAACGTGCAGGTTTGTTGCATACGTATACATGTGCCATGTTGGTGTGCTGCACCCATTAACTCATCATTTACATTAGGTATATCGCCTAATGCTATCCCTCCCCGCTCCCCCCACCCCACAACAGGCCCTGGTGTGTGATGTTCCCCTTCCTGTGTCCAAGTGTTCTCATTGTTCAGCTCCCACCTATGAGTGAGAACATGCGGTGTTTGTTTTTTTGTCCTTGCAATAGTTTGCTGAGAATGATGGTTTCCAGCTTCATCCATGTCCCTACAAATGACATGAACTCATCATTTTTTATGGCTGCATAGTATTCCATGGTGTATATGTGCCACATTTTCTTAATCCAGTCTATCATTGTTGGGCGTTCCAAGTCTTTGCTATTGTGAGTAGTGCCGCAATAAACATACGTGGTAAACTCCAATTTTAATCAAGAAAGCTACGTGCACAGTATTGGTTAAGGTATTTTAACATAAAGGAAGTCTGGCTCATCTATAAAGACATGAAAACCTTATGTCTATGTACAAACCAAAGAAATGACAATGTGGCAAACCCAGTCAACGTGGTCCCTGCAGCCCAGCTGCTGGGTCTTAGCCATAGTGCAGCAGCCGAGCTGGCTGCTTAACTCAAATACTCTGAGCACTTTGGCCAAGACATTGGCCAAGCTAGTTAGGCTGCTTATACGTGTATGGTTTTACATAGCCTAAAAGAGACTGTAAAACCTCCCTGCTGAATTTTGGTTCCCCACTTATGACTTAGGCTCTTTAATTATATTTTGTACTAGATAATGTTACTTTTCTACATATAATCTTTCCTTATATTAAGGGTACACATACACTGCAAAGTTCTAATAAGGAAGAAAAAGTCTATTGTGAAACTGCAAAGAGCAAAAAATATCAGAAGCTATCATTACTATTGGTTTTTCTATAATTTTGTTTAAATTTCACTCTATTAAAAAATTACGTATCACAGGAATTTACCAAAAATTCTTTTGGGGAACTAAACATTCATTAAAAATTTTAGGCTGGGCACGGTGGCTCATGCCTGTAATCCCAGCACTTTTAGAGGCCGAGGCGGGCAGATCACTTGAGGCCGGGAGTTCGAGAGCAGCTATGCAGCATGGTGAAGCCTTGTCTCTACTAAAAATATAAAAATTAGTTGGGCGTGGTGGCACACAACTGTAGTCTCAGCTACTTGGGAAGCTGAGGCACAAGAATAGCTTGAACCCGGGAGGTGGAGGTTGCAGTGAGCAAAGATTGCACCACTGTACTCCAGCCTGGGCAACAAAGTGAGACCCTGTCTCAAAAAAAAATTTTTTTTAAGGTTCACGTTTCTTTATTTACCTTAAAAGAAGGCTTAATGAATGTTCTCATCTAAATTAATATCAAAGTAGAAAAAAATTAATTCTAAGAGACATTGGAACAAGGTAATATGCCCTTAACCATTCATTTTTAGAATAATTCTGAAGCACTATTCAGCTCAACAAATGAGTTATTGAATGTCTGATATCTGCATGGCACTGTAATGGATTTAGCTTGCAACTTGATAAATAAAGGTACTTGAGGCTGGGTGTGGTGGCTGACGTCTGTAATCCCGGCACTTTGGGAGACCAAGGCAGGCAGATCACTTGAGTGCAGGAGTTCAAGGCTAGCCTGGGCAAGATAACAAAACCCCATCTCTACAAAAAATTATCCAGGTGTGGTAGCACGCACCTGTAGTCCCAGCTACTCAGAAGGCTGATATATGAGAATAGCTTAAACCCAGGAGGTGGAGATTGCAATGAGCTGAGATCGCACCACTGCACTCCCAGCCTGGACAACAGAGCCAGACCGTATCTCAAAAAAAAAAAAAAAGAAAAAGAAAAAAAAAGAGGTACTTCGTGCCTTCAAGTAATTTATAATGTATAAGACTAGTATACAGAGGGAACATATAAACAAGGCAGGATGCAGGTATAAGAGAGCACTATAACAATGCAGAAGCTGGATAGTGTGGTTTATGTATTCGTTATTGTCAATGTGTGTATCATGCTAGGATGGAGAACAGGACTTACCATATTACTTCACTTTTCTAAATCAGATTAAATGTAACTCTGAGCTCTCCACTAGCTAGGGAGATTGAGAAATTCTCTGTTCTGTTTGGGGATTCAGATTCCAGAGTCAACAGGAATCTTTCTTGGTGCCCAGAAAATGGAGAGAAGGAAAGGCCTCTGGTCTTCAATCTACACTGGTGACTGCAGAGATGCCTGTCATTGTATTACACTTTATAAAAAAGTCACCCATAGAACAAGCAAAAGCAGTTCTTTTAGTTTAATGGTCAAACCCAGTATGGTTCACTCAAGGACAGGTGACTCTGAAACATCCCTGACAAGCGTGGACCTGGGGTCTTTCAGTCTTCAAGGCTGTAACTTGACTGTTATATTAGGGTTCTTCAGAGGAACAGCGAGTAGGAGAGGAAGCAAAGAAGAGAGACGGAAGGAAGGAAAGGGGAGGGAATGGAAAGGGAAAAGAGGAAAGAAAAAGAACAAAAAATCTAGAAAGAGATTAATTATAAGGTATTCATCATGGAATTATGGAAGCTGAGACATCCCATGATTTGCTGCCCACAAAACCTAGGAAGGCTGGAGGTGTAGTTGAAGGCCTGAGAGCCAGAGAGCTCAGAGTGGTTCCTCCACCCAAGCCTCCTAAGACTGTGTGCAAGTCCCTCCTTACTCAGCTGACCACCTGGGACTCAGCTTACTCAGCTGACCACCTGGGAGCTTCTGAGAAATGAAAACTCTCTGCCGGGCGCGGTGGCTCACGCCTGTAATCCCAGCACTTTGGGAGGCCGAGGCAGGTGGATCACCTGAGGTCAGAAGTTGGAGACCAGCCTGGCCAACATGGCGAAAACCCGTCTCTACTAAAATTACAAAAATTAGCCAGGCGTGGTGGCGCGTGCCTGTAATCCCAGCTACTCGGGAGGCTGAGGCAGAAGAATCACTTGAACCCGGGAGGCGGAGTTTGCAGTGAGCCAAGATCGTGCCATTGCACTCCAGCTTGAGCAGCAAGAGTGAGACTCCATCTAAAAAAAAAAAGAAATGAAAACTTTCTAGCCCTGCCCCAGATCCTTAAGTTCGGAATCTGCATTTTAACAGGATCCCCAGTGATTTGTGTGCTCATTCATGTTGGAGAGGCCATGCTCCAGACTCTCTCTGTCTTGTTCCTTGCTTAGCTATTATTTGGAGGCATTCTCTCTTAGCTGTCCCAGAGGAAAAACATCCTGATAAATGTATCCCCTCCCAGATATTGCTGATAATGACCTAGCCTAATGTCTAAATATAACTTAACCTGTTACTCCTAAAAGCCCTAACTCAAAGACTAACTCAATGTGGGATGTCTGGGTTCCTGAAAAAGGAATTTTTGAGAAAGGATGTTCCCTCTAATGCTTCTCAAACAATACCATAGAAAGCATTTTAGAGCAGTAGAAGATAAACTCAGAAAAAGATTATAAATAAAAAATGATTAAAGGGTATAAACAAGACCCAATGCTAAGAACCGTGTCTCTGAAGGAAATCAGTTCTCTTAACCCTAAATTGCTTTTGCAATTTCAGATAAAGGGCACAATTATAACATCTTAGGGACTGTATTGCGAAATTTTGTTTTCTGATCTTGTCCAGGAAATTAAGCATTTTTAGAGAGGAGAGCAAAGGTTTTAGTCAATCTATTACTGAACACTGACTACCTACCCATGTATTTTGTAAAGTACCATAGTTCCATAAAATTTAGACTTTAGAGTCTCAAAGTACGAAACTATAAAAGTATAAAACCCAAGCAAGTAAAGCAAGTATTATACCATAAAACTATGCTTATCACAAATACCCCAGCCTGTGTAGCTAAAGCTCAGAATTCTCACACAGATAGCTTGACACCCTGATGATAAAACTCTACTGCAATGCAAGCCTAGCCAGGTGATTTATTTACTTATTTATTTATTTATTTTAGACAGGGTCTCACTCTGTTGCCCATGCTGGAGTGCAGTGGCATGATCTGGGCTCACTGTATCTTCCGCCTCCTGGGTTCAAGCAATTCTCCTGCCTCAGCCTCCTGAGTAGCTGGGATTGCAGGTGCATGCCACCATGCATGGCTAATTTTTGTATTTTTAGTAGCGACTGGGCTTCACCGTTTTGGCCAGGCTAGTCTCAAACTCCTGGCCTCAAGTGATCTGCCTGCCTCAGCCTCCGAAAGTGCTGGGATTACAGGTGTGAGCCACTGCACCCGGCCTCTAGCCAGGTGATTTCTTATTGCAACCCACTCTTTCTTCCAAACCAATGAAAGTCCATGGGCTTCCAACTGGTTATTTCACACACAACAGTGCCTAATCTGCCTATATGACATGATTTAATATTTTGTGGAAGGTTGGCCTAGAGATTGAGGATGTTAAGGAAGATTTGAAATATGAGTGAAAGTTACACAAAAGAACTAGTAGTAAAACTGAGAGCCTAAATCAAGATGTTCTTTCTCCTTTGGGAAAGGAATACAATTTAGTTAAACCATCAGATAAACATTTATGCATCCCTATTGTGCTATGGAAATGTAAGATGTTACCATAGGAGGAGGCTGTGTGAAGGGCATACAAGGGATTCTTTGTACTATTTTTGCAACTTCCTGTGTGTCTGTAATCATTTTAAAATACATATTTTTTAAATGATGGATGTCTACTGGATGCCAGGCATTGAGGAGCACACTCAGTGCAGGCTTGGTCTGACACTCTATGACCTGGGCAAGGAGGCTGATCAATACACAAATAACTGAACAAAGATAGTCTGCATTACAAGGTACAAAGTGCTCTGGTTGTGTGGGAGTAAGAGGGATCAAACTGGAAGAATCTGAGAGGTCATTTTAGAGAAGGCAGAATTTAAGTGTGGAATCTGAGTGATGGGCAGTGTGCTAGGAATAATAAGGGATCGAGGGTACTCCCCAACAGGGAACAAATGAGAGTGGGTTTGGGGACAGCCAATGGGCCCACACAGCTGGAGCATGAGACTTAGGGAGGAGAATTGGGGAAGAGATATTAGGGAGGTAAGACTAGGAAGGTAGACCGGGCCCTCAAATGCCAAGTGAGGGAAGTTGGACTTTATCAAAGGCTTCTGAACAAGGGAATATTTTATTAGTTTTAGTAAATTTAGTACAATAATTTTTTTCATAATATTTAGAATGGACTGGAATGGCACAAAACCAACATGATATATAGAAACTGGACTGTTCCATATTGACAAAAGTACCCACTAAAGTCCTATATTTAATACATGTAAGTTATTAGGTGGCATTTTGCAGTCGTTGGGAACATAAGCTCTGAAATCAGACTACACGGGCTTGAATCCTGGCTTTACCACTATACTAGCTGTGCAGCCATGGGTAAGTTTTTGAACCTCACTGTGCTTCAATTTCCTTATCCATAAAATGGGGATAACAATGGTCTACTTCATAGAGTGTTTGTGAGGAGTAAGTGAAATAACTCCTGATGTTTAGAACAGTGCTTGGCATAGGATAGAAACTCATAAATGTGAGCTACTATGTTAAGATAAGGGGGAAACATTGTATATATCAATCACTATGTAACAAACCATGAAAATGGAGGGGAGCCATGATTCAAGAAATAAAATAATAGGAAATCTCTAATATACTTTTTTGACATTAGAGTATGTTAGAGTGGGGTAAGGTAGAAGAAATAAACATGGCTTTAGTATGTCTTGAATTAATTTGAAATTTCCAAAAATTCAGCAAAGAAGCACATGGGAAAATCAATTTAGAGCATGATGAGTAGTTTAAAAATGGTTTCTATATTTATTACCTTCACTTTTTTTTTTTTTTTTTGAGACGGAGTCTTGCTCTGTCGCCCAGGCTAGAGTGCAGTGGCGCGATCTCAGCTCACTGCCACCTCCGCCTCCCAGGTTCACTCCATTCTCCTGCCTCAGCCTCCCGAGTAGCTGGGACTACAGGTGCCCACCACCACGCGCGGCTAATTTTTTGTATTTTTAGTAGAGACAGGGCTTCACCGTGTTAGCCAGGATGGTCTCGATCTCCTGACCTCGTGATCCACCCGCCTTGGCCTCCCAAGGTGCTGGGATTACAGGCGTGAGCCACCGCGCCCAGCCTACTTTCACTATTTTTAAATTATGACATTTCATATTTGCAAAATATACAAATATGCCATCTATATCTATGTAGATATATAGTTACATAGATTGCATAAATAATAGTAAAATGAACATGTTACTACTACTCAGTTAAAAAACTGTGATTGAGACAGCTTGATGGCCCCCCACAATACCCACTCTCTCACTTTTCAATAATAATAGAAATGTTTTGGCCGATTGTGGTGGCTCACACCTGTAGTCCCAGCATTTTAGGAGGTCAAAGCGGGAGGATCATTTGGGGTCAGGCATTTGAGACCAGCCTGGCCAACATGGCGAAACCCCATCTCTACTAAAAATACAAAAATTAGCTGGGTGTGGTGGCACATGCCTATAGTCTCAGCTACTCAGGATGCTGAGGCAGGTGAATCACTTGAACCTGGGAAGAGGTTGCAGTGAGTTCAGATTGCGCCACTGCACTCCAGCCTGGGTGACAGAGCAAGAATCTGTCTCTAAATAAATAAATAAATAAATAAACAAGTAAAAGAAATTTTAGCTGGGCAGGTGGCTGTCTGGCTAAAGATTGCATTTGCAGGCTCTTTTACAGTTAGGCATAGCAGCCATGTGGCCAGGCTCTGGCCAATGGGATGAGAGCAGAAGTGATGTGTGCAACCTTTGATCATGGCCTTCAGAAGAAAGGAGCATAGCAGCCCCTTCTCTTTTTCCCCTTCCTATTGGTTGGGAGTCATGGCCAGCCATTTTTGATCACAAGGACAAGGGCAACATCTGAAAGGCGGCAGACTAATAAAATGGAAGAAGTCTGTGTCTCTGACACCATCGAGCTGCCATGTAGCCCTACCATGCCTACCCAGACATCAATGTGGGAAAAATAAACCTCTATTCCATTTAGGTTGCTGTAGTTTGCCCAGCTGTAGTCTAAAAAATTACCAATACCTTTGAAACTTGCCATGTGCCCCTCTATAATTGCATTTACCTTCCTTTCTATCAGGAGTAACCACTATCAGGATTGTACTTATAATTCTTTTCCTTTTCTTCATAGCTTTGCCACATGGGAGCTGCAAAGTGCAGTCACATGTTTTTGAAGTTTATATAAGTAAAATAATACTGTGTGTATTTTGCCTATGGCCTGCTGTTATGGACAGAATGGTATCCTGCCCCTGCTCCACCCCCAATTCATATGTTGAAGCCGTAATCCTCCACAATGTGATGGTATTTGGAGATGGAGCCTTTAGGATATTGGATATCATGAGGGTGGGGCCTTCATGATGGGATTAGTGCCTTTATAAGGACTTTATAAGGAGACACCAGAGAGCTTCCTCTCTTTCTCTCTCTGTCTGTCATG
The DNA here is from genome assembly GCF_000001405.40 of Homo sapiens. Taxonomy (NCBI): domain Eukaryota; kingdom Metazoa; phylum Chordata; class Mammalia; order Primates; family Hominidae; genus Homo; species Homo sapiens. The sequence goes on from NC_000012.12 coordinate 101,694,588, forward strand.
TGAAGACATAGAAGGTGGCCATCTGCAAGCCAGGAAGAGAGTTCTCACTAAGAAACACACTTTGACTTTGGACTTCCCAGCCTCCAGAACTGTGAGAAATAAATTCCTGTTGTTTAAACTATTCAGTCTACGGTATTTTATTATGACAATCCAAGCTGACTAATACATCTGCTTTTTTTTTTCACTCAACATATGCTTGTGCAATTCATTCATGTTCATAAGTGTACCTATAGTTCATTAATTTTTTACTGCCATATTAAACTTGCTATATAATATTAAATTACTTGAAAATACCAGTTTATTTACCCATTCAATATTAGTGGACATATAAGTTATTTACAGCTTTTAGTTATTGTACAGACAAAGGTGTCATGAGTATTCTTATACTTATCTCCTAGGATACATGTGCAAGAATTTCTTTAGGATCTGTTTCTGGATCAGAATTGTGGTGTCAGAGTACACACATCTTCAACTTCACCAGATCATGCCAGGTTGTTTTTCAAGTGGTTGTAACCATCTACTCTTCCTAGCAAACACTTCCACTTGGGTACGCCACATAATTAAGTTCTGGCCAATGAGATACATAATACAACAGTCCCCTTATCTCCAGAGACATATTCCAAGACCCACAACTGTTGCCTGAAACTATGGATAATGCCGAACCCTATATGTACTATGTTGTTTCTAATAACCAAGATGGCTAATAAATGAATAAAGGACAGGTGGCTTATATAGCAGGGATACACTGGACAAAGAGATGATGTAAGTCCTGAGTGGAGAAGAGTGGGACTGGGTGAGATTTCATCACGCTACTCAGAATGGCATGCAATTTAAAACTCACACTTTATTTCTGGAATTTTCTATTTAATATTTTTGGACTGTGGTTGACTGTGGGTATCTAAAACTGCAGAAAAGTAAAACCAGGGACAAAGGGAGACTACTGTATGGAGAAGTGTTGTTTGGGAGTTTTGGAGAGGCACCCCAGTTTGCTCACCAGCCAGTGATATCTACTTTTTGTTTTTCCTGTCCTCTTACTCCTTCCTGCTGCTTGAAACACAAATAAGATGACTGGAGCTTCACCAGCCATTCTGAATCATGAGATGGCCTTATAGATACAAGTCAGAGAGGATATTGGAGCAGAGAGACAGAAAAGCCTGAGTTCCTGATGACCATGGAAACATCGTACCAGTCTTGGAGTGCCAATTCTGTACTTCTTTTATGTGAGAGAGAAATAAATTCCTGTTGTCTAAGCTATTCAGTCTGTGGTATTTTGTTATGACAATCCAAGCTGACTAATACACCTGCTTCTTTTTTTTTTTCAGTCAACATATGCTTGTGCAATTCACTCATGTTCATAAGTGCACCCTGGAACATTACCATGTTCCAGGGCTTCTCCTATAGAAACAGAACATAGCCCAGTTGATTATTTTTTATTCTGATTGATTTTTAGGAGTTCTTTACATAATCTGGGTTCTACTCATTGTGGGTTTTGAGGGAAATACCTTTTCCCAGTTTATGGCTTGTCTTTTCATTCTCTTGATGACGTCTTTTGATGTACATTAAAAATTATCTTTAATACAGTGAAATCGGCTAATCTAGAAAAGGATTTTTTCCTTGGACTGTTCATGGCATCGGTAAATTAAAAAGTAGTTACTGTCAAGTTCACTGCACATAAACCAGCATTGTTAAAAGTGGATCTCCATCATTCCATTTCCTTTCCTGCATTTGTCAGCATCGTTTTTCACACTAAAGATGAGGAGATCCATATTCCTAAGACATATACGCTTGGTCTGTAGAGACCCTCATTGCTCTAAGGCAGTGGTTGCCAGTTTTTTCCTTAAAGGGCCTAGTAGGACATAGTCCAGGCTTTGCCAGCCATACGGTCTGTCACAACTGAATTCTGCTGCCCTTGTAGCATGAAGGCAGCCAAACAATAGGTAAGGAATAAACATGGCTTTATTCGTGGCACTGAACTTTGAATTTCATATAATTTCACAACACAAAATTGTATTCTTTTGATTTTTTCCAATCATTTAAAAATGTCAAAACCATACTTAGCTGGAGGGCTGTAGGAAAACAGGTGGTGGGCTGGGTCTGGCACACAGGCAGCAGTTCGTGGACCCCTGTGCCAAGTGTTTGACGAAGCCCGTGAGGCAAACTGCACTTGCCGATAGAGGTTGCGCCACACAAGTGTCTTGGAAGCAATTTCTGGCTTGTCCTAGGCCTTAGAAAGTGCGTGCAGATCAGAGCCATGAAGTGAAGAGCAAAGCAAGTGACAGGCCTGTCTCAGGTTGTGCAACAGAACGTGTTTATGACAGATGTCCCCTGTCCAAGTGAGTGCACTGTGAGATAAGGGGCCGGTGACCTACCAATGCGTGTGGCAAGCCAGCCTGTTCCCCCTTGCAGGGGGAGGACACTCCTGCCCTTTATTCCAGGGAAGAGTATGTGTAAAAATATTCACCCTTGTTGGTATCAAATGCGCTGAAGAAAATAGGTATCGGGGTTTCAGCCATTCGGTCTCCTTGTTAGTGTTTCTAAGCCCTGATTTTCAGTTTCAAAACCTTGGTCTCTGAATCCGCAGTGATGGGTCTCTAGAGCGAATACATGGCAGGGCCGCCTTCCTCCGTACAGAAAGGGAGAATTGTGCTTGTGTGTTTTACCAAGCAGGACAGATGGGGCCGTCACCCCCGTGACCCGAGCCCTGCAAAACTGTGTTCTCACACGAAAACCCCCAGGCTCTGCGGGCAGCGTGGTCCTGCAGTGGCTAACACTGGGCGACCGGAGTCGTGTTCCGACCCCTAGGAGAGGAACCGGCTCGGTCGTGGTGCAGCCCGCGAGGAGACGACCTCAGGGCGTAATCCGACGCCGTGGGTTAAGACATCAGACCTCAGGCGCAGTGCAGCCGGCCCCTGGGGAGTCAAGGACCTTGATCGCCGATAACAAGTTGCCGTTGGCGGGCGCCGAGGGTGACCCGCGAGCGCGGCACCCGCCTCCCCGCCCCTAGCAGGACCCCCTCCGCCCCGCCCCCAGCCGGACCCCTCCCCGAGGCCCCGCCCCACCCGCGAGCCGCAGCCGCGGCCCCACAGCTTCTGGGGCTGGGGCCCCGGCAGCCGGGCAGGCCGGCCTGACCTCGACCTCCGCCGTGCGGGCCCGACCGGTGAGTCCAGCCCGGCAGTCGCAGGACCCGGCCGCCAGCCTCTCCCTCCACCTCTCCCTGCCCCCAGCGCCAGGCGCGGGCTGCGCTCGGTGGCGGCGGCGGGGCCCTCAGGCGGCCATGGCGGCAGGCGCCGGGGCCGGGTCCGCGCCGCGCTGGCTGAGGGCGCTGAGCGAGCCGCTGAGCGCGGCGCAGCTGCGGCGACTGGAGGAGCACCGCTACAGCGCGGCGGGCGTCTCGCTGCTCGAGCCGCCGCTGCAGCTCTACTGGACCTGGCTGCTCCAGTGGATCCCGCTCTGGATGGCCCCCAACTCCATCACCCTGCTGGGGCTCGCCGTCAACGTGGTCACCACGCTCGTGCTCATCTCCTACTGTCCCACGGCCACCGAAGAGGTAGGGCTGGCCGATCGCCCGAGCCGGGCCCCAGATGCGCTGCGGGCGGGTCGCTGGAGGCGCCGGGGGAAGGGCGGACCCACGCGCGGCTGAGCCTCTCCCGGGCCCCGGAGGGGCGGACTGGCCACTGCCCCGGGCGGTGTCCGCCCTGGGCCGCCTGGAGACTGTCACGCCACTATCCCAATCCCGTGACCATCCCAAGCCTCCCCTGGGCAGCGGAGGGGCTGTTAAGGTCACTGCCCCAGGTCCTATGTCCGCGCAGATCCTCCCCACGGCCGCGGACGGGCCGGAGGGCGCCTGCCCAGCCGCTATCCCATGCGGCGCCAACCTGTGAGACGGACCCGCGGTCGGGTGCTTTGCACACTGGGGACTGAACACCCCCATCTCCGTCCTGCCTGGCACAGGGACTTGTGCCAAGCCCGAGACGCCCTTTGAATACTTTCGTAACCGTTCGTTTCTGGAAGGTTGAGCTAGTGATCTTGAAATGACCGGTAGCACTGATCAAAGATGAGTTAAGAGGTAACTTCCTCTTTGCTTCATCGACTTTTTCAAGAAAAACAAACTGGAATGTTATCAAGGCAATAATTTTTTTGTCATCACAACCTAGGGATTAAAAAAACCCCAACATTTTATTAGCAATAATTACATTTGACCTTTGTACAAAATAAGGAGTAAATATAGGCTTTGGATAGCTGTTCATCAGAAGCACCCTTTGGGCTGAGTGTGGAGGGATAGGGGGCAGAGTGGAGTTCACTCCCATCTATAGTTTATACTACGTGGGATAAATATTACATTGCACATTCTGTGACATTACTTTCTATTCTCTGCTCCAAATAGTGAAGTCCCTTTATAATCATTTGAGTGTAGGCCTTGTGGAGGACTCATGGAGGTTGAGGTTGGATTAACAGAAATACAGTGGAAATATTTCATGCCCTCCATGCATGCATCCATTTTGTTGTTGTTTTTGAGACAGGGGTTTACTCTGTCACCCAGGCTGGAGTGCCGTGCCGTGGCTCGATCTCGGCTCACTGCAACCTCCGCCTTCAGGGTTCAAGCGATTCTTCTGCCTCAGCCTTCCAAGTAGCTGGGATTACAGGCGCGTGCCACCACGGCCGACTCACTTTTGTGTTTTTAGTAGATACAAGGTTTCACCATGTTGGCCAGGCTCATGCATCCTTTAAAAACAAAAATTTGATCGAGCCTACATTTTAAAATATCTTGTCAATGGATTGGTATGCTTATTATGTATTTCTTTTCTTTTTTTTTTTTTTGAGACAGAGTCTCGCTCTGTCACCCAGGCTGGAGGGCAATGTGGTGATCTCGGCTCACTGCAACCTCTGCCTCCTGGGTTCAAGCGATTCCCTTGCCTCAGCCTCCTGAATAGCTGGGACTACACGTGCCTGCCACCACGCCCGGCTAATTTTTGTATTTTTAGTAGAGACGGGGTTTCACCATATTGGCCAGGCTGGTCTCGAACTCCTGACCTCAAGTGATCCGCCTGCCTCGGCCTCCCAAAGTGCTGGTATTTACAGGAGTGAGCCACTGCGCCAGGCTTATTATATATTTCTTAATAGACATTCCCATTGTCATTTGCCATTGCTATTCATTTACATATTACATATGAAAAAGTAAGCTGCTTTAGTTTTTGGCTGTTTTGCTGCCTGTTTCTAGAATTTACCAGAGGGAGTGTGTTAGAATGAAAGGATAGCTGGGTTGGAAGTGGAGGTCTTGGTTTCTAACTGGCTCTTCCACCACAGACCTGCTGGGTCTGTGTTCCCACAGATACAATAGAAAATAATGCCTGCCAAAACAACTTGACAAGGATGCAGTGAGGACCAAATGATATATATGCAGATAAATGTAAAAGATTGCGATGTGCCTAACAAATTAAAAATATCACTCAACACATTAAAAATATTACTGTTATCAGACAACATCCTGAAAACACATAATAAAATTTAGTTTTGATTGGGTCCAGATTTAGCTAACAGCATTTGAATGTTTCTGATATTGGCCAGTTAAGTTGTGGACTCTTCAATGTTATTATTAATTTAAGAAGCATTTGTTGAACACTTAGAAAGAGCAGGGCTTACCAAAAAAGTCAAGAGCTTCTGCCTAGGGAAGTAAAGGGAGGCCTGATGGAAGAGGTACGTTTATGATTAATTAGTTTTTAGGATCAGCCTCATGTGAAAAAAAAAAAAAAAAGGGTGGAGGGTGGGGATTGGAGGCATTTAAAAATAAAGTGCAAAATCAAATGGCCCAAGAAGGGTAAATGAGAGTTAAAAACAAGAGTTTCTGAAATGTATGTCACTAGAACCTTCATATGCTTCTGAGTGACTGATGCAGGGAGGGGAAACGCCATTACAGGATCCACATTGCTTGTTTGGTGAAAGCCCAGCAACAGTGTGAAGAGTGTAGCAGTTTCTGGCTATTTTCTCTTAAGTTCATAGAACTAGCAAATGACTGGATCAGGTAGGATTCAGATCTAAGTTGGTATGACTTCAAAAATAAAAAGATCCTATGTTTTACATAATACAAATATGTAAAGTGCTTTCACATCCATGGTTGCATTTGTGTCTTGTTATCAGCCAAAGAGGTTAGCAAGTTTTCCGCTTCCTACAATGGCCCTCCTACCACCTCAGTATTTCTTCTATCCATCTATCCTGAAGTAACAGTAGTATATGTTTTCATAAGAGGAAATTGAAGCCCAGAGATGTCAAGTGACTTTCAACTGGCTTGGGACTTGTTTTCTGATTCTCAGACTTAAGAATTCTTAGTGTTTTTTTCAGACTTGACAGATTGCTTCCAGAAAGAGTCAGCAAAAACACATAAGGTTTTTCGATTTAGATGCTTGGGCTTATCTACTCATATAGGCTTTAATACTGAGTGCATGAATAATAACATTTGATACGTTTTTAAGCATGATGCTAATTTCTAGAACATGACTGGGGATAAAGGGAAACTAATAGAAAAAAGTTGTGATTTATATTTAGCTTCTGCAAACTGCTTTTCAAGCCATCATTTCCAATAAGGAACTTTGTACTCCAGCCAAATTGAACTTCTTACTATAACAAGGATTTCTCTCCTTCTTATCCCTCTCTTTTCCCCTTCCTCTTCCTTTCTTCTGTACCAGTTATCCAACTATGTACCCATCTTTCAATACCCAATTCTAACACTATATCCTTATGAAAGTTATCTTCCTTTTCCTAAGTCAAATCAACCACTCTGAATTCCCATGATAATGACAATAACTAACTTTTACTGGATTTTTACTGTGTATCAGGGATGATTTTAAGTCACTTTTATTCTTTCATTGACTCCTCTCAACAACCTTATGAATAAGGTACTATTAGTATCATCATTTTATAGATGAGGAAACTGAAGGAAAATTAACCTCTTCTAGAGTGACATACCTTTAAGTGGGGGCCAGGATTCCAAGCCAGAAGCTATGCTTCCTTTGTAGGGCTTTGTAGCTCTCCTGTGGATCTTTACCGTTTTATTTTGGTTGTCTGTGTCCTTATTGAGCAGGACAACTTACCAGATTTTAAGTTCAGACAGCAATTGCTCGTTCATTTGTATAATCTCTATAGCACAGTGCTTTACATCAAACAGATGCTTATAATTTTGCATCAAACAGATGCAATTATTTAGAAAACAAACATTTGTTTGTTTTCTAAATTATTGGCTGCAGGAATGAAATAACACAATGTGATGTCAAGAGATGATGTTTTTCAACCCTTATTCAGTTTTAGCTGTTCTTGGGTTAAATACCTAGCAATTGTTTGGCCTTGGTAGTTTTAAGTAGAGTAAGCAAGTGTTAGGGCAAATGGAGAAAACAAGAACTTTGTCTCCTCACTTTGATGAAGCAGTTCTATCTGAACATCACCCTAAGTAGGTAGTCCCTGGCCCCCATTCCTTGGCTACCTAATCTTAAAATAGAATCACAGATTCTTAGAGTTTGGAAGGACCTTAGAGATTATTTAATGTAACTCCTACATTTATATATGTGATAACCCAGTGATTTGAATCTAGTTCTTCTAACTCCAGCCTAGTAGCAGTCTCTCCTACTAACTCCATGCACTTGTGTTTGACTGGTATAAACTGTTACTCCATTCTCTATTACATATCTGATTAAATGTTTCTGCCCTGTCTTCGTGATCTGTGCATATAAATCCATGTCAGTGTCTTTATTAAGAATATGTTTATGGCAGGGACAAGTGCCTAGCTTAAGGTCAGGTCAAAGGGCATTAATTAATGCATTTCTTGTGTTTATGATGATAAAGAGTTGAACTGAAAAGTAAGTATACCTGAGCATGCCAGAAACACCTTAAGAAATGGTTTATTCTCTGTTTAAATAACTTATTTAAATAACTCATATTTTAAACACAGAATAAACCATTTCTTAAGGTTATCTTTGT